>NC_000017.11:53810980-54435980 GCF_000001405.40 Homo sapiens
GGAGTTCACTCATGATTTGGCTCTCTGTTTGTCTGTTATTGGTGTATAAGAATGCTTGTGATTTTTGTACATTGAAAGCTGTCCTCAGCAAATGTAAAAGATCGGAAATTATAACAAACTGTCTCTCAGACCACAGTGCAATCAAACTAGAACTCAGGATTAAGAAACTCACTCAAAACCACTCAACTACATGGAAACTGAACAACCTGCTCCTGAATGACTACTGGGTACATAACGAAATGAAGGCAGAAATAAAGATGTTCTTTGAAACCAACGAGAACAAAGACACAACATACCAGAATCTCTGGGACACATTCAAAGCAGTGTGTAGAGGGAAATTTATAGCACTAAATGCCCACAAGAGAAAGCAGGAAAGATCCAAAATTGACACCCTAACATCACAATTAAAAGAACTAGAAAAGCATGAGCAAACACATTCAAAAGCTAGCAGAAGGCAAGAAATAACTAAAATCAGAGCAGAACTGAAGGAAATAGAGACACAAAAAACCCTTCAAAAAATCAATGAATCCAGGAGCTGGTTTTTTGAAAGGATCAACAAAATTGATAGACCGCTAACAAGACTAATAAAGAAAAAAAGAGAGAAGACTCAAATAGATGCAATAAAAAATGATAAAGGGGATATCACCACTGATCCCACAGAAATACAAACTACCATCAGAGAATACTACAAACTCCTCTATGCAAATAAACTAGAAAATCTAGAAGAAATGGATGAATTGCTCGACACATACACTCTCCCAAGACTAAACCAGGAAGAAGTTGAATCTCTGAATAGACCAATAACAGGAGCTGAAATTGTGGCAATAATCAATAGCTTACCAACCAAAAAGAGTCCAGGACCAGATGGATTCACAGCCGAATTCTACCAGCGGTACAAGGAGGAACTGGTACCATTCCTTCTGAAACTATTCCAATCAATAGAAAAAGAGGGAATCCTCCCTAACTCATTTTATGAGGCCAGCATCATCCTGATACCAAAGCCGGGCAGAGACACAACCAAAAAAGAGAATTGTAGACCAATATCCTTGATGAACATTGATGCAAAAATCCTCAATAAAATACTGGCAAACCGAATCCAGCAGCACATCAAAAAGCTTATCCACCATGATCAAGTGGGCTACATCCCTGGGATGCAAGGCTGGTTCAATATATGCAAATCAATAAATGTAATCCAGCATATAAACAGAACCAAAGACAAAAACCACATGATTATCTCAATAGGTGCAGAAAAGGCCTTTGACAAAATTCAACAACCCTTCATGATAAAAACTCTCAAGAAATTAGGTATTGATGGGACGTATCTCAAAATAATAAGAGCTATCTATGACAAATCCACAGCCAATATCATACTGAATGGGCAAAAACTGGAAGCATTCCCTTTGAAAACTGGCACAAGACAGGGATGCCCTCTCTCACCACTCCTATTCAACATAGTGTTGGAAGTTCTGGCCAGGGCAATTAGGCAGGAGAAGCAAATAAAGGGTATTCAATTAGGAAAAGAGGAAGTCAAATTGTCCCTGTTTGCAGACGACAAGATTGTATATCTAGAAAACCCCACTGTCTCAGCCCAAAATCTCCTTAAGCTGATAAGCAACTTCAGCAAAGTCTCAGGATATATACATATAGATTTCTATGTGTATATATATATTTTGTATATATTTATATATGTGTGTGTGTATGTGTGTGTATATATATATATATATATATATACAGCAAAAAACTGCAATTACTTTTGCAGCAACCTAGTAGATGTCTCTCTCTTTCTCTCTCTCTCTCTCTCTTACTCTTCCTCTCTCTGTGGTTCTGGTTCTTTTCGCCTTTCCAAAGCTACTATAATGTAAATCCTGGTCCTAGTTTCACCACTCAACATTTTACCAAATACAGATGTAAATTAAAATGGTCATCATTCTCCCAGCCTAAGAAAAGTTCTTATCATAGGAATCTTTCAAACTAATCACTAAAGTAACAGATCTGGTCATTGTCCTTTATATGTACACACATTTCCCAACCAGATACCTAGTTTTAAATTTATATCTACATGAATTTTAATATATTTTACATAAACACTTTTTCAGGGAAAAGTGCATGCAACATGCAAAATTATAACATTAATGGTATGTCTAGTGTGGTGCCTGGCATATAATAAGTGCTCAATGACTGTTAAATACATGATAGCTCTTTAGTTCCACTGGCGGGGCAGGGTCTCAAAACCCATCTGTTTTCAGTTAAATCCCAAAAGTCTGACTGGCTATTTGTCTGAAGAATATTCAAAAATCAGGATAAAGCAAAGAAAATTTTTAATCATTACGTCCTCTCAAATCTAAAATTTTGTGATTCTATTATGAGAAATAGCAATCATTATGTGTCCTTCAGAACATACAAACCTACAGGAACATAAATACATACATACATACATACCTGTGTGTAACATCATCTTTCACTGTCCTCACCACAATGCTACCACCCACATTTACATACCAAAAAACAAAACAAAACAAAATAAAACATCTGAGAATAAGAGAGTTAGTAAATTCCCTAAGGCTCATATTTGGGAACTACAATCCTTGTAGGTTTTTTAATTGTATTCTGTGATTTGCTGGAAAAAAATCCTAAACTTACTCTCTATATCTGTGCCCTTATCTCAATTCAAATAACTTTCAGAAAGGCCAATCCATAAAGGTTTTATCTAAGTTCCAGCTTTCTTATTAATAAGATGTGATAAATAATATCTACCCTGTTTAACTTAAATAGGTTGCTAGAGGATCAAAAATTATGTGGTATATATAAGTACTTTGTCAACAACAGAGATATAGTTACACATGTACCGAACTTTTATAGTGTTATCAGCTCACAGATTGAAATTAATACTAAATTCTGTAATCTCCATTAATAAGATCGGTGCATAATTAAAAATTAGTAGGAGTAATGTTAAATTCAGTTTTTCTCTGGGTAATATTTAAAAATTTTTCTCACAAAGATTGATTATACCCCATTAAATTATCAAATAGATAATATAGTACTTACAGTTTTTGCTAAGTGATTATAATGAATAATTTTTATTGGCTTGATAAAAATCTATCCATGTAATTAAGGAGACTGATAATTATAACTCAGGGTAATGCCCGATAAAAGTGAGAATGTTTTCTCTCATCTTACTTGGGATAGTTTTGTTTTATAAAATATTATGTCCAATGGCTGATGAAATAGGAAGCAAGGCCCCGATCAAAGGTCCCAATTACAATACAGATATATTCTAGGACAACTTCCTGCCATTCAACATAATTTCCCACCTTCTAATATTCTCTTTCCCAGAAGATAAATTTTCAATGAAATAAAAATCAGAACTTCCTGGAAATATTTAACAAGTCATTTATTATGATTCTCCAATTGTTTTGACCATTTATCGTGCTAAGGAAAATAAAAGAAAACTACAAAAATAGTTGATTGTATACAGTCACATACATCCATACTCAATCAAATCTGGATAAAAATTCAATTTTGGATACAAAAGTTTTTATTCAGATTAGAGAATTAAATACCTTATAAAGAAGTCCATCACTCTTACATTGGAGAAATAAAAATGGAAAAAGAGACCAAAATCCAGAGTGAGAGCCAAATTATTTCTTTTTAGAAGGGCTTTATCTCATCACACCATAAATTCATCCTCCACATATCCTTTAAACTTGTGAGTGTATATGGTGTGATCTCGGCTCACCGCAACTTCCGCCTCCCAGGTTCAAGCAATTCTCCTGCCTCAGCCTCCTGAGTAGCTGGGATTACAGGTGCCCACCACCACGTCCAGCTAATTTTTATTTTATTTATTATCTATTTATAGTAGACAAGGGGTTTCCCCTTGTTGGTCAGGCTGGTCTTGAACTCGCAACCTCAGGTGATCCGCCCACCTCGGCCTCCCAAAGTGCTGGGATCACAGGCGTGAGCCACTGGGCCCAGCCAAAACCGCATTTTCAAGAATCTTTTACAAAGTTGAAATAATCATATTACCTTTGAAATGGTACTTAATAGTTTGCAAATTAGACTCATCCTTATTTAAAAACCAGAGAAAAAATGGAAGATTTGGTCTCTTTTTTTTCTTTTTGCAGATGAGAAAATGGAATTTCAGAAAACACATGATGCCGCTTCTTCAAGGTAAAGTAAGAATCAATTCCTGAGCTGACAAACCTACGTGTCCTTACTCTGGGTCTGGTGCTCTTTATATTAAAGGTGTGTGGCATGGTGGTCCTCTTCTCTCTTTGCAGAGACAGTCTATTCAGAGAAACAGATTAGAAAATAAAAAAGGCCGGGCACGGTGGCTCATGCCTGTAATCCCAGCACTTTGGGAGACAGAGGTGGGTGGATCATGAGGTCAGGAGTTCAAGACCAACCTGGCCAATATGGTGAAACCCCATCTCTACTAAAAATACAAAAATTAGCTGGGCATGGTGGTGCGGGCATGTAATCCCAGCTACTCCAGAGACTGAGGCAGGAGAATTGCTTGAACCCAGGAGGTGGAGGTTGCAGTGGGCTGAGATGCTGCCGCTGCATTCCAGCCTGGGCGACAGAGTGAGACTGTATCCCCCCCACCCCCCAAAATAAGCAAATAAATGTAGTAATTATAAAGTATGAAAATAATAAGCAACATGTACTACGTGCTTACTCTGTGTAACACACTGTTCTAAGCATTTTCCATCAATTTTGTACACATTCCTTATAGCATCCTTATGAGGTGGATATGACTGGTAGCTTTTATATATTTAAAAAGAAACCATGAAGCTCAGAGAGATTGAATAACTTATTCAAGGTCACAGAACTAGGAAACAGTGGGATCAAGATTCAAACCCAAGAAGTGACGAAAGCACACAGCTATTAAATGAAAGACCAGAATGACAAGGAGCCAGTCCCAAGAAAAGCAGGGTATGTGAAAACCCTGAGTCAGGAAATAGCTGGGTGCATCAAAGAACTGAGAGATGACTGGTGTGACTGAAATATGTTTTTTAAAAAGGGAGAAGAGTGATACTAAATAATAGGGAGGACTGGCAAGAGTGAATTATGCAAGGTCTTGGATGTCATGAAGGTAAGTTGAGTGTTTAAGCAGTGAAATGAGAAGCCATTGGAGATTTTTTAAAGTACATTTAAAAAATAATTTGAATTGCATTTTTCATTCAGTCTGACTGAAAAATCCATGTTTGTTGAGGTTTGACAACCATCTTATTATATATTTATTTATCCATTCACTCGTTTACTTAACAAGCAATTGCTAAATGCTGATTTTAGTATATATCTTTACCCAGAGTTTGCTATTTCAGCAATATCATGTATTCACCAAACCAAATATTTATTCACTAACACTAAATGGTTATATCTGGTGTTTTTTCAATAATTCCTTAATCCTAGCAGCTTGCACAACACTAGGTACGTGTAGTTGAAATAAAAATAGTCAACTTGTTATTTCCGTTAAATCAACCATTTAATGGATTTTCTTTTTCCCAGGATCGACTGGTTATTTTGATATCATGTCCTATTTCTTAGAACTTTAGTCTTCTTGCTTTCTGTTTCCAGGTAAGAATTTAAAAGTTATTGCAAAATGGTAAATATATGTTTCTCAAGACAGGCAGGTATCAGGCTCTGACAATGATAAACAGCACTTATAACATTACCTATAGAGATCACACTGAGACATAAAGTTAAGGGTTTTTATTCTTGGTATAACTTTCATCTTCTACACTTAACAAACAGGCAAGACCAGCCAAAAAGATGAGCAGTCTGAAATATCATATCTGAAGCTATCCAATATTTGGTATAGCAAACATTTATTAAATATCTACTATGTGCAAAATGATATCCTGAAGCACCATAGGAAATATAAATGGTACGCTCTCATGCTTGCACATCTTTAATGACATGAGGTCTTGATTTTACGCAATTTTACTCTATGTTGTTAGACAATAATACCAAATGTTATATTTTGTAGCAAATCTTCTTCAGAAACCTAAAAGTAGCTTTCCCAGTAAAACTGCATTGTGTCTCATTTGTGAAATCAGGAGTATCTTTAAACGTTCAGCTTATGAAAATAAAATAAATTTCAAAGGCCACAGGTGTATCAAAGGATCATCTTTTTATTCACGGAACCACAGGATCATAAAATCTCTGAGTAGAAAGAGACCTAGAGGGCGTCCAGCCCTATGCTTTCAGGCTTCACAGTAACATAAGAATAACCTGGGGTGTGATTTTAGCAAAATGGATTCCCAGGTTCTGGCCCCTGGAGATTAATTCAGTAGGTCTGAGTGGAGCCAGGCAATCTGTACTTTGTAAAAGCTTCCCAGGTGATTTTGATATGTAGCCTGGTTTGAGAATTCAAATCTAGCCCAACTCCTGGGTCTGATATGGAAATGTGTTCTGCACTACCTTTCCCTACAAGCTGTCATTTAGTTTCTGTTTTAATATACATGGGATAGAACCCTGACTCTCAAAAACTGTTGTAGTTATTAGAATGACATCTATATATCTGTATCTATCTGTATGTATGTATGTGCATGTGTGTGTATAAGTGTGTGTGAATATATGTGTGTGTATCTATATCTATCTATATCTATATCTGTCAGTATCTGTTTCCAAAAATGATGCTGTAGGCTCCGTGAAGGTAGAAGTTAGGACTGTTTTCTGTACTACTACATAATCTACCACTTAGTATAGACCTTTATATTTAGGAGATAGTTATTAAGGTTCACTGAATGCACACTAGATTGAAGTTCTTATTAGTTTGATCTGAAGTTGGAAACATCCATCTATTATTAAGCTAGTTTTTATAGTTTTAGGATATTTAATGTCTGCATGACAGATAGAAGGAATACAACTATGAATAAGTTATCCTCTTTGCTTCTCTCAAAGCTTATTTTTTTTTAACCTGGAAAGATGCAGATTCTTTTCACACACATTCGTAAGTGCAATGTCAAAAATATGGAATAAATGTGGGAGTTGAGATAAAGGAAACTAACTAATCTGTGATTGAGGTAGAGGAAAGGGAGCTATGAATATCTGTGAGTACTTTCTAAGAAAAATGATGATGAGTTGAGTCTTGAGGGCCTAGCGCTTGAATTTTTGAATGTCAACACACCTTAAATCAAATACAACAAATTATATTCCTCTTCTATAAGGTAGCCATGTAAGTGTATATAGAAAGATCTGTCTCTCAAACTCTCTAGGACAAATATCCAAATTCCTCCAACCATTTCTCAAATACAAGTATTTTATATCACTTTTCATATTTATTCCAATATCAAATTATATTAAATATTCTGAATCGTATCATCTGAAGAACATTCTTTGAAGATGAGAAATATAGCACATCTTCCAAGTTAAAGAGCTATAGCTTTAGTGTGAATTAGAAGCAAACAACACTAGCTTGAACACTGAACTCCTAGCTTTAGTGTGAATTACAAGCAAACAACACTAACATAAAATGGAAGTGAAACCCAGCCTCTCCACTCAGCATGCTAAATAGAGTTGAAAGCTAAAAGATGGTCAACACAAATGGATTTAAAGTGACAGAGGGACAATTTTTAGCTTTGTTATCTTGGCTAACTTTATAGATGAATATCCACAATTAAAAAATATATAGAAATCTTATAGATATCTCCAGGTAGACAACCCCATTTAATAAGCAGGGGAAAGATGGCTCTGAGTTAATACTGTTGTCATAGAAACAATTCTTGCCTATTAAATCAATGTGAGGTTTGGAGAAGTATGGACTTATCTGGATAGGTTAAGGGTAGAGCATTGGGAAAATGTAGAAATGTTAGGAGACAGAGACACTAGCTGTAATGGTGAAATACCACTCTCATTCTAAAAGTTAATTTCCTCTTTTTAAAAAAGGCATAAACTTAGTAAGATACCTCTCTCCTCTTTAAAAAATAACTTTATAAATGAAAATGATGCATTTCATTTCTTCAAAGAGATTTGGGAAAATCTATTGAACTCCTCTGAATAACTAAATCAACCTCAGTTTGTATCCCCATACTGGAAAAGTACAGCCCCCCAGGGTGATCAGACAGGTCCAACAGCTGCTAGATGTCTGTTAAAACAGTGTTAGAAAGGCACGTATGTGATGCATATCTCCTGGGAGATCTGTATCTAAAATGAGACTAGAAATCACATTCTCTTGTATAAATCAACTTTGACAAGCCCCAAACTGGGAATATATCTGTAATTAATAAATGAAAATTACAAAGCTCATTTCCTGCGCTTACTTCCACCCACCCTACCCACTCTTGTGGGGCTACACCTGACACTTATTAGGCTTTTGAAAAAAGGAGACTTAAAATAAAGAGAATCTATCACTCAACGGTTTGTCAAGGCATGAGCTTTTTTAGTAGGTTCACAGAACAAAATGTGTAAATGGTAAGTTCCTTGAAGGATTTCTTTGACATAAGAAATAGCACAAAGTGAGCATGTACTGCTTGGTTCTATTCAGTTAAAAATATAGGGGTGGCTTTGGTCTCTAATCTGGAGAAACTGCTCATCTACCAAAAGCTATTCAGGGCATGGCCAAGGCTGATATCTTGCATCTAGGGCCTTCTTGTTTTGACAAATGCTGTATTTATCTCATTACTCAAGGTTCACAGTGGTTTTTGGTTTTAAGATGGACTAGTCTGGCAGAATAAATTCCATTAAATGAGAGAGTTAGGCAGATGGTTTCTGAATTGTGAATTTTATATCAGCAAATATAAAAAGGGATTGCTCCAAAGAAGTTCCAGACTATTGGAATTGTAAAAGCACCCAATCAGCTCTCTATAAACAGGTTACTGTTATTTTTCACCAATGAGAATTTTTTTTAATGTACTACTAAAAATTAGGCTTTGGGTTCCCTTGACTAGCCAAATTCGACCAGTAATAGACACCATTTCTTCAGAAGGGGTGTCTTTATCTAATGCTATTTTGCCTGGCTATTGTCAAGAAGGTCAGAGAAACCTGTCCAGGGTAGTGATGTTTGAGGTAGGTATTGAAGAGCTCAGGAAAACCATGAAGACAAGGAAGGATTATTGTCAGAGGGCTGTACTAGTAATTCTCAAAATGTTGTCCCTGCACCCAGCAGCACCAACATTGCCTGGGAACTTGTTAAACATGAGAATTTTCAGCCCCACTTCAGACTTACTGAATCAACAACTCTGGCATGGAGCCTAGTAGCCTGTGTTTTAACAAGCCCTGCAGTTGATTTTCACATATCTTAATATTGAGAACCACCGGACTAGCAATTTGAAATTTGAAAGAAAATGGTGTGTTTGAAGGGCTGCAATTTCTTCCACATGGCTCAATTTTAGATTAAGTATGGATAGTGGGAAATCTTGAGGATGACAAAGCAGGCAAGATGATGATGTGCCTTAAGTCTTCATATGGAATTTATACCATATCATTAGGATGATGAGGAGCTAACAAATGCTTAAAAGCAGTGAATTAATAAGGAAGAACCTGTTAAAATAACTCTAGGAGCAGTGTGAGAAATAGACTAAGTCCCTGACTGGATGAGGTTGCAAAAAAAAAAAAAAAAAGAAAAAAGAAAACAAGCTCATAATTGGTTGGGAGATTAAATGATATCATGGTTATGGAAGACTTCTAGAGACTGGGAAAGGACTACCTAAGTTAGGATGGGCTGAAAGGGGAAGAACACAAAGATCTGTGTCAGGATTTTAAAGATGAGTAAATGTTGAAGTTACTAAAAGCAATTAAAAATAACAAAGACCTGCCATTTTCAGTAAGAAAATAACAGAATCAGTTTTGGATTTGTTAACTTTTTAGTTCCTGCAGGTGACTACAAGTTTAGGACTCATAATTCTGGTTATCAACAATCTATCTAGCCAGCTTTATATAAAATTAAACTGTAGGAACAAATGCAATATACTAGGGAAACTATATAAAAGAGAAAAGAACTGAAAAAAAGTCCTGAAATTGCTATGAAAACCTGTATGAACATGTTGGAGAGAAAGAGGGAGTAAAAGGAAACTTTTCTCTCTGATTTTGGCACTATTATCATGGATCTGCTCATCCATTGTCTGTCTAAAACATTACTAGCTAAGATGAAAACCCTATGGCTAGCCTGGAGGGTCTAGAGTTTTCATAATTTTGAGAGAGACCCAGCTTTTTCAAAGGTAACGGTTAAAAAAACAAAGCAAAACAAACTATTATGTGGGCTCAGTGGCTCAAGCCTATATTTCTATCACTTTGGGAGGGTGAGAAGGGAGACTCCCTTGAGGTCAGGAGTTTGAGACCAGTCTCTGTGCAACACAGCGAGACCTCATCCCTAGCAAAAAAAAAAAAAAGAAAAAAAAAAAAAAGAAAGAAACAAAGAAAGAAAATAGCAAAGCATCCTGACACATGCCTGTAATTCCAGCTACTCAGGAAGCTGAGATGGTAGGATGGCTTTAACCTAGGAGTATGAGGTGGCAGTGAGCTATGATCAGGCCACTGTACTCCAACTTGAATGACAGAGTGCTAATGACAAATACAGTGTATTAAGAATATCTACATCATGGCCTTGAAACCAAGAAAGAACAACTGATTTAAAGCACAACTTTAAGTATTGATAATTTGGGGAAATAAAACATGATATTTTTTAGAAGACAATTGCCTAAAGCCCTTTCTCCTCTCCCTCCACCTGCATACAACCTCCTCTTGAAATGAGCACTGCTTACTTATCTAATTTATCCAGTATCCTCCTTCCACCTTCTTTTCAAAATCTAAGCTTTACTAGACTGACTGAACAGAAAAGTTAGTTTATAGTAGAATTTATTTCTATAGAGGCCCTTATTCCTAGGGAAGGTTGTAACTTGCTACTTCATGTTACTTTGGAGCTATAATTATGATAAAATTCAACAGTCCAAAAGACAACATGCACGGGTGTTGCTAGTGAGCTGAACGTAAGGCATCACCCTTACTCTGAGCTTGGCCTGTCTAAAAGTCAATGTCATTTATTTTATAAGCTAATTCTTATGCATGAAAATATTGCAATCTTGGCAAAATATATTTTTGCATCCGATGGTCTTAGCTGCCTTCCAGCCTTGCTTAACAACTTCTAAAGGACACACACAAGTACTGCAGGGGTGGGGGGAGTATAAGATTAATTATCTCTTTCCACACAATGCCTTTTCTTTCTCTCCCAATTATGGATAATGAGGCCAGAAGTGTAATTACTGAAGGAGTTTGGAAAGGTAATTACTGAACTAATCTCAAAAATGGTGGTGACCACAGCACAACAAAACTCACTTTATAGCTGTCAGAGCCACTTGGAATGTGATACACATGTTGTGTTTGCAAACCCAGGTGCTGTACGAAAGGTAGTTTCATATTAGCAAATTACCACAACGACCTGCTACATTCTACTCATTTTGATTTTGTAATGAGAAAGCCGATTAAACTGTAATAACTTTAAGTTGTGACTCTTAAACAAGTTACACGTTTTGAAGGAGGTGAAAAAACAAAGATGGCGGGTTTGAGGAGCCTTTCTGGGATCCTGTTGAATATCGAGTCCTGAGATTTGCAAATAGCTCTACCTTCATCTATTCCCACTGATCACTGGAGAGTTAAAGTTTAAGGAAACTTCATAGCAATTCTCAAATTAAAGCACTGAGCTTTGAGACTGCCAGCCAAGGCCTCCTTTTATGCTTAGGCATAAATGTACACGGGACATATAAATTAAATTTCAACGCCATGGTTCCCGTTGCTTCTCTGTTACCTGTTCTTTCTCGCCATGATCCGGAGAGCACGCCACATCCTCCTCCAACCCCTTCACCCTCACTGGCAGAGAACAATCTCTCCATCCCTTTGTGCTCCCGTACCATTCACTCCTAAGCCCTAGGTTCTGCCGCCTCATCTCATCCCTTTGTGACGTAGTGGCCCCAGTCCGGGCCCCGGCGCGCTAGGCTCACAAAGGCAGGCACAGACTGCAACCCTGCTCAGTGCTCCGGGCGCTTCAGGCTGGCTTGGGTCCTGCTGCTCCAACCCCAAGGGCCCTGGAGCGCTCCCTGATACCTCCATCACTCACCATGGCCAGCCAGTTCTGCCTCCCTGAATCCCCATGTCTCTCGCCCCTGAAACCCTTGAAGCCACATTTCGGAGACATCCAAGAGGGCATCTACGTGGCGATCCAGCGCAGTGACAAGCGGATCCACCTCGCTGTGGTCACGGAGATCAACAGAGAAAACTATTGGGTCACGGTAGAGTGGGTGGAGAAAGCAGTCAAAAAAGGCAAGAAGATTGACCTGGAGACCATACTCCTGCTGAATCCAGCTCTGGACTCTGCTGAACACCCCATGCCGCCCCCGCCCTTATCCCCCTTGGCTCTGGCGCCCTCTTCGGCCATCAGGGACCAGCGTACCGCCACGAAATGGGTTGCGATGATCCCCCAGAAAAACCAAACAGCCTCAGGGGACAGCCTGGATGTGAGGGTCCCCAGCAAACCTTGTCTGATGAAGCAGAAAAAGTCTCCCTGCCTCTGGGAAATCCAGAAACTGCAGGAGCAGCGGGAAAAGCGCAGGCGGCTGCAGCAGGAGATCCGAGCTAGACGCGCCCTCGATGTCAATACCAGAAACCCCAACTACGAAATCATGCACATGATCGAAGAGTATCGCAGGCACCTGGACAGCAGCAAGATCTCAGTCCTGGAGCCCCCGCAAGAACATCGCATCTGCGTCTGCGTGAGGAAGCGGCCTCTCAACCAGCGAGAGACAACCTTAAAGGACCTGGATATCATCACCGTCCCCTCGGACAATGTGGTTATGGTGCATGAGTCCAAGCAAAAGGTGGACCTCACTCGCTACCTGCAGAACCAGACCTTCTGCTTCGACCATGCCTTCGATGACAAAGCCTCCAACGAGTTGGTGTACCAGTTCACCGCCCAGCCACTGGTGGAGTCCATCTTCCGCAAGGGCATGGCCACCTGCTTTGCCTATGGGCAGACGGGAAGTGGGAAGACGTACACCATGGGTGGAGACTTTTCAGGAACGGCCCAAGATTGTTCTAAGGGCATTTATGCTCTGGTGGCACAGGATGTCTTTCTCCTGCTCAGAAACTCCACATATGAGAAGCTGGACCTCAAAGTCTATGGGACATTTTTTGAGATTTATGGGGGCAAGGTGTATGATTTGTTGAACTGGAAGAAGAAGCTGCAAGTCCTTGAGGATGGCAATCAGCAAATCCAAGTGGTCGGGCTGCAGGAGAAAGAGGTGTGTTGTGTGGAGGAAGTGCTGAACCTGGTGGAAATAGGGAATAGCTGTCGGACTTCCAGGCAAACACCTGTCAACGCTCACTCATCCAGGAGCCATGCAGTGTTCCAGATCATCCTGAAGTCAGGACGGATAATGCATGGCAAGTTTTCCCTCGTTGATTTAGCTGGGAATGAAAGAGGAGCAGATACAACCAAGGCCAGCCGGAAAAGGCAGCTGGAAGGGGCAGAGATTAACAAGAGTCTTCTAGCCCTCAAAGAATGTATTCTGGCTTTGGGTCAGAACAAGCCTCACACCCCATTCAGAGCCAGCAAACTCACACTGGTGCTCCGGGACTCCTTTATAGGCCAGAACTCCTCCACTTGCATGATTGCTACCATCTCTCCGGGGATGACCTCTTGTGAAAACACTCTCAACACTTTAAGATATGCAAACAGAGTAAAAAAATTAAATGTAGATGTAAGGCCCTACCATCGTGGCCACTATCCGATTGGACATGAGGCACCAAGGATGTTAAAAAGTCACATCGGAAATTCAGAAATGTCCCTTCAGAGGGATGAATTTATTAAAATACCTTATGTACAGAGTGAGGAGCAGAAAGAGATTGAAGAGGTTGAAACATTACCCACTCTGTTAGGGAAGGATACCACAATTTCAGGGAAGGGATCTAGCCAATGGCTGGAAAACATCCAGGAGAGAGCTGGTGGAGTACACCATGATATTGATTTTTGCATTGCCCGGTCTTTGTCCATTTTGGAGCAGAAAATTGATGCTCTGACCGAGATCCAAAAGAAACTGAAATTATTACTAGCTGACCTCCACGTGAAGAGCAAGGTAGAGTGAAGCCAATGGCGAGAGATCAGGTCCGAAATGCTGCATTGCTGCAGTTTCCACCACTCTTATACAGGAAAACTGTCCAAATTATCTAAAGATCCTCCTGAGAAGCTTAAAACATCTTAAAATACACTGATGGGAAACATGCTCTTTCTTCTGCCTCTGTATTTCTGTAGTTTGTTTTCATCCTGCTGAACTATAGTTTTCAACAGGGAATGGTTCCTCCCCACCCCCTACCAGGACATTTGGCGATGTCTGGAAACATTTTTGATTGTCACAACTGGGGGTGATGAGGATACTGGCATACAGTAGTTTGAGGACCAGAAATGCTGCTAAGCATTCTAAAGTGTACAGCAGCAGTCCCCAACCTTTTTGACACCACAGACCGGTTTTGTGGAAGGGAGTTGTTCCGTGGGTGGGGTTGGGGATGAAACTGTTCCACTTCAGATCATCAGGCATTAGTCTCCTAAGGAGCATGCAACAACCTATATCCCTCACATGCACAGTTCACAATAGGGTTCATGCTCCTGTAAGAATCTAATGCTCCTGCTGATCTGACAAGAGGGGGAGCTCAGGCGGTAATGCCCGCTCACTGCCAGCTTGCCTTCTGTTGTGTAGTGTGATTCCCAAAAGACCACAGACCTACCGGTCTGCAGCCCAGGGGTTGGGGACCCTGAAGTGTACAGGACAGCTTCTCACAGCAAGTGACTACCCTGTTGCAAACATCAATGGTATCGAGGTAGAGAAACCCTGCTGTAGAAGAAACCAGCTGTGATGAAAGCAGATACACTAAATTTCCAGCTGGGAAAGCAAAACACTGTGAGTTAAAGGAAATAGATTGGAAAGACACCAGGGGTACACAATGGAGTAAATCTAATGATACTGCTCATGAATCTTTCTCTTGCATTGCTGTTTAGATTCAAATGGTTTTTAAGATCTAATCATATTGGGAGGCTGGATTTTCCTTGAAACCATGTATGAGAGCCTAGAATTGAGAGGGACTTTTTAAAAGAAACATTTGAGTTGAAATGGCAAAGTATTGTACTCCCTAGAAGTGATTAAAGTGCATGTGTGTAGGGGTGTGTGTATGTGTGTGTGCACGTTTTGCCTAAGTAGGGCTTTGTTGACTATAGTGTCTTTAATTTTTTTTTCCTCACACACTCTTTACCATATATTGTATTTATATGCTTCACATAAAAAGCCTTCCTGTATCAAGTTGGAGCAGGGTATAAGACAAACAGTAGAAAAACTCCCACCTAAAATGGGACACATCCCATAAATACCTCAAAAGTAGCATCAGAAACATTGATACCTTAGATTGATTAGATAATTGAAACATTTTCCTGATTCAAGGATCACAAAGTCCATTCTTTCTTTTAAAAAAAAGCTAATCTGATACGTAAATACAAATATAATAAATAATACGTGCAGCAAACTAATATAATTAGCAAACATTATATAAAATACTGTAACAAAAAAGGGTCTTTCGGTTTCAAATCTTATAAGTTCCAAATGCTTTTTAAAAAGAAATAAATAGAAATGATTTGCAAAAAAGAAAAGTCCATGGCAGATTAAGGAAATTTAGACAATACATAGTCTCCAAATTTTGCTACTCTCATTATTTTCAAATGTTTTCCTAAAAGTTACAAAGACCTCATTAACATTAGGATAACTGGCACATTACTATAGCGTAGAATAATAATGTCCTAGCAAAAGCTATCAGTGTAAAACAATAAGGATGACCATGAACATCTGGTCTTTCGTAATTAATATTTGTGGTCTTTAGAAAACAAACACACACATACACACTTAGCAGTGCTTTGACTGGATTGCATTAAATCAATTAACTTGATAAAGATTAATATCGTTACAATTGTGAGTCTTCAATCCATGAATATTCCTCTTGGAAGTTTATTTAGTTCTTTATTAATTTCTCTCAGTCTTTTAGCATTGTCCATATTGAGGTGTCACATTCCTTTCATTAAAAGCATGATTAGATAGTCGATTAGATAATGTTTTTAAGGCTAATCTAAATTTTATCACATTTAAATGTAATTATCAAAATATTCCTAATATATACGGGAAAAGTTGGTGTTTGTGTTTGGACCTTTTAATGTAATGATAAATTAACTTACTAATTCTAATAGAATTTAAAATATATTATGTTGGATGTTTTTAGGTATATAATTATGGGATTTGTAAATGATAAAAGTATTGTTTCTCTCCTTCCAATTTTTATACCTTTTATTCAAAAGTATATACTTTTATTATCTTATTCCCATAAGACCTTGTATGTAATGTTGAGTAGAAAAAGTCATAACAAGAATTGTCTGGTTCCCTATCTCAAAGAAAATATTTTAATAGTTTAGCAATTAATATAGTTTAATGGTTCAATTTTTATGCATAGACCAATCTTGTCAGATTCAGAATTTCTTTATATCTAGTTATTGTTAATGAGTGCTAAATTTTACCCTGTCTTTTCTTCCTCTATTTAGATGACCATATGATATTTTCCTTTAGTCTCTAAGTGTAATGAATTACAATACCTTTTCAAATGTTAGATCAATCTTGCTTTTTGAAATAATTTCAACTTATACTTTTTTATACATTGTTGAATTAGAAATAATAATAATTAGTTTAGGATTTTTGTATCTATATTCATGAGAGATGCTATAATTTTCTTTTGATATCTATCTCAGGGATTGGAATTAAGATTTGCCAACTCTATAAAACAAAATGAGAAGCCTATTCTCTTTTTCTATTTTCTGAAATCATTCGGATTTTTTTTTTTTTTTTGAGGTGGAGTCTCACTCTGTCACCAAGGCTGGAGTGCAATGGCAACACCTTGGCTCACTGCAAACTCCACCTCCTGGATTCAAGTAATTCTCCTGTCTCAGCCTCCAGAGTAGCTGGGATTACAGCTGCTTGCCACCACGTCAGGCTAATTTTTGTATTTTTAGTAGAGACAGGTTTTCGCCATGTTGGCCAGGGTGGTCTCAAACTCCTGACCTCTGGTGATCCACCCACCTCAGACTCCCAAAGTGCTGGGGTTACAGGTGGGAGCCACCACACCGGTATAGATACGATTTCTATTAAATTTTTGTTAAATACTTCAAAGCTATCTGGCTCTGGAGTTATCTTTATGACAAAATTTTCTAGATTCAATTCATTTAGTGGAAATAATATTATTCAAGTTTACACTTAATATTTTTCTCATACCAGATTTAATAAATTTTATTAATTTATTCTCATAAAACTATACTATACTCATTATCTATCATGCCCATATTATTTATTTCTTTTTTTAATCCTTCCTGATACTGGTAAATTGTGTCTTCTCTTTTTTATTTTTAATGAGACTTGTTGTATGTTTATGAATTATATTTGTTTTTTCAAGGAAATAACTCTTGGCTATTTTCTCTATTGTGTTTGTTTTTATTTTATTAATTCCATTTTTCCTTCTTTCTATTTAATTTCTACTTTTTTCATTTTATTAATTTCTATGCTTAGATAATAAATTTGTCATCCTTTTATAGTTATTCTTTTTAACTACTGCTTTTAGTCAATCTACATTATATTTTTATTATTCAAAAAATTGAATACTCAAATATTCAAAGTATTCATTGTTTCTAATTTTCACTTACCAATAAGTTATTAAAAGCATTGTTATATGCCTATTTTTAAATTTGTTTAATCACGTTGTTGAAATATTTTATAACACTTATTTACTTTATCTTTTACCATGATATTAAATTCTTAAACTTTAATTGTAGGCTTAACTACTTTTCCTTTTAATTCTGACAGTTTTCAGTTTATATCTTTTGAGGTTATGTTCTAGTTGCATATACATTTGGGGTTTTATATATGCCTGTTGAGTTCACAGTTTTAACATACTAAATTTTTCTCTTTGTTTCTCGTAATTTTTCTTGAATTAAATTCTGCATTTCCTAATATTAGTATAGATAATATTAGCTTTATTTTAGTTTGTATTTGTGTGGTATATACTTTGCTGCCCTTTTATTTTGAATCTTTCTGGTCTTTACAGCTAAGATTAATTCTTTATAAAAATATATAATTGGTTCTAAATAATTTTTTAATCCCATATTATAATTTTTGTCTTTTAATGAACACATTTATGTCATTTAGATTTAATGTAACTACTGATAGATTTAGGTTTATGTCTGTGAGCATTTATTTCCTGTAACTTGAAAATCATATCATGCATTCTTATTATTACCTTATATTTCTTCATAGAAAGTGAAACTACCTTAAATATTTTAGTTCATTGTTTTTTTCCCAGACTTTATGCTTTTTATCTTTTAATTATTTATATGTAGAATTTAAGGCATTATATATATGCTTTTAATACATCATTATTAATATTTAAACGGTGGATATACATTTAAATAACTCATGTTTATTTTTCTGATATTCTTAATTCTGTATACATTGTATTTAATTCTTTATATCTAATACTTTATGCTTAATTCTTTACTGTTTCCATTTAGGATCATTTTTCTTCTTATATGACTCATATATGTGTATGTAAGAGTAAACCTGTTAGTGAAAATTCTGTTAATTTAAATAATCCTTACTTTACCTTCTCTTTTGAAGTATATTTTTGCTGCTTATGGAATTCTTGGTCATCTATTCTTTCATTTACATATTTATTTATTTATTTGCCCTTCAAAGAAATCATTATTTTGTTTTATTATTTTGCCATTTCTATTAAAAATTAACTGTCATTTTCAGGAACTTTTAAGATTTTTTTCCTTCTCTTGATTTCAAATCAGGATTGGTTTTTCTATAATGCAATAAGGTGTGTTTTTCTTATTTATTCTCCTTGTGTTTTATAAAACTTTTAAGTCTATCACTGATATCCTTCATCAGTTTTGATAAAGTATAAAGTATTAACTTTTTTTTTTTTTTTTTTTGAGACGGAGTACTCACTCTTTCGCCCAGGCTGGAGTGCAGTGGTGCAATCCCGGCTCACTGCAACCTCCATCTCCCGGGTTCAAGCAATTCTTCTGCCTCAGCCTCCTGAGTAGCTGGGACTACAGTTGCCCGCCACCATGTCCGGCTCATTTTTGTATTTTTAGTAGAGATGGGGTTTCACCATGTTGGCCAGGCTGGTCTCAAACTCCTGACCTCAGGTGATCCACCCGCCTCAGCCTCCCAAAGGGCTGGGATTACAGACATAAGCCACTGGCGCCGCCAAAGTATCAACATTCAACAGTTCAAATATTATTTTTGGATCTTTCTATATCTTCCCTTCTTGGAAGTTACAAATACTTAAGTATTCTACATGTTTCATACTATTTTGTCTAGTTTGTATTAATTTATCTCTTAATGCTTCAGTTTGGATACTATCTAATTGCCTATCTTCCATTTCACTAATCCTCTTTGTCAAATCTATTAAACTCATGCATTAAATTTTTAATTTCAACTTTTAGTCTTAATTCTAGGATTTTCACTTGACTCTTAAAGTAGATCTCTGTTTTTCCTGTTGATTCAAGTTGTTCGGTACTTTGTATGCCTCGTATGTTTTGATTGAATGCTGAACAATATGTGTGATATAATGTGAAGGCTCTATATGATGTTATATTTTTCCAAAGAGGATTTATTTTTCTTTCTGAAGACACATAGAGTAAAAGCATATCACCGTGATCCCTTGTTCTGGTTTACTCTTAATTTTTGGGCTTAGCATGTCTGGTATCTTAACTAAAAGCTTCTACTTTCACGGACTCTTGCTTTTCTAAATCTATAAGCTTGATAAATTATCTGCTGACTTTTAATCTGTTTTCAACTGCTTTATGATTATTTTCACATTTGAACCTTTTTCTATGTATGCACAGTCTTAGAGTTAGCAATATATTAGGGAGAAATTGCACATATATTGTGTATTTCAATTCTCTGTCATCCTTTTTTTTTTTTTTTTTTTTTGCAAAACCAGTCTTGTTGGCTCTGGTAGGTCTGAACTTTAATGTTAGGCTTTTGTGAAACTGTGTCCCTGTGAGACTGCAACAACATTTACTTGGCTACTGCCTTCCTTTTGGGCTTACTGTTCAGTTTCAAGAATCAGCAAATGCTCCAAGAGGGAAAGGTAGCAGTGAATATAATAATCATCTCAGTGTGGTTTCCTTTTCCCTGTGATTTTTAAAAAATATTCTTATTGAGATGTAATCTACACAATATAGTAATATGTATTTTTCTAAGGATTCTTACATTCAAGTCTACAGAATACAACTTAAAACTTCTACTTCATTAAAAAATTGCTTTCTTGCTATTTCTTAGTTTCTTTGCTTCCGTTGCATTAAAATTCTTTCTTAATTACTGTGCATTCATATTTCCATTGACATTAGTATTTTTTTCCTGAGAATATACATGGTACTTGAAACAATGTAAAAATACAGCATACAATTTTATATTGAGTATTATAAAATAAAATATTATGTAAATGAAAAAACTCAGAAAATAAATTAATTGGAGTCCACTATAAGAGAATTGTTGACAGCTTGCCCAGATGCCCTGAAATTATAAAAAAGATTGTAAGCAAATTAACGCTTTAACAAGATTGTAGAAAAAAAGTCAGAACTGCTAAATTAAGAAAAATAAATACTTTCAGTACTTTGAAAACATCCCTTTACACACAAAAACTTGGCATGCTAATTATAAGCTATGCTTATCTATTAATTAAAGTATTTTTTCCTATCCTGTAGTGGACAAACTTATTTTGAATGGCTGTGTGAACTTTTACATAATAAAACTACTTTTAAAATACCAAACTTAAGGTTTTATAATTGTAACTTTTTCATCCCATAATTTATCTGTGATCATAAACTTTTATACTATTAATATTATTCTACTACTTTTTATTTGATAAAATTATTTTTTAATAATCTACATGACAAAACTGTATGAGAGCCCTAGATAAATATTTATGTGCTTCTTAGGTGAATGTTTAAATTATTTTTTGCTTGCAATTTGATTTCAGAATTAAAATATTCTTAGAGCAGAAATACAGTTTCTATCATGTATGGCTTAAGAAAACAAATGTCAAATAATTTGTTATTCAAAGTGTAGGTATTATCTTCAAAGCAAGCCTGTCATTTATAAACTGTTTAATTCTTTTTATTCTCCAAAAGAGCAACTCCAGATAGCAAACCTTAACACACTGTTTTTCTGAAATTTGATTTTTTTCCTAGTTAAGGCATTTTCTTTCTAATGTAATATAAATGTAATGTCTGAAATTATTTTAAAACGCTTAAAGCAGATATTGGCCAAACAAGATATTAAGGCCTTAAACAAGATATTGATCCAAATTACTTATTGAAGATAAAAACAGAACAGAGACAGGTTGCCTTTTCACTTCTGAAAACCATCTGTGTTTGAGGTGATTCTGAACATGAATGAAGTTGTCTACTGGTCATAGCTAGAACACAAGGGCTTGAATGGTAACAGTAAGAAGGAACACAGTAATCCAGAGCAGGAAAAATGGAAATAATTATCAAAGCAACAATTACAAATGGAAGTGATTAAAATAAAGGTTATGGCATGGTGCCAGTTAACCAATATACCATGCTCACACTCATGTCTCATGAAGTTATGAAGCTAGAAAGGGATGAATGAATTAGGCCATGGTGGAGAATCCAAATAGTTTTTATACTATCTGGACATGAGTCCAAATGTTGAGATTAAACTCAAACAAGCTAAGTGAGCCAAAACACCTGCCTTAGAGTTAAATATTTTGGGTTTGACTTAAGGCTTTGTCACCTAGTATCTGTGTGAATTCAGACAAGTTTTTGACACTCTGTATTCTTTATTATTTTTTGCTACCTGTTAAAAAACAGTCTAAAAATATCCACTATGCCAAACTCACAGAGTCATTTTGGAGGACCAACTTAAGAAGTTTCAATAAAATAAGATTTTACTAATCATCTTCTATGTCTTCCTTCTTACTTGTTACCTTACTGTGTTCCTTCTTACTGTTACCATTCAAGCCCTTGTATTCTAGCTATGACAAGTAGACAACTTCATTTATGTTCAGAATCACCTCAAACACAGACGGTTTTTAGAAGTGCAAAGGCAACCTGTCTCTGTCCTGTTTTTATCTTCAATTAGTAATTTGGATCAATATCTTGTTTAAGCCCTTAATATCTTCTTTGGCTAGTATCTTATATGAATTTCACCTATGAGAAAAAGTATAGCTGTCTTTGTGTTTCAAATTGGTTTTTACGTTGATACATCATTCTGCCCAATGACAGAAAGTACAATTTTCATGTGAGCGGTTGACACATGTAAATGGCTAGTCCTCAGGATTTGCTTGCGTCGGTAAACAGGTGATTTTAACAAGTGGTTATATCCCTCTTTTATTTCTTTTTTTTAACCTTTATATTATATTCAGGGGTACATGTGCAGGCTTGTTACATAGGTAAGCTTCTGGGGGGATTTGTTGTACAGATTATTTCATCACCCAGGTATTAAGCCTAGTACCCATTAGCTATTTTTCCTGATCCTCTCCCTCCTGCCACCCTCCACCCTCCAATAAGCCCCAGTGTGTGCTGTTCCCCTCTATGTGTCCATGTATTCTCAGCATTTATCTCCCACTTTTAAGTGAGAACATGCAGTATTTGGTTTTCCTTTTCCACATTAATTCTCTTAGGATGCTTCGCATCCATGTCTCTGCAAAGGACATGATCTTGTTCTTTTTATGGCTGCATAGTATTCCATGGTGTATATGTACCACATTTTTTTTTTACTGAGTCTATTATTTATGAGCATTTAGGTTGATTCCATGTCTTTGCTGTTGTGAATAGTGTTGCAATGAACATACACATTCATGTGTCTTTATAATAGAATGATTTAAATCCCTTCGGGTATATACCCAGTAATGAGATTGCTTAGTCAAATAGTATTTCCATCTTTAGGACTTTGAGGAATTGCTACATTGTCTTCCACAATGGTTGAACTAATTTACACTCCCACCAACAGTGTATAAGCATTCCCTTTTCTCTGTAACCTTGCCAGGCTCTGTTATTTTTTGACTTTTTAGTAATTGCCTTTCTGACTGGTGTAAGCTGTTATCTCTAATGTATTTCTCTAATGATCAGGGAGGTGGAGCTTTTTTTTCATATGACTGTTGGCTGCATGCATGTCTTCTTTTGAAAAGTGTCTGTTCATGTCCTTTGTCTACTTTTCAATGGAATTCATTTTTTAAATAAATGTGTTTAAGTTCCTTATATATTCTGAATATTAGACCTTCATTAGATGCATAGTTGGCACAAATTTTCTCCCATTCTGTAGGTTGTCTGTTTACTCTGTTGATAGTTTCTTTTGCTGTTCAGAAGCTCTTCAGTTTAATTATATTCCAAATGTCAATTTTTGCTTTTGTTGTGATTAATTTTGGAGCCTTCATCAGGAAATCTTTTCCCATTCTTATGTCCTGAGTGGTATTGCCTTATTGCCTAGGTTGTCTTCCAGGATTTTTATAATTTGAGTTTTACATTTAAGTCTTTAATCCTTCTTGAGTTAGTTAATTTTTAATTTTTGTATGTGGTGTAAGTTATTTATTTATTTATGTATTTTTGATGGAGTTTCGCTGTTGTTGTCCAGGCTGGAATGCAATGGTGCTGTCTGAGCTCACCACAACCTCTGCTTCCCAAGTTCAAGCAATTCTCCTGCCTCAGCCTCCCAAGTAGCTGGGATTACAGGCATGTGCCACCATGCCTGGCTAATTTTTTGTATTTTTAGTAGAGACGGAGTTTCTCCATGTTGGTCAGGCTGGTCTCGAACTCCCAACCTCAGGTGATCCTCCCGCCTCGGCCTCCCAAAGTGCTGAGATTACAGGCATGAGCCACCATGCCCAGCCGTAAGTTAATTTTTGTATGTGTGTTTCTATGTGGTGTAAGGTTGAAACTGAAAGGGTTCAGTTTCTATCTTCTGTATATGGCTAGCCAGTTAACGTAGAACCATTTATTGAATAGGAAATTCTTTCCCCATTGCTTGTTTTTGTCAGATTTGTCGAAGATCAGATAGTTGTAGGTGTGTAGTCTTATTTCTGGGTTCTCTATTCGTTTCCATTGGTCTATGTGTCTGTCTTTGTACCAGTACCATGCTGTTTTGGTTACTGTGGCTTAGTAGCATAGATTGAAGTCAGGTAACATGATGCTTCTAGTTTTGTTCTTTTTGCTTAGGATTGTGTTGGCTATCTGGGCTCTTCTTTGGTATCAAATAAATTTTAAAATCTTTTTTTTTCCTAATTCTGTGAAGAATGTCATTGGCAGTTTAATAGAAATAACGTTGAATTTATAAATTGCTTTGGGCAGTATGGCCATTTTTACAGTATCAATTCTTCCTATCCATGAGCATGAGATGTTTTTCCATTTGTTTGTGTCATCTGTGATGTCTTTGAGCAGTGTTTTGTACTTTTCCTTTTAGAGACCTTTCACCTCCCTGGTTAGCTGTAGTCCCAGGCATTTTATTCTTTTTGTGGCAATTGTGAATGGGAGTATATTCCTGATTTGGCTCTGGGCTTGACTGTTGTTGGTGTATAGGAATGTTAGTGATTTTTGCACATTGATTTTGTATCCTGAGACTTTGCTGAAGTTATCAACTTAAGAAGCTTTTGGGCTGAGACTATGGGGTTATCTAGGTATAGAGTCATGTCTGCAAACAGGGATAGTTTGTCTCCCTCTCTTCCCATTTGGATGTCCTTTTTTTCTTTCTCTTGCCTAATTGTCCTGGCCAGGATGTCCAATAGTATATTGAATAGGAGAGGTGAGAGAGGGCATCCTTATAATAAGGGGTCATATCTCTACACTGGCACCTACCTGGATTCAGCTTTTCAGTTTGACCCCCTACAAGAAACTCCACCATCACTAGCTAATGCTATTCCTTTGACCTACCCACAGGGTTTCTTTAGGTGTTTTGGCATCTGCTGTCACATCTGTGTCTCACTCAGCTCTATAGGAAAACATTTAACTCTCTCCTGCCACCTGCCAGAGATATGCCCTGAGGCTCTGTACCTTTGGCTTCAGTCATCGCTTGACCACATGCAACTCTCTCAACACCCGTGAAGAACCTGCCAGAATGTAGGAACACAACCAGGAATGTGAGCATGGGTTATCTCACTCTTTCATGACTTAAACTAATGTAGGATTTTAGCACAACCCTGTAAGATATGGCCTAGAGAAAAAAAAGAACACAAGACAACAGTCGTCCGTCTATGATCCGTCTCTTGTTCTCTCCCATTCTATAACCACTGGGATCTTATCTGAGTAGGAAAGCAAGAAAAATTTGTTTATGGAATAAACTTTATGACCTGTGTCTTATAAGATTATACTTCAGAAAAACAAAATCTCACCCTCTTGCACTTCTAAAAGCCTTTTCTCTCAAGATCATAATCTCTATTTTCAGTACCAAAAGTCTGTTTTAAGTACAGACTTAAAATATTGACCCATTTGTTTTCCCCTGAATTTATTTTCCTAAAAGACACAATTCCATATTTTCCTAGCTGTTGGGTAGGGGCTGCAAGTACAATAAATTGTGTTTGAAGTGTGAGGGTAGCACTGATGAAGATGTAGACATATCAGTCAATAATTCAACATATTCCTACACATGTGCTTTCCCCCATTAGAAATAAAAGCCTGAGAAAAGAAATGGTTATTCTTTTGACAACTGTGTTCTCAGCATCTAGAATAGCACCTGGAAAATGAATATTTGTTGAATGAAGACCTGTACATAAAATGGCTCAAATCCTCATCAACACAAACACCCACAGAAGTATTGAAAGAGAAAAGGACTAGAGGCAGAAACCTGAGAAAAACAAATAATTTAAGGTGGAAGATAGTGGACAAATTGTTAGTGAAGGAGGATAAGAAGGAGAGGTCAGCAAATTAGAAGAAAACCCAGGTGAAAAAAGAAAAGTGGTACAGAAAGCAAAGAAGGAGAGAATTCAAAGGGCAGAGAAAGCAAACTATGTTAAGAAGAAAATAAAAAACAGTGATCTGGTAGAATAAAGGCTTAAGAGCAGGTGAATGGTTTTGACAATTTATAGGCCATTAATAACCTTTGAGAGATCAGCTTGAATGAAATAGTTGGTTCAGAAGTCCAATTGCAATGGGCTGAAGAGTCAGAAACCAGCTAGGATAATGAATGTGAAAGTGCTTCTTAAATCTTAAACCACTTTAAAAATGCAATTAGAATATACAGCTTGTTAGATTTAGGTCCTGCTTGTTGCTCATTCACCAAACTTTCTGAATTCATCTATTTTTCTTGGCATCAAGCACAGGCAGCTAGGGCTTTAGCTGAGTATGTCACAATCAATGAAACAGATGTTAACATTTCCTTAACATTTTTCTTCTTCCTTGACCTAACCTTTCTTCATAGCATGCCCAGGTTTAAATTAATGCACTGTGATTAAACAATCTTCAAATGCACTCCACTGTTTCTCTAGGTCATTTCAATAGGTCATCTTCTATTGCCAACACCTTCACAACTTGCCCTCAGCTTCTTAAAAAATTCTGATTTGTTTAGGCAAAATTGATAAAACTTTGAATGTGTCCTTGACCTCAGCCACGAGATCTGGAACACAATCTATCACTTAACCATGCCTCAGAACTGGCCCCAATTGCATTATTTTGAATACTTCTTATTTCTTGGCTTCTCTATCCCTGATTTCCATTTTTATGGATTCCCTGTCTATCAAGTGAACTACTAGACATTGCATGAACTTAAGATATCATTAATTACACTCTGAAAGTTTTCTTTTCCTGACTCGGGCATATATTTCTCAAATAACCTCATTCTAATTTTCCTTTTAATGACACCTAATTGTCAGAACATTAATAGAAAGGCATAAAATCAGAAATTTTAGATTGGTTATATTTAAAATAATTCAGAAAGTAACGGTTTGAGAGTATATTAATTTGTTTCATAGAGAAAACACTAGCAGATATTAATATTTAAAGTTTCCTGCCACTATTTGAGATTTTTCTACCAGAACCTTATAACTTATCTTTTCAGCACCAGAACTGTTTATGAAGAAAAATAATCAAATGAAATAATTTCATAGTTATTTTTATTGGCAAAACAGTGACATCTATTGTTCAGTGTTATATAAAATGGAATTCAAAAATCAAAAGCAATGCCTTATTTTTAATGTGATTAGCTCCAGAATAATAACTTCTTAGATTTATTGTTTCAAAAAGAGTAATGGATGATATTCAATAATTCATTTTTATTCTGAAATCAAATTTAGGTGATTATTTAGGATCATGAACATGTAATTATGATTCAAAGGCCCAAGATCTGTCTAGGTACTAAAAATAGAAAGAAAGAAATAAGATAAAAATATGGAATAAAATTCTTAAAGGTGACTGCTTTTTTTCTATATATGTATTTTTCTTGGTATAAATCAGTTTAATATGTTTACTGAAATCTGTGAATCCGCAGATTGATTTCTGAACTCAAGGCAAGTTTCTGTTCTCATCTTAATTCTGTTGTTAACTAAATCTGTGAATTTAAATAAGTTGCTTTCATCTTGGCTACAGTTTATTATCCACAAAAATATGAGTATGAGTCTTGAACTGAAAGTAGTCAACTTCCTGCTAGCATTTATTTTTCCAGAAGATGCTATTCAGAATCACTAGATTAAGCAAAAATTTTTAAAGTTTGACCATACTGAGTGTCCATAATGATATGGAAGAATTGAAATTCTCAAATACTGATGTTAGGAGTATAAACAAATACAGTCCCTTTCTAAAGCAATTTGAAAATATCCTGTAAATTTTAAGGTGAATCTATCCCATCATCCTGCTTTTCCGTTTGTGTAAGCACTTCACAGGGAATTCCCACACATGCACACAAGGAGGTATTTTCAAGAACTACATCATTGCAATATTGAAAAATTCACAATATATTACAGGAGAATTTATAAAATCTTGCATCTGTACCTACTGATATATTTTACAATATAAACATAAAATGATTGAATTACAGTAGCATCTATCAACATGGGTAAACCTCAATCAAACAATATGAGTAAAAGAGGCACATTTCAGATTATGTAGCAAATGACCTTTTATATAAGAAACCAAAATGTTTCTATTCATTGACTATGGGCACACCATAGGTAAAAAAGTATAAAATATTCATGAGAATAATAAAGAACAAATTCATGACAATGGTCACCTATGGAAATACAGGGGAGGTAATGTGACCAGGATGGATACACTGGGACTTGAACTGCATCTGAAATGTTTTCCTTATTGAACAAAAAGAGAGAAAGACATCTGAAGCAAAATAAGGCAAACTGAGGAGCTGTTTTCAATGAGTTATGGGCACACTGATTCTTATTAGATGATTATACTTTTCTGCATGTTTTAAATATTTCATAATTTTGATAAAAACAATATTAAAATTCTAATTCTAAATCTCACAGAAAACTGAGTACCTAATCTTTTTTGTCTATTTTTTGGGATTTTTATGAGATTAGAATTTAGTGACAAGTGTATGATAAGTTCTGAAACATAGTTTGTCTCTCTCCAGTCCTCATATTTGTTAAAACAAAAAAAGCACAGCAAGAATAATTTTTCACATAGGCTTTTAAATTGGCTTTGATGGAACTCTTTTCCACAAGGAATATCGGATTAGACTTTCTAAAGCTGAGACCAGCCATGGGTTCATACCCTCAAATTACTATTAGTTGAGTAAATTCCTCCATTCTTGAAGTCCCAAGATAGCTTGGGGCTCCTGGGCATATTAGAAAATGACGTTCTTTACTTACCACAGGTTAGGAACCCTATACAGTGACTGTGTAGACAAGGTGTGAAGCCAGTTTTCCCAAGCGGCTTTTATTGGCTCTGCAAGTCACGTTTGATTCCTTAAAGGGAAGCACACCCTTCCAGTCAAAGTCTTAGTAAAACAACCAGTTTCTCCAATTGTGTCCTGTTGCAAAAGAAAATGGATTTTTATTGCACTTATCCTACTAACCATATTGCCATAAGTTAAGAATACTCACAAATAGTTTCCAAATTCTAGAGAAACCAGGTGAGAGAAACAAATATGCCCCAAATTTTGTTAACAGGAGTATACCTTACTCAATTGTTAAAAGCTGCAGGCCAGGCGCAGTGGCTCACACCTGTAATTCCAGAACTTTGGGAGGTGGAGGCAGGCGGATCACAAGGTCAGGTGTTCCAGACCAGCCTGGCCAATGTGGTGAAAACCCGTCTCTAGCAAAAATACACAAATTAGCCAGGTGTGGTCATGGGCATCTGTAATCCCAGCTACTTGGGAGGCTGAGGCAGGAAAATTTCTTGAACCTGGGAGAAAGAGTTTGTAGTGAGCCAAGATTGCACCACTGCATTCCAGCCTGTATGACAGAGCAAGACTCCGTCAAAAAAAAAAAAAAAAAGGAAAAAAAAAAAACTAAAAAAAAACCCACAAAAACTGCAGATAGCTCAAAAGAAAAGTTTTTTTGACTCCGAAAAACGAAATAAGGACCAGCAATGTTTTAAGCAAAAAGTTAAACAAGATTACTTCAGTTTTCTGTTAGTTCAGTCCATTCAGTTAACTCTTGTTCTGCTTGATATTCATGAACATTTCAGCTCTTGGTGAGTTCTGAATGTTTTTCATTTATTTTAATGTCACAATCTCCAAAGAAATCAGAAACCCGTATTTGAGAGCACCTGTGAAAGTCCTATATAAACCATCTTTTGAAAAGGATCAAAGCAAGACAATTGTCTGTGAATGACAAAATGTCCAGGGTAGTTACAGCCAAAAACACAATTGACAAAGAAATTTGGTTACTTCTGTGGTTTACAATAAATTAACATAATAACCTCATTATGATTGATGACATATACTGAGACAATAAATTTTAGAAATCCCATGCAATTTTTGAACATATATTAATATTACTCACTAAAATATAACCTAAAAAAGATTAAACCTTATTTTTGTTTTGGCAATCTTGTGTAACTAAACATGTCAAATAATCCTATTTACCTCTCCTTTGGATGCTCTAGGGGCCCTCTGTAGTATCCAAAAGTTAGAGGTCAGGAAAGACAATTTTGAAGCTGAAATTTGATTTTGGAAAGTCTATCAAATATGTTAAAGGTTTAAAACCCTTGATATTATGAAAGAGAATTCCAGGTTACCATAATTCATTTATTTGGTCAAAAGGTGACTCAAAACATTTTTTACAAAGGGGAAAAACCATTTACTCATTAAGAGGGAAGACTTAGCTTTCCAAACAATCTGTCTCTTGTCTTTCCCTTCCTTTTTTGGTAGTTTATTCTCAAGACAAACAAGAAACCTCCATTATCCTTTAATGTTACATGAAAATCTTGTTAGAGAGAAAAGAAAGCCAAATTTCACCCTTGCATTAGTCTACTATTAATGTCCACTCCAATTTTTTAAATGAAATTTTAAAAAATTAATTTTTTATATTTTTAAAAATTTTTAAATTTCGTGTAATAAATCAATTTATTATATCATACTATATTATTCTTTATTATATTATAATTCTACACAATCTTAGCTATTTTGACTATGAGGTGAGATTCTTATAAACCTTTTTTTTTTTTAAAGGCAATTCTTTTTTTAAGTTTTTTTTCTTTTATTATTATACTTTAAGTTTTAGGGTACATGTGCACATTGTGCAGGTTAGTTACATATGTATACATGTGCCATGCTGGTGCGCTGCACCCACTAACTTGTTATCTAGCATTAGGTATATCTCCCAATGCTATCCCTCCCCCCTCCCCCCACCCCACAACAGTCCCCAGAGTGTGATGTTCCCCTTCCTGTGTCCATGTGATCTCATTGTTCAATTCCCACCTATGAGTGAGAATATGCGGTGTTTGGTTTTTTGTTCTTGCCATAGTTTAATGAATGATGATTTCCAATTTCATCCATGTCCCTACAAAGGACATGAACTCATCATTTTCTATGGCTGCATAGTATTCCATGGTGTATATGTGCCACATTTTCTTAATCCAGTCTATCATTGTTGGACATCTGGGTTGGTTCCAACTCTTTGCTATTGTGAATAATGCCGCAATAAACATACGTGTGCATGTGTCTTTATAGCAGCATAATTTATAATCCTTTGGGTATATACCCAGTAATGGGATGGCTGGGTCAAATGGTATTTCTAGTTCTAGATCCCTGAGGAATCGCCACACTGACTTCCACCATGGTTGAACTAGTTTACACTCCCACCAACAATATCATACTGAATGGGCAAAAACTGGAAGCATTCCCTTTGAAAACTGACACAAGACAGGGATGCCCTCTCTCACCACTCCTATTCAACATAGTGTTGGAAGTTCTGGCCAGGGCAATTAGGCAGGAGAAGCAAATAAAGGGTATTCAATTAGGAAAAGAGGAAGTCAAATTGTCCCTGTTTGCAGACAACATGATTGTATATCTACAAAACCCCACTGTCTCAGCCCAAAATCTCCTTAAGCTGATAACCAACTTCAGCAAAGTCTCAGGATACACAATCAATGTACAAAAATCACAAGCATTCTTATACACCAACAGCAGACAAACAGAGAGCCAAATCATGAGTGAATTCCCATTCACAATTGCTTCAAAGAGAATAAAATACCTAGGAATCCAACTTACAAGGGATGTGAAGGACCTCTTCAAGGAGAACTACAAACCACTGCTCAAGGAAATAAAAGAGGATACAAACAAATGGAAGAAGATTCCATGCTCATGGGTAGGAAGAATCAATATCGTGAAAATGGCCATACTGCCCAAGCTAATTTACAGATTCAATGCCATTCCCATCAAGCTACCAATGCCTTTCTTCACCGAACTGGAAAAAACTACTTTAAAGTTCATATGGAACCAAAAAAGAGCCCGCATCGCCAAGTCAATCCTAAGCCAAAAGAACAAAGCTGGAGGCATCACACTACCTGACTTCAAACTATACTACAAGGCTACGGTAACCAAAACAGCATGGTACTGGTATAAATCTTTTTTCAATCCCTTACCAATTTCTGTTAAAGAGCAGATAAATGCCTTAAGAAAATCTTGTGCTTTTATTTCAATGCTTAATTTATGGAAAAAGAAAATAATACCCTTTTGAATTTAGTCAATATGTTCACATATTTCTTTTACAAGGTTTATTTTTACAAACCTTCTACAACTTGTTTAAACCTTTAGCTTCATCTTATCTAATCTAAGACAATCCTTTAACCCTTTCAACTAGGCAAAAATTTACCTTCCCATGGCTTCTTATAATCATACCTTCTTATAATCTTTTACTAAAAACACATTTTATTTTCCTTACAAACCTTGTATGTAAATCTTTTTTCAGTAGTCTTAATTACATGTTATAATGGTAATTCTGAACAATCTTTAATTTTGGTGTAAAACCCAGTTATTTTAATTATGTTCTAGGTGCAGATAAGGTCTGACTGTTTTCAGCACATTTAGAGGTGTGGTTAATTCCATATGTCCACAGGCCTTACCAAACTGTGAAGCAGACAAGTTGAACAATTTTCAAAAGCCAAAGAAGCAGTTTATGACCTTAAAGCATGTATCAAACCTAGTATGTAACCTGCATAATTCAGACCCCATATTTACATTTTGAAGATATTTGTATTTTACCAATAATAATTAAAACAAGATTAAAGTTATGTAACTAAAAGGTATCAGAACTTTTTTTTCCTTTAAAAATATTTGATCTAAGCTCTTATTTTTTAAGCCAGTTAATTAGAGCTGTTTTTTTAATAAACATCATGCACATAACACATACATACAGACAGAAAAAGATTCACTAGTTGTACAAATATTCATTTTGCCAATCTCCTAATTGGATTATTGATCTCAGGCTGGAGCCCTTCAAGAAACAAGGCTAGGAAAGCGTGTGGTTTAGGAGCCTTAGATTTTGAGAGGGATCCATCCACTTTTAATTCCTGGAGTTCCATGAGGAAAACAGAGACTTTTTTCCCAAAATGGGGTCTGTGACACCTTCTCTGTTTTTCCTAAAAAGTACCAGGCTATTAGAAGTTATCTTTGTGCCTCTCATGTGTGCATTAAGAGTGGCAAGACAAGATGGAGACAATTAATTTAGCCAATTGAGAAAACAAAACAAACAAACAAACAAAAAACACTTCTAGCAAAACAAGATCCAAGAAGATCCAAGAGAAAAAACAAAACAAAAAGCCATAAAGGCCTTTTAAATATACCCATAGCTTGGATATCCACTTTTAATTAAGCTGAATGTTAACCATAGAACCATTTTTTAAAAATCTTTTTAAATCCCTTATTACTCGACTTTAGCCACACCAAGCAGCCAATATTTCTGGCTTTTAAACTTTACCAAAGGTAACCTCACAGGTGAAACCAACAAGCCTTGTTTAAGGTTATGACTTAACCATGAGTGTACAAGATACTTTCAAACAGGTGGTAAAGCAGTTTTTACAAAACACCCCCAATATTGTATATAAAGAAGAGACAGGTGCCACAAAAAAAGAAGGAAAATGCCTTAGAAAAGACTGGATTGGAACAGAGCCGACATTCTCATCCCCAAGTGCGATGGGGTGTGGGTGGCAGCCTCCTCTGCAGCCATGTCATTCATTCTTAATTGGCTAACAGAGATCCGGTGCTCCATCTGTTTTCAGAAAACATCTGAGGACAAGAAAGCTCAGAAATGAAAGTGAAAGAGGGTTTGGGTCCACATTTTTTCATCCTTCCTCAGATCCTTGACAAGCCCCCAGAAAATGACGCAGGATTTTACTTGGTCATTTTGCCAGCTGGGGACCTCTGGCTGCCAACACTCCTACCTGGGTCTCACTCAGGCATGCTACCTGCTGCAGGAGGTGCCCCACCCACTTGGCCCACCCAAGCTGAGTCTGGCTTGCACACAGGCTTGGCTTGCACACAGGCTCAGCCTGCAGCTGTGCTGGATGTGCCTTAGCTCACCTGTGCTGCAGTTTGTACCTACATTCTGCGGTTCCTGAGCTCTTGTCTGGCCTCTAAGAAGAATAAGGATAAGTTGACAATTGAAGAGTGAGGAGGGCAGAGAATAATTTTATTGAGCAACAGAACAGCTCTCAACAGAGAGGGAAATGGGGAGTGGTCCCCCATCCCTGCAGTTAGATGGTTTCTTTCTCAGTGTGGCTGAGTCTTGGGCTTTTATCTCTAATGTCGTCTTTATCCAAAGAGAGCCAAAATAGATCATTCAGGTGATTTGGGGGGAAGGACATTTAATTTCATGAGAAAACATGTTTGTTAGTATGATTTTTTAATTGAAATGATTAAATGGCCAATTCAATGAAAGCAATTGTACTTGTGATCATGTGTGAATACAACATTAATATTAAGCTCAGTTATCATCAACCAGTAACAAAAGAAATAAGAACCGTATATAATGGCCCTTTAAAGAAATCTGAACAGGATATTATAAGCATTTTCTAGTATATGATATGGTAGATAATGGTTCTACTAGAAAACCAAATCCCTAATGTGACTTCAAAGAGCTTCTGCACAGTGGTTGAATCTAGATTGCAAGATGCTCGTCCCCAGAAGCTCTAGGGACTGCTAATGGAGAAGAAAAAATTGGATGCTGCCAATTATTACCTACGGTCTTGGCCCCTGAAAGCAGTATTTTCCCCTACTATAAATTGTTGTACTTTTAAAAATGTTTCTAAAATTATAAAATTTATCAAACTGGTAGTATTTGTGGGAGGGGGGAATCAGCCCTTAATGTAATCCTTAAAAAATGTAATTTTGGACAATAAAAATAAAACAAGCTTTTGTTTAGTTTCATGGCTCTTTTAAAGCTCTCTCCTTTAAATTAAAATATATGCAATCCAGGCATTCATTTGACTAACAAATATATTTGAACTTCTATTATATGACACCACTCAGTGGATATTCATTGGCTTTACATAGCCTTCATAACATATCATAGATGTCTTTGAAGTTTATTTATGTGGGGAGAGTGGGAGATGTCAAGGGAAGACATGAAACCTAGGATACATCCTGATGGGATGGGCAAGAGGCAAAGACACAGCCCCAGAATTTACTCCTAGTCAAACTTTCCTCCTCATTATATGCCTCTTCAATATCTCTTTCCTCTCACCCACCCTTTACTCAAGTAGAAAGGCCAATGCTTGCTTTCTATTCAAATGCTTATGGGAATGCACATGCCAAGGCTACAATTTCCTGGGTCTGTGATAATATGAAAGAAACATCTAAAAATCTCATAACATGTCCTCTCCCTCTGCTGAGGTAGAAAGTTATAAAAACACCTGTGAAACAGAAGAGAGAAAAACTCAAAGGTCAAGTCCCCATGGATATGTTCTCTCGAGGTCACAAGCTATAGAGCACAAGTTTATGAGGAGCACAGAGTGTATGTAGTTTCTGGCCTCTTATTCAGCTGTCTCCAAATAACATCTTGTGTCCTATTTTCAAAATTCGCCATTCACTTTTGCTTATATAAAGTTTAATTATATTAGTACAAATATGTAATATATAATCGTTCTATTGCTGATGCAACTAATCACAACAATCCTAGTAGCTTTAAAAGAAACCCCAATTTTATTATTTAGCAGTTCTGTAGGTCAGAAGTCCACTCTAGCTGGGATAAAACCAAAGTGTTGGCAGGCAGGGCTGTGTTTCTTTTCGAAAGCTCTAATGGAGAATCCATCCCACCGTCTTTTTCAGCTTCTAGAGGTCATCTGCATTCCTTGGCTCCTGGCTCCCTTCCTCTTTCTTCAAAGCCAGCAAGTTTGCATTTCTCTGACCTTTGTTCTATCATCCATCCAGCGAGGCTCTTTGACTACAACAGGGAAATGTTACCTGCTTCGAAGGATTTCTGTGATTACATTAGACTCACCCAGATAATCCCAAAATAAACTTTCCATTCCAGGGTCCTTAACCTTAATCACATCTGCAAATTCCCTTTTACCATGTAAAGTAGCTTATCCACAAGTTTGAAGGATCAGCTTGTAGACATCTTTGGAAGTCACTATTCTAACATACATACATATCGGAATAATTATATATGTATATATGCATATATCTCTATCATGAATTTATATACATTCATATATACACTCATTTGTATGTCCTCATATATGTGTGTATATAATATGAATATATAAATTTATATATATGTGTGTGCATATATATATGATGAATTTAAAATGGTAAGGACATCAACACAGAATGAGGACAAGGATTCAGTGCTAACCGTTTCTTGACTGGCCCTCTATACGTAATCTTTTTGAATTTTCAAAACAACCAAGCAAGTTAGATGAAATTTCCAGTGTCAGCAGATAAAGAAACGCGGTTGCAGAGAAGTCTAGTAATTTACCCTAAGTCATATAGTTTTTAAGTGTCTCTCTCAAAATTTAAACACAACCTATACTCTACTATCAAGGCCAATTTGAAATGAAGAAGTATGATTTAGAGGGAGCCATATTACCAAGATGTAAAATTTTAAAACAATAATTTTTAGATCAAATAATTTACTTAAAAGTCTGATGATTAAGACAAACCTGGCATATTCGTAACTGCTTCTCCTAGAAACCGTTTCTCAGTAAAAGGCACCACGGTATGGTATTGGACAATCAGGAATCTCATGTCTTTTTAATGCCCCCTCCCCTTTTCCCTCACTACCATTTATAGTCAAAACGTCACCATGTTCTTCTTTCCCTTCCTTTTACCTATCTCTCAATCTCATCTATTAGCATTGCCACTCCTCTAGTGTACAGATCATTTGGTGGTTGATTTTAAAAGCCTTCTAACTTCTAACTGGTTCTCTGCCTCCTGTCTTGCTCACCTCACCCCTACTATCTATTCTCCATTATTACAGAGTGAGTGCTTTAAAACGTGCATATTAGCCTGAAGCTCTCTTACTTAAAGCCTTTGAAATTCTCTCCATTTCCCCCATTGCTTTTAAGACAAAAACAAACTTATTTTACAAGACTTGCCTAGTTGGCTGCTTCTGCTTTCTTCATCAATTTATCTCCCATAACCATCCCATACCTCCTTTCCTCCTTCACACAATTTTATCTTCTATTTAGTTTCTTTCCATTCCTAAAACACACACAGACACACAGACACACACACACACACATACCCCTCTTATCTGGTCTTTTTCATAATCTGTCCCTCTGGAAAATTCTCATCTAAATTGTTCGTTTGGGCCAGATGCGGTGGCTCACGCCTGTAATCCCAACACTTCGGGAGGCCGAGGCGGGCGGATCACCTGAGGTCAGGAGTTGGAGACCAGCCTGGCCAACATGGTGAAACCCCGGCTCTACTGAAAATACAAAAATTAGGCAGCATGGTGTCAGGGGCCTGTAATCCCAGCTACTTGGGAAGCTGAGGCAGAACTGCTTGAACCTGGAAGGCAGAGGTTGCAGTGAGCCGAGGTTGTGCCACTGCACTCCAGCCAGGGAGACAAGAGCAAAACTCTGTCTCAAAAAAAAAAAAAAAGTTCATTCGGATGAGTTTTGCATATCCTCTGAAAAGCCTTCCCCGAATTTCCCAGTCTGAACTAGTTACTCTCATATGTATCCTTACAGAATCATGTATATCAAAATATTTATTACCCTAAAATTTCCTCATCTGTTTACAGGTTGTATCTCACCCCACAATTAGACCCTACTTTAGGGGACAGGAGTCATGTTCTTAAATATTTGCATTTTTTAAAATTACACGTTTACCTTTTTCCGAGATCATAATTACTTACGTATGCATCTTAGAATAACTTCTACATATAGTCTCCACTTTAAAGCTAGTAAAATACTAATATAATTTATAAATTTCCATAGCTAAGACAAATAATATCAAAAAACAGAAGTTATTAATTTTTAAGAAAGTTATATTACAATTTATGGAAATTTTAGATTAAAGGTCTAAATAATCTAGTTTCTGCCATAAAGTTTCATATTTTGATATCTGGGCTGTCCATGCAGTCAAATGACTCTGAAATCATTTTATACATTATTCTTCCCATAAATAACTGTGAAAATATTATTGTTTCCTCCAAAAAAATGAATAATTAGAAGTAGTTTTTATGTGTATGCACACTAAAATTTGGAACTACAATTATTAACAATAGGATTTTGGTCTAATTCAACCACTTTCTGGGGCTAAATCAAAAAGATATTAAGCTTAACCACACTTTTTAAATTCTGTTCTGTGTGGTATGTAAGAAAAGGGAAGCTGATCAAACCAATGTTTTATACTGAAATTATGTTTCTAAAACAAGTAACCAATTTACGGGATTTAAAAAAATAATTTTGTGTCAAAACAATTGGTTTTTCAACTCTCTGCTTTATATTTTAATTGTTTGTTTTTGAGTCATCAAACACGTGCTGATTGACCATAATAACAATCAAATTAACAAAACAGCTGCCAATGTTAGTTTCAGGCTTAATGTGTCTCCTTTTAGCCCATTTAAATTCACCACACCTATTGATGAACTGAAAGTTTGGTTCTCAGATTTTGCCAGTGAAAGCAGATTCTAACATTAAGGATGGTTGACTATGATAATGAAACTCAGTGATTGGCATGGGGAAATAGCAAGGTTACCATAAGAAGACAAAACTAGGTATGTAGAATACATGACCAAAATTATGGAATGCATTCATTTGACAGACCTGGTGCACTTACTGTTAGCTGCTAAAACCTCCACTTCAGACGCACTTTTGTCACACTTTTGTGTATATGATTGTGGCAGCCAACATTGAATGAAAAAAATACGAGAAAAACATGATAATGTAGGAAAACATGGAGAGAAGACTTTTGCAACTTAGAAATACTCTTGTAAACAAACGGAGAGCCTGTTTTACTCAAAGAAAGTCTAAGTTTTAAGTTGAGGAGAACCATAGTAAACAGAAAACCATAATGCAATGTCATTTCTCATCATTGTAGAGTCAACATAGAGTTCTATTTAGAACTGGTTACAGAGGGATGTTGCCGTAATCAAAACACAACTTCCTGACTTCTAATGAGTTCTTGACTTTCTGATTATGTAAAAGATATGGACAGATTGTTATCATGATATTTCCTATGAAGTTAATTCTTTCACTAGCTTTTTGGCATGGGAAAAGATTGTGATACTGCCTTGAAAATTCTACAAGATTTTTAAAGATAGCATTTTATAATAATGTTTTAAAATTTCATTTTTATACATCACATTTCATCTAACACTAATGAGGGTTGGTTAGTCAGTGGTTTAGTTAGGGTTCTCCAGAGTTAGATCCTGAGAAGAAAACCTGGGGTGCAGATCAGGAAAAAAGAGGGAGCCAAGCAACAGTACAATAGCAGAATAAAAAGGTAAAGGGTAACTTTAATCTCATCTGCAAAGAAATTCTAGAGTATAAGTTATGCTTCAGAATTCTGCTGACCTGAGATAACGGATCAGAGATTTCAAATTTTTACTGCCTTCAGACATTGGCTAAGGGCTCCAAGAGGAATATAATATTTCAGGTAACTCTGTCTCTTCCCATTTGCAGGCAAAATAGGTTTCAGTAGCCCAAGGACAGTCCTTTACTAGCTGTTGGAAGCAAAAGCACATAGAAACTGGGAAGGTTTGGAAGGGATTCATAAAACCAGCAGGAAAAAAGTGACCCAAAGGCACACGAGCAGAACACACTCACATTGTACACTGCAGTCAGGTTTTACTACCTCATTTTCAAAGACAAGAAAACTAAAGATAAGCAAGGAAATGTGATTTATATACAGTCACACACAGGTAAAGGTGCAAAATTGAGATTACAAATGACCCTAGTTATAGATCCTGTGTTGTTCTTGCTGTTGCTTCCTCATTACATCATACTATATGATAATGTTATTTATTTTCATAATTAGCATATAACCTTAGAATAAAATATTACCTGATATTTTGTAGCACTCTACACATTTTCGCTTACTTTGAATATTTTGTTTCTCTTTGTGTAGGTAGTTTTATAACCAATTAAGCCAGAGGTCACAAATATAGGGCTCTGGCAGATAATGTAAATCAATTAATCAGGCCAGCTGAGAGAAACAATAAAGAAAGGTGAACCCCCTGGAGAGCTGCTGTCTGTCTAAAGGAGGCAGCCATCTTTCAGTCCCAGATTCTTGCTGCGGCGAGACAATGAAGATCTGGTGTGGCCAGACCATCTGTTTTCTGATTTTTCCAAGTTCAGCAAAAAATCAGAATATTTCATATATAGTCTCCTAATCTTTAAATACTACTCACTGACCCATTGTTTTAACTGGAAGCCAATTTTGTACAAGTCACACATACACGTGCTTTCTCTCTCTCTTCCTTCCTTTCTCTTTCTTTCTTTCTTTCTTTCTTTCTTTCTTTCTTTCTTTCTTTCTTTCTTTCCTTTCTTTCTTTCTTTCTTTCTTTCTTTCTCTTTCTTTCTTTCTTTTTTCCTTCTTTCTTTCTTCTTTCTTTCTTTCTCTCTCTCTCTCTCTCTGTTTCTCAGGAAACATTTCTATTGTGGGTGAGCTACTATTTTGTTCTTCAGGTATACACTAGCATAGTTGGTACAGTTGAACTTTAGATATGCCTCCTCTGATGTCATTTAAATTAAAACAATTTTAAAACCATGATGCTGGTCAAAAAACATGCAGTGAACAGGGTTTAGTTTGTGGCCCCTGAACTAAGTTAATGCTTCCCTGAATTATATATTTTATTCAATTCAGTCACAAGTGATAGTTTATTTTCAAAGCAAATGAGGCATTTTGTGTGTGTGTATGTGTGTATGCGTGCATGTGTGTGTGTGTAGGGGGGGTTTTGACTCTTATACTGAACTACAAATGAAAGCAGAGGGAGAATTCAAAATTCTTTAACATTGCTGTAAACTCTGTCAAAGTGAATCTTCTGTGTCTACAGCAGTGACTTAGAATCTCATGACACCCAATGTCCTCTTTAGTAAAATTTTGTATAGCACCACCACTGTTATCATGGAATGAAATTTATAAAATACTATTGCATATCGACACACACTAATTCTAAGAAAATCAGTATCAAGCCCAAACTATAACATTAGGAAGAAAGAACAGAAAACTAACTTATAATTGAATAACATGCATATCTCTGTCTAAAAGCTTGGACATGATTATACTAGAAGACTTAATTAGTCATATTCTTGCCCCTATAAAATGACTACCTGTATATGTCAGCTGCAAATGAAGGACAGTCAGAATTTTGGCATGGGTGATCTAAATTTTTAAAAAATGTATGGTTCTCAGTAAAATATTTTCCAAATTGAAAAATAATTTTTGATATGAACTTCCAAAAATAAAATAAAGCACATTATTCCTTTCATTTACACAAATGTCAGGTGTCCAGGAAATGCAACATACATAATAAATTGACACAAATTTCTGGGTTTGTGTGTAAAATGAGTTAGGTTCTGAGCTCAAATACTTATTAAAAGCTTTTAATCTACTTGAGGGGACATTTGGAATTCATGTAGAGCAGCGGTCCCCAACCTTTTTTGGCACCAGGGACAGGTTTTGTGGAAGACAATTTTGCCACGACAGGGGCGGGGAGGGGGAAGATGGTTTAAGTGCATTACATGTATCATCAGATTCTCGTAAGAAGCGTACAACCTAAATCCCTCTCATGCACAATTCACAATAGGATTCACACTCCTATGAGAATCTGGTGTCGCCTCTCATTAGACAGGAGGTGGAGCTCTGGTGTAGAGCCTGAGAAAAATTCTTTACCATGCTATCTCTTGCTTTGAAGGGGTTCTAGCATCCCTCATCCCAACCTACCTATTAAATGGTGGAGCATCCCAATTATTGTGATAACCCAGAGAGTTTCACTAAGGGGCAGTACTTTCCTATTGAGAACCAGTGTTCTCTAATGTCATCATGAAGACAGAAGCCAAATGAGTAAAATAACACAGAATGTTGAAGAAAATAGGTTTCAAATCTTTCAAATGACAACTAACATGGTACTTGGGAGAGAGTACAGTTTGGAAATTAAGATCAGCTGAGGCTGGCTTTTCCGCAGTGGGAGCCAGGGAGGCTAGACAGCTTGGTCCCAAGACTTGTCCCCACAGCCCAACACACCAGCTGTGGTAGTCTGTGGCCAGAGTGCCTCTTCAGGTCTAACCCTGGCCCATGTTTCCTCAGTGGGTGGGGCTTCCCTGCAGGAACTCCAATAACTCCAGCCAGAGGGTCAGGGACAGAATTTGGATCTCCCTGGGTCTGAGCCCCTAGGGGGAGGGGTGGCCTCAGTCTCTGCAGACTGGCAGACTTAGTCTCTCCTCATGGTAGTTCTGAGGAACGTGGGCAGCCCAAACAAGTGGGTTTCCCCCCAGTGAACCATACCATCTCCACCAAGTGACAAAGTGTCTCATTAAACGGGCCCTACTCTCTGTGCCACCCAACTGGGTGAGACCCTCCAACAGGGGTTGTCAGACACCCTATACAGGAGCGATCCTACTGGCATCAAGTTAGTGCCTCTCAAGGTTGGAAGTTCCAGTAAAAGGAGCAGGCACCCATTCTGGCTGCTCTCCAGCCTCCTTGAGTGACATCTCCAGGCATGGGAGTGTATCAGATGAATACGGCCTGTAATGAACCCCCAGCAAACTGTAGCGGCCCTACAGAAGACAGACCTGATTATTGAAAGAAAAACAAGCAGAAAGCGACAAGAACAGCATCATCAGCATCATCAACAACGACAACAACAACAACAAAAAGTCCCCCACAAAAAGCCCACGCAAGGGTCAGCAACCTCAAAGACCAAAACTGACAAACTCATGAAGATGAGAAAGAATCAAGAAAAAAAAATGCCGAAAACCCAAAAGGCCAGAGTGCCTCTTCTCCTCCAAATGACTGCAACATCTCTCCATCAGGGGCACAAAACTGGACAAAGGATCAGATGGACGAATTGACAGAAGTAGGCTTCAGAAGATGGGTAATAAAAATCTACAATGAGCTAAAGGAGCATGTTCTAACCCAATGCAAGGAAGCTAAGAACTTTGATAAAAGGTTAGAGGAATTGCTAACTAGAATAACCAATTTAGAGAGGAACATACATGACCTGTTGGAGCTGAAAAACACAGCACGAGAACTTCATGAAGCATACACAAGTATCAGCAGCCAAACCGACCAAGCAGAAGAAAGGATATCAGAGCTTGAAGACCACCTTACTGAAATAAGACATGCAGACAAGAATAGAGAAAAAAGATGGAAAAAGAATGAACAAAGCCTCCAAGAAATATGGGACTTCATAAAAAGAACAAACCTACGGTTGATTGGAGTAACAGAAGGAGAAGGGGAGAATAGAAACAAGCTGGAAAGCACACTTCAGAATATTATCCAGGAGAACTTCCCCAACCTAGCAAGACAGGCAAATATAAAAATTCAGGAAATACAGAGAACACCATTAAGATATTCCATGAGAAGACCAACCCCAAGACACATGATCATCAGATTCTCCAAGGTCAAAATGAAGGAAAAACTGTTAAGGGCAGCCAGAAAGAAAGACCAGGTCACCTAAAAAGAGAAGCCCATCAGACTAATAACAGACCTCTCGGCAGAAACTCTACAAGCCAGAAGAGATTGGGAGCCAATATTTGGCATTCCTAAAGAAAAGAATTTTCAACCCAGAATTTCATGTCCAGCCAAACTAAACTTCATAAGCAAAGGAGAAATAAAATCCTTTACAAACAAGCAAATGCTAAAGGATTTTCACATCACCAGGCCTGCCCTGCAAGAGCTCCTGAAAGAAGTACTAAATATGGAAAGAAAAAAACAGGTACCAGCCACTGCAAAAACATACCAACGTATAAATACCAATGACACTATGAAGAAACTGCATCAACTAGTGTGCAAAATAACCAAATAGCATCATGATGACAGGATCAAATTCACACATAACAATACTAACCTTTAATGTAAACGGGCTAAATGCCCCAATTAAAAGACAGAGACTGGGAAATTGGATAGTCAAGACCCATCAGTTTTCTGTATTCAGGAGATCCATCTTATGTGCACACACGCACAGGTTCAAAATAAAGGGATGGAGGAAAATTTACCAACCAAATGGAAAGCAAAAAAAAGCAGGGGTTGCAATCTTAGTCTCTGACAAAAGAGACTTTAAACCAACAAAGGTCAAAAAAGATAAAGGCATTACATAATGGTAAAGGGAACAATTCACGAGAATAGCTAACTATTCTGAATATATATGCACCCAATACAGGAGCACCTAGATTCATAAAACAAGTTGTTAGAGATCTACAAAGAGACTCAGACTACCACACAATAGTATTGGGAGACATGAACACCCCACTGTCAGTATTAGACAGATCAACAAGACAGAAAATTAATAAGGATATTCAGGACTTGAACTCAGCTCTGGATCAAGTGAACTCTGTAGACATCTACAGAACTCCCTACCCCAAATTAACATAATACACACTCTTCTCAGTGTCACATGGCACTTATTCTAAAATCGACCACATAATAGGAAGTACAACACTTCTCAGCAAATGCAAAAAAAAAACTGAAATCATAACAGTCTCTCAGACCACAGTGCATTCAAATTAGAACTCAGGATTAAGAAATTCACTCAAAACCACACTATTTCATGGAAATCAAACAACCTGCTCCCAAATGACTCCTGGATAAATAATGAAATTAAGGCAGAAATCAAGAAGTTCTTTGAAACCAATGAGAACAAAAAGACAATGTACCAGAATGTCTGGGACACAGCTAAAGCAGTATTAAGAGAGAAATTTGTAGTACTAAATGGCCACATCAGAAAGCTAGAAAGATCTCAAATTAACACCTTAATATCACAATTAAATGAGCTAGAGAGGCAAGAGCAAACTAATCCAAAAGCTAGTAGAAGACAAGAAATAACTAAGATCAGAGAAGAATTGAATGAGATAGAGACACGAAAAGCCCTCCAAAAAAATCAATGAATCCAGGAGCTGTTTTTTTGAAAAAATTAATAAAATAGGTAGACCACTAGGTAGACTAATAAAGAAGAAGAGAGAGAAGAATAAAATAGACACAATAAAAAATGATAAAGCAGATATCACCACTGACCCACAGAAATACAAAATACCATCAGAGAATATTATAAACATCTCTATGCAAATAAATTGGAAAATCTAGAAGAAATGGATACATTCCTGTACACATACACCCTACCAAGACTAAATCAGGAAGAAGCTGAATCCCCGAATAGACTGGTAACAAGTTCTGAAATTGAGGCAGTAATTAATAGCCTACTAACCAAAAACTGCCTGTGACCAGACGGATTCACAGCTGAATTCTACCAGAAATACAAAGAGGAGCTGATAACATTTTACTATTTCAAACAAATGAAAAGGAGGGACTCCTCTCTAACTCATTTTATGAAGCCAGCATCATCCTCATACCAAAACCAGGGAGAGACAAAACGAAAACAAAAAGAAAACTTCAGACGAATATCCCTGATGAACATCAGTGCACAAATCCTCAATAAAATACTGGTAAACTGGTTCCAGCAGCACATCAAAAAACTTATCCACCACAATCAAGTCAGCTTCATCCCTGGGATGTAAGGGCTTGTTCAACATATGCAAATCAATAAACATAATCCATCACATAAACAGATCCAAAGACAAAAACCACATAATTATCTCAACGGAGGCAGAAAATGCCTTTGATAAAATTCAACATCCCTTCATTAAAAAACTCTCAATAAACTAGGTATTGATGGAACATATCTCAAAATAATAAGAGCTATTTATGACAAACCCACAGCCAGTATCATATTCAATGGGCAAAGGCTGGAAGCATTCTCTTTGAAAATCATTATAAGACAAGGATGTGCTCTCTCTCCACTCCTATTCAACATAGTACTGGATGTTCTGGCCAGGACAATCAGGCAAGAGAAACAAATAAAGGGTATTCAAATAGGAAGAGAGGAAGTGAAATTATCTCTGTTTTCAGACAACATGATTTTATATTTAGAAAACCTGATCATCTTAGCCCAAAAACTTCTTTAACTGATAAGCAAATTCAGCAAAGTCTCAGGATACAAAATCAATGTGCAAAAATTTTGCAAAGGAATGTGCAAGCATTCCTTTACACCAACAATACAGGCAAGGAGAGAGCCAAATCATGAATGAACTCCCATTCACAATCGCTACACAGAAAATATAATACCTAGGAATACAGCTAACAAAGGATGTGAAGAACCTCTTCAAAAAGAACTACAAACCACTGCTCAAGGAAATAAGAGAGGACACAAACAAATGGAAAAACATTCCATCCTCATAGCTAGGAAGAATCAACATTGTGAAAATGGCCAAACTGCCCAAAGTAATTGATAGACTCAATGCTATTCCCATCAAACTACCATTGACATTCTTCACAGAATTAGAAAGAAACCATTTTACATTTTATATGGCATCAAAGACCCCATATAGCAAAGACAATCCTAAGCAAAAAGAACAAAGCTGGAGGCATCACACTACCTGACTTCAAACTATACTACAAGGCTACATTAACCAAAAAAGCATGGTACTGGTACCAAAACAGACATATAGAGCAATGGAGCAGATCAGAGACCTCAGAAATAACATCACACATCTACAGCCATCAGATCTTCGGCAAGGCTGACAAAAACAAGCAATGGGGAAAGGATCTCCTATTCAGTAAATCGTTCTGGGAAAACTGGCTAGCCATATGCAGAAAACTGAAACTGGATCACTTCCTTACACCTTATACAAAAATTAACTCAAGATGGAATAAAGACTTAAATGTAAACCCCAAAACCATAAAAACCCTAGAAGAAAACCTAGGCAATACCATTCAAGACATAGGGATGGGCAAAGGCTTCATGAAAAAAAATGCCAAAAGCAATTGCAACAAAAGCCAAAATTGGCAAATGGGATTTAATCAAACTAAAGAGCTTCTGTACAGCAAAAGAAACTGTCAGAGTAAACAGGAAACCTAGAGAATGGAAGAAAATTTTTGCAATCTACCCATCTGACAAAGGTCTAATATCCAGAATTTACAAGGAACTTAAACATATTTACAAGAAAAAAACAACCCCATCAAAAAGTGGGCAAAGGATATGAACAGACACTTCTCAAAAGAAGATATTTACAGAGCTAACAAACATAGAAAAAAAGTTCAACATCACTGATCATCTCACGCCAGTCAGAATGGTGATTATTAAAAAGTCAGGAAACAATAGATGCTGGTGAGGCTGTGGAGAAATAGGAAATCTTTTACACTGTTGGTGGGAATGTAAATTAGTTTAACCACTGTGAAAGACAATATGGCAATTCCTCAAGGATCCAGAACCAGAAATACCATTTGACCCAGCAATCCCATTACTGGGTGTTGCAGGAAGTCCAGGAGCCTGAACGAAGAGACCAGCTAGAGCTGAGGCAGAAGAACATAAATTGTGAACATTTCATGGACATTTATCAGTTCCCAAAATTAATACTTTTATAATTTCTTATGCCTGTCTTTACTGCAATCTCTGAACATAAATTGTGAAGATTTCATGGACATTTATCACTTCCCCAATTAATACTCATAATCTCTTAATCCTGTTATTTTCATAAACTGAGAATGTACATCACCTCAGGACCACTATTGTACAAATTGATTGTAAAATATGTGTGTTTGAACAATATGAAATCAGTGTACCCTGAAAAAGAACAGAATAACAGCGATTTTCAGGGAATGAGGAAAGATAACCATAAGGTCCGACTGCCTTCAGGGTTGGGTAGAATAGAGCCGTATTTTTCTTCTTGCAGAGAGCCTATAGACGGATGTGTAGTAGGAGAAATATCCCTGAATTCTTTTCCCAGCAAGGAGTAACCCTGGGGAAGGAATGCATTCCTGGGGGTAGGTCTATAGATGGCCACTCTGAGAGTGTCTGTCTTATGCAATTGAGATAAGGACTGAAATATGCCCTGGTCTCCTGCAGTACCCTCAGGCTTACTAGGACTGGGAAATTCCAGCCCGGTAAATTCTAGTCAGACCTGTTGTCTGCTCTCAAACCCTGTTTCCTGTTAAGATGTTTATCAAGACAATGCATGCACAGCAGGACATAGACCCTCATCAGTAATTCTAATTTTGCCTTCACCTTGTGATCTTTATTGCCCTTTGATGCATGTGATCCTTGTAACCTACTCCCTGTTCTTACACCCCCTCCCCCTTTAAAATCCCTAATAAAAACTTGTTTTTTGTTTTGTGGCTCTGGGTTGCCATCACTGTCCTACCAATATGTGATGACACCCCTGGAGGTCCAGCTGTAAAATTTCTCCTTTTGTACTCTTTCTCTTTATTTCTCAGACTGGCCGACACTTAGGGAAAATAGAAAGAACCTATTGGGGGCTGGTTCCCTGATAACTGGGTATATACCCAAAGGAATATTCTACTATAAAGACACATGCACACATATGTTTATTGCAGCACTATTTACAATAGCAAAGACATGGAATCAACCCAAATGCCCATCAATGACAGACTGGATAAAGAAAATGTGGTACACATATACCATGGAATACTATGCAGCCATTAAAAAGAATGACATCATGTCCTTTGCAGGAACGTGGATGGAGCCAGAAGCCATCATTCTCAGCATGCTAATACAAGAACAGAAAACCAAACACTGCATGTTCTCACTCATAAATGGGAGGTGAACATTGAGAACACATAGACACAGAGAAGGGAACAATATACAACATGGCTTGTTGTGGGCTGGGGGATGACGGGAGGGAACTTAGAAGACAGGTCAATAGGTGCAGCAAACCACTGCGGCAAATGTATAACAATGTGACAAACCTGCATGCTTTGTGCATGTATCCCATCTTTTAGAAGAAAAAATAATAATTTTAAAAGATACAGGCAGAGAAGAAAAAAATTATAATGAATTTTAAAAGCTTATGGGATTTATGGGACAGGATGTAAAGAGCAAATGTTACAATTACCAAATGTTTTATACATAAAGGATTAAATGACAGCTCCTAACCTGTGTATAAAAAAAAAGAAAAGAAAAGAAAAAGAAAGATCAGCTGAGGCTGACCAGCCCCAGGCAAAGGGCAAAATAATAATTTGTTATCCATAAAGTGCTCTGTCAATCACCCTAGGCTGACAAGGCAGCAAACTAAAACAATCTTTATGACAGTGGCAATCATACATGTTGGTCATAATAAAAGGTCAAGATGAATTAAGTCAATGTCTTTCTCCTCTTCAAGCATTTTCATTTATAGCTCTGGCACGTGCCACTTTCTTTAATCTCGACTACCAAATATACTCTTTAGCTGAGGCTGTGATAATTTAATGGTAGAGGTGGATTTTGGAGAAAAGAATCTTTGATTTTAAGGTTTTTGAAGAGATTAGCTGGTGATAATGAAATGATCAATTTACATGTGAGCACACAACTAGAAATCAAATGAAGCCTGGAGTTCAAGACCAGCCTGACCAACATGGTAAAAACCTGTCTCTGCTAAAAATACAAAATAAAAAATTATCAGAGCATGGTGGCACATGCCTGTAGTCCCAGCTACTCGGGAGACTGAGGCAGAAAAATAGCTTGAACCTGGGAGGCAAATGTTCTTTTTACACAGTAAATAAAAGTCAAAATGCTTTCCTAAAAATAAAAATAAATAAAAATAAAGAAATCAAATGAAGCTCAGATTTTTTAAACAATTTTAAGATCACAGGCTCTCATGCATTATATTTTAAGGTAAAAGTTAAATAAATATCTGTTTTAAGTTATTTTTTATCAAATGATTTTAAGCAATTTTTCTAAAATATGACATCAAACTAGAATAAGAAAAATTTGCAGCAGGGCTCAGGTTTTAAAATCTGAATAGAATTATTTCAATCACAACTAATATAAGTATGAAAAACATTAAAAAAGGAAAAATCTAACTTCTTGAGTCTTATTAACTGCAATTTACAAAAACACAAATATATTCTCAAATCATATCGATAGCAAAAACAAACATCGTTGAACCAAACAAAATCAGAAAAATATAGTAATATCCAAGGAAGAAAAAAATAATCTAATTGTCGGGCTAATTAAATGCAATAGCCAGAAAACATTAAAGACATTAATTTGATCGATTAATTTTGTAACCATTTGAAATAATGCTGGAATCTTCAGGTTATGAGTTTACAGAGGAAATAGAGTGAGTAAAGAGTTTGATGTCAGAGCATAAATTTTAGTACATGTTCAAATGTGTTAGTTTTCCATATATATATCAAGTATTCCTCAGATTTAGCAAACAAAATATACATATATTTTACAAGATGGTTGGCTAATGGTTCTTACAAATCAAATGAGAAACTGAAAGGTTAGGATTTTAATGCTTACTCAACTCCTAAACACATGCAGTCTTGGGAAAGTCATTTAATAATTCTAGCTACCAAAATGGAGTTAATTATTTTTAACCATCTTTACTAATAATATGTAATTTTTTTACTAAAAATTAATAAGCATAACCAACTAACACTCTATTTCTTCAATGCATTAAAAAGTAGTATCTTCATTATTATTTAGAAGGATTTTCTTGAGTAAGATTTACATAAAATGTTAAGGAACTAACTTCGAAATATATAAAATTCTTATTTCTTTCCTAGCAACCTTTTACCTAATATAGAGAATATTGGTAAAGATTCCTTTTAATCATTGGAGACTTTTACTGAACTCATGTAATGTGACAAGTAGTCTGCTAACTAGTGGGGAAAAATACTCAAGTCCTTGAAAGAGCTTTCAAGTTATAAGATAAATACTATATAGATTTTATATGCTTAAAATTTTACAAAGAAAAGAGTATAACTTAAATATCAGAAGTATACTTAGGTAGAAGAGAACACTTCTGACTGAAGGGATTATAGACAGCTTTCTTAAAGACCTAGACCTTGAAGAATAGACAGTATTTCACTGGACAGAGGGATATTGACAGAGGTAGTGGAATAGAGGGAGGTTTTTACAAGGCACAAGATATCTCTGGCAGAGGTAATAGCCTTAGGTAAGGTAACATTTGGCATAAATAGCAAGAATTAACATATTTACTCAAAGATAGAGTATGTAGAATGACACAATATGAGATAAGGTTTAAAAAGTGAAGTGTGATGAAATCACTCAGTGGCAATAGGAACCTCTGAATATATAAAAGCATGCGAGTGATATGAAGAGAGTTTTGCATCTTAAACGTGACTCTAAAAAGTTGAATAGAATTGTTAAGGGACCATGTCCTCATATTGAGAAAGAAGATAGACATTTCAGTAATATGGTAAAGAAATGCAAAAGATTTATTGACATGTGCCTTTTATAATCCATTTATGGAGGGCAACATCAGGAAAATATGAAAGAACACAAAGACATGATTTCAATTCCAAACACTGACAATGAACTTTAAAGTTTACAAATCCAAAAAGCTGGATGACCTTCTTAACATACAAAACAGGAAAACACCTCCTATTATGCTGTCTTTTTCCAAAATCTCTAGAAATCATCTTGTCCTCCTACAGCAGTGGAAAGCTTCCATCTATGTGCTTCATGCAGAAGATGTATGATTTTTGCATTTGTTTATCCGATTTTCCATGAGCTTAATCTGAATAGCTATCTAATTTATTCTCTGAGGATAGAGTAAAACAGCTTGTCTCTTTTCAGAAAATATGTGGACTGAATTATTTATTTCTAACTTCTTAAGAAGCTTATAAAATGCAGGATGAAAGGTCAGGATTAATTAAGGAAAATGGTGTGAATTTCAGCAGAAGAAATGTATGTTAATTGGCAGAAATCTGCTATAGCTATTACCTTATTGATATTCAGCAAAACTTGACTGGACTGAAAAGAAGAGCCTTATTTTTAACAGATTGTGGGTTGTGATAATGTTGATTTTAGTTCTGAGGCTCATACACTTTTTAGAAGAATATTTTTCCTCGAGAGTGGCTCTCACTGACAGTGGTGTTTCCCTTCATTGTCAAAGGCAATGGAAAGCCACTGAAAACACTAGCAGAACCATTAAGGCAGATGGCCCGGGTTGTAAAGAGAAAGGCAGGATTCAGGAAGTTGTAGCCATACCTCATAACTCCCCATGTTCTCTAAATAATGCAACTTTAATGATAATACCTTTTATGCTAAAGAGAATTCAGCGTGTCTTCCCATCCATTTAGAGGTAAGCGTCTGTTCTGACTGCTGTTCATTGGGTTAATGCAAGTGGTCAAGACTGAGTGCGGATCTGGGAATCAGAAAACATGAGCTCTGCTTCTTGATTAGAGTCTTTACTTTCTCTTCTCTATGTGCACTTGTCCAGAGGGCATTTAGACTTGAATGTATTACATTACTTCTTTAAACAACGTATCTCAAATCAACCTCATAATCTTCCCTGCAAAGATGAATTTTCTTTCTAGTTTCCCAACCATTCATTTTATTTTAATAAAACATTTTGCCAGTTATTGTCCCAGAGTTGGAGGAATAAAGAAAAATATGCAAGTGAACTGTCCTCAGGGAGAGTACTATCAAATACAGGGAGATAAACATGTAGATAAATGCAATTCAATACAGTTTAACATGTTATTTGATATGGTTTGGCTGTGCCCCCACCCAAATCTCATCTTGAATTGTAGCTCCCATAATTCCCATGTGTTGTGGGAGGGACCCTGTGGGAGATAATTGAATCATGGGGGGCGGTTTCCCCCATGCTGTTCTCCTGATAGTGAGTAAGTCTCAGGAGATCTGATGTTTTTATAAGGGGAAACCCCTTTTGCTTAGCTCTCATTCTCTCTTGCCTGCTGCACCTTCCACCATGACTGTGAGGCCTTGTTAGTCATGTAGAATTGTGAGTCCATTAAACCTCTTTTTTTTTATAAATTACTCAGTCTTGGATATGTCTTTATCAGCAGTGTGAAAATGAACTAATACATTATATGGTATGATAGAAATGTATAAGAAGGGTTTAACTCTTCCAGTCCTTCAGCCCCTGTATCCAATCTGTCAATTTTAGTAATTCTTCCTTAAAGTGTCGGTTTCATTTTACTAAAACAAATATAAGCTCTATGAAAGCAGGAATGGTGCTTGAACACGATAGGCACTCCGTAAGTACTTATTGAATAAACTTGTTGATGCCGAAATAGTGGTTAGAACACTAGAGATTCCAAGTAAATATTTGTTAAATGAATAAAAATGCACTCTTTCCAGTCAGAAATAAGAAGTTATCATTACCTATTGCTTAAATTATTGAAGAAACTGGGATCCTTAATCCTAGCTTTTCCCTTTGCCCATATCCAAGAGCAAAATCACTAAGTGCATTGCCCCTAAGCAACTAGCATCTAATACAAGTATTGTCAAACTTTTTATGTAAAGACCCACATAGAATTAATTTCAATATAGTGACCCATATAATCTCTTTTGCTACTAGTTAATTTGGTCTGATAATGTGAAAGTAGCTATAGCCAATATGTAAACAAATGAGTGAGTTAGATGTGTTCCAATAAAACTATTTACAAAATCAGACAGTGGGTCTGATTGGGCTGTAGTTTTCTGACCCCTGGTTTAAAAGCTATTCTGAGGTTCACAAGCCATTTCCATAAACTTTATTTTATTAGATGTGTATGACAATATTATAATGGTTTTGTCTACTTGTTCAACAATCAGTAATTGATCTTATATGTGTAAGGAATTGAGTTACGTACTAGGAATAGGAAAGGAATAAGGCAAAATTCCTGTCCTAGTAGAATTCATAATTGAATATAAAGAGACAAACCTTTAAACAGGTAATTACTACACAGTGAGGTAAATACTGTATTAAGAGTACATACAGAGTAACCATCACCTAAATAATGTACATTGTACCCATTAAGTAATTTCTCATCTCTTACTCCCCTCTCACTCTTTCACTTTTTCAAGTCTCCAGGGTCTATTATTCCACACACTGTGTCCATGTGTACACATTATTAATCTCCCACTTACAAGTGAGAAAATAGTATTTGATTTTCTGTTTCTAAGTTGTTTCACTTAAGATAACGGTCTCCAATTCCACTCATGTTTCTACAAAAGACATGATTTCATTCTTTTTTGTGGCTGAATAGTATTCCAATAGTATTCAACTCTGCATATATCTATATATGTATCTATAAAATCATATATCTATCTACATAGCTATATATTAATATATACAGAATATATATATCTAGATAGATAGATAGATACACAATGAAATACTAGTCAGCCACAAAATGCAGCAATAGATAAATAATAAAAGCTATAGATATATAGACACAGATATATGGATATTTGTATACCACATTTTCTTTATCCAAACGTCCATTGATGGACACTTAGGTTGATTCCATATCTTTGCCATTGTGACTAGTGCTTCTAGAAACATATGATTGCAGGTAACTTTTCCTTTGGGTAGATACCCAATAGAGGAATTGCTGGATGGAATGATAGTTCTATTTTTATTTGTTTGAGAAATCTCCATACCGTTTTCCATAGAGGCTGTATGAATTTGCATTCTCACCAACAGTGTGTAAGTGTTCTCTTTTCTCCATGTCCTCATCCACATTTATTGTTCTTTGTCTTTTTAATAACAGCCATTCTGGCAGGCATAATATGATCTCTCATTGTGGTTTTCATTTGCCTTTATCTGATGATCAGTGATGTTCAGAATGTTTTTGTATGCTTGTTGGCCATTCGTATGTCTTCTTTTGAAAAACAAGTATATTCATGTCCTCCACCAACTTTTTAATAGAATTATTTGTCTCTTTTTGTTGAGTTGTTTATTTGTAGATTTTGGATAGCAGTCCCTTGTTGAATGGGTAGTTTAAAAATACTTTCTCCCAGCCAGGCGCAGTAGCTCATGCATGTAATCCCAGCATTTTGGGAGGCCGAGGTGGGCCGAGGTCAGGAGTTCCAGACCAGCCTGACAAACATGGTGAAACCCCATCTCTACTAAAAATATAAAAATTAGCCAGGTGTGGCGGTGGGTGCTTGTAATCCCAGGTACTCTGGAGGCTGTGGCAAGAATCTCAAAAAAAAAAAAAAAAGAAAAAAGAAGAAGAAAACACCTTAGTGTGTTCTAAACAGCAGAATATACTGTGGAAAATGTAAGATATATCAGATAGGACAGTTTTACCAGGATTAGACTGTTGTTTATGGGAGTGGGTTAGAATGGGGGAGTTGATTTTTGTTGAGTGGTGATGATTTTGAATGTCAATGATTAGCTCATTGAATTTGATACAATGAGAAAATGGCAGCTGTTAAAATTTTTGTTTGTTTTATATAAAAAGATATATTTTATAAGTAATTATCTGAGCCAGTATATAAGACTGATAGAAAGACAAAGAAAATGGGAGTAGCTGCTCAATACTAAGGCATGGAGTTGTCCAGGCCTGAGTTTCTAAAGTTGGGCAGTGGATGTGAGAACATGAAGGAAGGAATAGATTGTTAGCTTGTGAGAATGCATGCACCTAGCTAGCCCTGAAGTTGCTAGTAACGGCCAGCCACATCTGATCCTCAGATTGCTTTTGATGGACTGGCAAACTGTCTTAAGCAATGATTTAAAAATGTCATTGCCAATAATAAATATTGAGATAATTTGCATTTTAATGAATCAAATTTTATGACTTGTTATGAGGGGGAAAGATTGGAGCACTTGGTCTGTGATGCCGTATGGAAACCACTAGCAGTAGTTGAATGCAAGTTTTCACTTTAGAGGATAAAACGTCAGGTCTGAGTGTTTCTCCACCATTGATGCACATCAGAAACATCTGGGGATATTTTAAAGTACGAATCCCAAAGTCAAGTCCCCAGGCAATTAAATCAAGATCTCTAAGGACAAGACCCAGGTGTGTAAAGCTGTTTGAGTCACTATAAAGGCATATTGGAGGCTGGGTACTTTATAGAGAGGTCTAATTGGCTCATGATTGTTCAGGCTGTGAAAGAATTGTGATGCCAGCATCTGCTTCTGGTGAGGGCTTTGGGAAGCTTACGATAATGGTAGAAGGTCAAAAGGAAGCAGGCACATGACATGGCAAGAATGGGAGCAAGAGAGAAGGTGGGGAGGTGCCGTGATCTTTTAAACAAGCAGAACTCACATGAACTCAGAGTAAGAACCCACTTATTATCATAGCTAAGACATTTATGAGGGACCTGCCCCAGTGACCCAAACACCTCCCACTAGGCCTCATCTCCAACACTGGGGATTATATTTAAACATGAGATTTGGAGGAAACAAACAGCCAAGCCATGTTATTCCACCCCTGGGATCCAAACCTCATGTCCTTCTCACATTGCAAAAACACAATCCTCCGAAGTCTTAACTGGTTCTAGCATTAGCTCAAAAGTACCAAGTACAAAATCCAAAGTCTCCTCTGAGACTCAAGTCAAAGTCTTTCCATATGTTAACCTGTAAAATAAAAAATGAGTTATTTACTTCTAAGATACAATGGTGATACAAGCATTGGGTAGACATTCCCATTCCAAAAGGGAGAAATCAGCCAAAAGAAAGGGGCTACAGGTTCCATGCAAGTCCAAAACCCAGCAGGACACATATTAAACCTTAAAGTTCCAAAATACCCTGGAATCCGTAGCCCACTGGGCACACTGGAGCAAGAAGTGGGCTCCTACAGCCTTGAGCAGCTCCACCCCTATGGTTTTGCAAGGCACAACCCATGTAGCTGCTCTCACAGACTGGAGTTGAGTGCCTGTGGCTTTTCCAGCCTCAGGATGCAAGCTGCTGGTGGCTCTACCATTCTGAGGTCTGGAGGGTAATGGCTCCCTTCCCACAGCTTCGCTAGGAAATGTCCTTTCAAGAACTCTGTGTGGGTTAAAACTCTACATTTCCCCTCTGCATTGCCCTATAGAGTATCTCTGTGGGGGCTCTGCTGCTGCAGCAGACTTCTGTCTGGGCACCAGGCTTTTCCATACAGCCTCTGAAATCTAGGTGAAAGCTTCTAAACCTGATTCACTCTTGCATTCTGCACATCTTCAGGCTTAACACCATATGAAAGTCACCAAGGCTTATGGGTTGTGCCCTCCAGAGGTTTGGCTTGAGCTGTACCCTGAGCCCCTTTGCGTGGATGTTGGAGCTGGAATAAGCAGGATGAGGTGAGCAGCGTCCTGAGGTTGTGCAGGGCAGTGGCTCCCTGGGCCTGGCCCCTGAAACCAACGTGAGATCTGAAGGGGACAAACATCCAAACTGAATCATCAAGCATTCATAATGTTAAAGGTTCTGACAACTTCCTCTTCTAGGAAGATGGAGTAGACATGCTTTTGTTGTATTCCATCTGCTATGTACAACCAAATTCCTAGATATAATATGTAAAACAAAACATAAGAAGATTCTAAAAGGAGGAGAGAAGGAGGCAGCGTGGCTAGGGACTTTGAGACCCAATAAACAACACAATGATGAGTTCCCTGGGTGTTTATGTTGCGTCACATTATCCCAGATTTAGGGCTGAGAAAGGTGGCAACCTGGAAACACCCTGTTAAAATTCTTCTATTTTGAGCCTAAGGGCCAGGAAAAGGGTAACCCACCAAGAAACTAAATCTTTAGACAGACCTTCTCTACTCTGTCAACATGATCTGATGTTAAGTGTGGCACCACTTTCACCCATATCAGCAAAAGCCAAGTGGAAACCTATACTTCCCCCTTTGTGAGACTATAATGAGACACCCCAGCACCGCCACCTGGGTGGTGTCAGATAAAGCCAAGCAAAGCGCTAAAACAGTTGTACTATGAGGTGGTAACATGTCTGCACCTACTCACATAGTATCAGGTGGAGAATATGTGTGAGGACCTGTACTCCCACCTAGCATTAATAAGATACCCTCATCTTCTCCACTAGGATGATGTCAAAGAAGGCCTAGTGGAGGTGCAGGACTTTCACCACTTTCAAGTGGTAATAAGGACATGCCATTCCCGTTGTCTACAGACATCGCAAGCAGAGTTGGATCTTTCATCTCTGCCTAGTGATAATGAAAAGCTTGTATAAATGGATGGTGAGTGGTGAACCTGAACTTCTACCTCTACCTGGCAGTCACAAGGAGGTATGTCACAGTTTCCCTTACTGGGTAGTATCATGAAGAGTCAGCTAAAATAGAAGTTATAAATAAGATTTAGACTCTCCTAACATAATATAAAAATGTAAAGATTTCAAGAAAGAATTACTTATATGAAAAATACAGAAAATCCCCATTTCATTTTATTTTGTAACATTAGTAATTTGTGTCTTTTTCCTCCCTGTGAGAGGTTTGCTGATTTATTTTCTTTTTTAAAAAATCAAATTTTTGTATTGATTTTATGAATTAGGTCCTGTCAATTTATTTAATATATTCACTTGTCTTTACTATATTCTTTCTTCTTTTTGCCTTGCATTTATTTTTCTCTTCTTTTTCTAGGTTCTCGAGGCAGGAGCTTAGATTATTTATTGGAGACTCTTCCTCCTTTCTAATATGTACATTAATTGCTATGAATTTCCCTCTCAGTACCCCTTAGCCATGTCCCACAAATTCTGTATTTTTGCTCTTCTTTGAGACTTCCTCCTAGACCCCTGGATTATTTCGAAGTGTGTTGTTTAGTTTCCATGTGTTTTGATATTTTCCTATCTTTCTGTTATTGATTTCTAGTTTGATTCCGTTGTGATCAGAGAACACAGTCTGCATGATTTCAAATTTTTAAATGCATTAAGGCTTGTTTTATATCCCAGGATATGTTCTATCTTGGTATGTTTTCTTAGGATACTAGAAAATAATGTATATTCTGCTGTTGTGGGTGCAACTGTGTTATTTGGTACATTTAAATTTAGGATTTCTATTTCATATAATGATAAATGGGTCAATCTACTAAGGAGAAATAGAAATCCTAAATTTAAATGTACCAAATAACATAGTTGCAAATATATGAAGCAAAACCGATAGAACTGAAAGAAGAAATAAAAAAATCAAAAATTATACTTGGAGACTTCAACATCCCTCTCTTAACAGATGACAGAACAGGAAAAAAATCAGCAAGAACGTGGAACTCAATAACATCATAACCAACAGGAACTAATACACTTTTATAGGACACCCACTCACAACAGGCTCTCATTCTGTGACCCAGGTTGGAGTTCCATGGTGCTATGAAAGCTCATTGTAGCCTTGAACTCCTGGCCTGGAGTGATCCTCTCACCTCAGCCTCCTGATACTGCTTGGGACTACAGGCTAGTGTCACCACACTGGGCTAACTTTTTTCTTTTTTTTTTTTTTGTAGAGACAGGGTCCTGGCTCGCTAGTTGGCAACAGGGAGAAGCATGCAAGAACAGGGTTTGAAATGACATCAGAACCAAGGTATAGCTTGCTTATGCAATAGCAAAGTGAGAGGAACTAGCAATGTACTAAGCACCTACAAAATACCAGTCACTTGATGATTTTATTACACTTAATTTTCAAAAATTTCTCTATAATAAATATTCTCATTCTTATTTTATAGGTGAAGAATCTGAGAATGAGATGTTTTCCCAGTGATAGAGTGGGATAGAATGATAGGTGATAGAGTCTGAATTTGAATTTAGATCTTGCTGACTCCCAAGTATACATTGTTGGTGTTACACTTGGATTCAGGAGCAAGGTATATGCTTCCTGCCAAGGAATGAGTCCTGAATGTGCTTTATCCCATAGGTATGGCAGGATGCCCCCAACAGCTAGCAGTCTGAAAGAATGACACTAGTGCCAAAAATATAATTGAGATTATATTGGGTTGGTGAAAAAGTAATTGCTGTCTTTACCATTAAAAAGTAATGGCAAAACCTTCAATTACTTTTGCACCAACCTAGTAAGCACATTGGGAGAATTTTAAGTTTGATATATTTTTATGAAAAGTTTTAATAAGCTTTGTAATGTCTTTATTGAAGGCCAAAGTACTACTGTAGTACAAAAGAAGGAAAAGGTTGTTGATATATTCTCTGTTTTCTTGGCGTTTTATATGTACTTTTTTTTTCAGCAAATGGTGCTGAGAAAATTGGATTGAGATTTACAGAAGAATGAAACTAGACCCCTATCTCTCACCATATGCAAAAATTAACTCAAGATAAATGAAAGTCTTAAATATAAGATGTGAAACTACAAAAACACTGGAAGAAAACCTTGGGAAAACTCTTCTGGACATTGGCCTAGGCAAAGAATTCATGACTAAGAGGAGCTCAAAAGCACAAGGAACAAAAACAAAAATAGACAAATGAGACTTAAACAAAGAAACTTATGCAGAGCCAAATAAATAATCAACAGAGTAAATGTACAACCTGCAGAATGGGAGAAAGATCCCCACCCCTAGAGGGAGTCTTGCTCTGTTGCCCAGGCTGGAGTGCAGCGGTTTGATCTTGGCTCACTGCAACCTCTGCCTCCGGGTTCAAGCAATTCTCCTGCCTCACCCTCCCAAGTAGCTGGGACTACAGTCGTGCGTCACCACGCTCAGCTAATGTTTGTATTTTTAGTAGAGACAGGGTTTCACCATGTTGGCCAGGATGGTCTCAATCTCCTGACCTCGTGATCTGCCCACCTCAGCCTCCCAAAGTGCTGTGATTACGGGTGTGAGCCACCGCGCCCAGCCATGCTCTCTTCTTTATCTCATCTTTTCAGTCATTCTACTTGAAAGCATAGACTAAGTAATGCCTTCTTATGGATGACTTCCTTGATGTCCCCAAAAATAAGTCACATATTCCTGCCCTGGAACACAAAATATATTTTATAAAAATTACTTAATGGTAGTTCTTTTTGCTTTTCATTATGCTTTACATCTCTTGAAAACACAGATTATGCTAGCAAAGCTAGAGAAATTTTAAACACCTAACAGACATATTTCATATTAACACACAAATACACACATTTATATACAATAAGTATGTCCTTTAAGAGATTGCTGAGTTTTAGACTTAATCTTCAACTTATGTACATACACATATCACATATACAAATAAAAGTGTATATGTGAGTGTAAATATATATAATTGTATATGTTTATATATAATTTACACACACAAACACACCTGCATCCTGAGTAGAAAACCAAATCCACTTGACAAATGTAAATAATGTCTTCTTATTTAACTAACTTTTCAAGGTGTATCTTACTTTCTAAAGCCAGAATATTTTGAAACAAAAGCTGTTTTTCTTCTTGAAGAGACAGATTTATAAGTTTATATTCTAGAAAATTTTTCTCTATTTGATTTATCTGGATGCAAACCAGTTTGCTCTGGGGTTTCAGAACATCAAAAATTTTATTTTCCTTATGGGCTGAAAGTTCATGGGGATGATAAGCATTCTATCTCTTTTATTGATTTTATGATAAACAGTCCAATTTACCATACTTTCTCCAAATAGTCATGCTATCCCTTTAGGCACTGTGCCTTCTAATTGTTAAGAATGCTGACCTTATCCAACATATTTTGGAGGACCATAAGAGTTTGTGAAACCATTTCATTATGAAAAATAGTTAAAATAACTTACCTACTTAGATTGAAGAGTAGAAAACTGAAAAAATGCATTTATTCTGAATAAAATAATGGAGTATAAAGTAATAAATCTGCATGCAGTGGACTAGCTGAGTTCCACAGCCCAGTAGCTTAATGTTCTAAACACATATAACTTTATTGCATTATTGTTAAATTGCTGGCTTTTAGAAATCATAACCTAAATTAAGCATAGTAACATTTTTAAATTGTTCACAATGAATTTCTCTTAAAAATCAATTTTGTATTTTTTTCACCATGAAGGGGACTCAATAATCTAGCCCTACATTGCCTAATGAATTTTATTTATGCTTCCGTTCTTGAATAAAACTACTTCGCTGGACACTTATTCAGGTAAATTGCCTCAATGTACCCTGAATCGATTAAGAAACTCACTGCTATATTTGTTTAAAGATGATTTTTGCAAGATACTGTGCTAGATAATGCAGCCAATACAACACAATCATACTGCAATACAGGGTCTTAGAGACTACTATAAGAGATAAATCAGTGTTTTGAGATAGGCATAAAGAAAGTATTTGGACTTCTTTCAACGATTTAAACCTCACTTTGGCTCTCACACAGTAATTATATAATTACAGGAAATAAACAAATAAATAAATGTATAACCATATGTGAAAACAGAAAAGGTTAGGTAAATGTATGAAAAATCCCAGAAAGATATTTAAAGAATTAGGAAACTGCAAATGAAAGGGGCAATTGTGGAGAGCATTGCAAGTAAGCAAGGTGGCTGGATATAATATCAAAATATAAAATAGTTTTTCTAGAGAGCAGCAATAATTAAACATTTAAAAGGTAATAATGTAATAATAAATATCATTTGCAAAAGCATCAAGACATTTAAAAACAGTAAAGTATCTAGGAAGAAACATAACAAAATGGATAAGAAATTTATGGGAAAAACTATAAAACTCTACTGTTATTATTATTATTATCATTATTATTATTATTGTTAGAGACAGGGTCTCACTCTGTTGCTCAGGCTGGAATGCAGTGGTGAGAGCACGTCTCACTGCAGCCTCAATTTCCTGGGCTCAAATAATCCTCTCGACACAGCCTCCTGAGTAGCTGGGACTACAGGCATGTGGCATCACACCTGGCTAATTGTTTAACACTTTGTAGAGACAGGGTTTCACTGTGTTGCCCAGTCTGGTCTCAAACTCTTGGCCTGAAGCGATGCCCCCACCTCAGCCTCCCAAAATGCTGGGATTACAGGTGTGAGCCATGGCACTCAACCTATAAAACACTATTTAGGGGCACACAAGGAGACGTACCTAAATAGACAAGTTTATGTTTGTATATGAGAAAATGTACTATTATAAAAACATCTTTTCTACCAAATTAATCAGTAAATTAATTGCAATCTCCATTACATTTCCAGCAGAATTTCTTACCGAATTTGACAAGCTAGTTATAAATTTCATATGGAAAAACAAGTGTGCAAAAATAGCCAGAACAATTTTGTAACAAAAGAACAAAGAGAAGTAACTTCTTCCTTACCCCTAGGTTTGATACATTTTTATGAGGCATAGTAATTTCAACAGTAATGATACTAATTCAGAAGTAGACATATAGATCAGTGGTACAGAAGAACAGATCCAGAATCAGATCTGAGAATATGGGAATTTAGCATTTGATAAGCATAACATTTTAAATTGACAGGGAAAAGGCAAACATTTCAAAAGTATCAGGACAAATGACTAAACACGTGCAAAAATTAAGTTAGATTCACACCTAACACTTCTCATAAATGTAAATATGGAGTAAATTTAAAAATTAAAAAGAATATAAATTATTAAAATTAATATTAAATAATATATTCATGATCTTTATAGTAGAAAGGGATTTATTAAACTCTAAATTATGAAGTATATCATTGATGCATTTATAACTATATAAACATTTTAAATGTTACAAACTCAGTGTAAAAGTTTGAGAAAAATATGTATAATTTTTAAAGAATTAGTAACTAGAAGTATTTTTTTAAAAAACAAAAGCTAATTAGAAGACTGGATATAAACAGAAAATGCACTGGAGAGGTCAAAAAACAAAAAAGATATACAACCTCATTAGTCATCAAGGAAATACAAATTAAACCAATAATATAATTTTATTTTCTATTTATCACATGACAAATATATAGAAGTTTGATAGCAGAAAGGGTTGGCAATGGCAAGGATAGATATAATTTGCTGGTGAAAAGATGAATTCGTTCTGCTACTTTGGAAGGCAATTTGGCAAAGTCTATTAAATTTAAGTTGTGCTTGACTTCACTACAGTAGAAAAACATCACGCATAAGTACAAAAAGATTGTACAAAATGTATATTTTTATATTGCTTTCATTGTAAAAAATTACAGTAGATATGAATGTGCTAACTACATATTATTAAATGTTAGATATAGATTATTATATGTTTAATTTAAAATAATAGGTTTGGATAAATACACTGTTATAGTCAAACTATGAAATGCTGTAGTTAAAAATAATAAAGTACTTCTATATGAACTAATGTTAGGTGGATCTCCAAGAAAGAGGCAGAACAATATATATAGCTAGATTCAATTATGTACAGCACACACACAAACTTAAATATATGCACATAAATAATATAGGAAAGTTTTCTTATTTACACAGCTATTGTGTGTTTATGCTTGTATGTAAATAAATCAAACAATTTCAAGAAGAATATACATGAAGTTGAGAAGGAGGAAACCAGTATTAGAAAAAGCGGAGATGCCACTGTTCTTGTTCACAACACATAAAATAATAAAACAAAGATCTCTGCCCTCATAGAAGTTACATTCTATCAAGGTTGACAGATGACAAAACCTAACCATAATAAATAAATCATTTAAATGGTGCATTAGAAAGGAATAATGGCTGTAAAAAAAGCAAGTAGAATTACATACACAAGCATATTTGTGTCTGGGTAAGCAATGAAAATTTTATTTGTATGTAATTTATTTGTATGTAATTATTTGTATCTAATTTTATTTGTATATTATTTGTATGTATATGAGTGTGTGTGTGTGTATGTTGTGCATACTGACTCCAATTCTACAACTGTATATATTATTCTGCTTCTTTCTAAAGATCTCAAATCCAAAAGGAGGCAGTAATAACAGTTAATTTTTAATATATATATTTTTAAAAATTGCAAAGTTCAATGGAAGTTGGAGGAGGAAAAAGTTTCATGGAAGAAGTAACGCTTAGAATAGGCTTCAAATAATGTTTTTGATAGAGTAATACACATAAGAGTGATACACATAAGGAAATGTGAGTGAAGTTTAGACAGAAGAAATTGAGCAAAGCAGAAAGTCAGTCAACTTTTGCTTTAACTGTTATTCAATATAAATTGCTTACTTTCTTCATTTTAGTCTTTCCTACTATCTTTTAAAGCCCTTATACCAGTTATCTTCTCTCAGCTTCAAGCTCAGCCTTCTCTATTTGGGTATTTGATCCTGGAACTGGGACTCTGCAAACATATTTCTCCTTTACCTGCTGGTTCCATGCTTGGCTCTGCCAAAAAGAGGCACTAGAGGAAGGAAAAAAGGGATCACTCCTTCCTCCCCCTGCACCCCCTATAACTGGCAGTATCACTTCATTCTCTTCATTCTGGCATTAACAGTTATTTGCAAAAGCAACAGTTGAATTCAGATTAAAATTGTTCTAACTCTTGCAGAACCAAGCCTCATCATGCCCCCTTCATGTGCACCAGCTCCAGTCAGAACTCTCCTCCTCAAAAGTCTAGGTCCCAGTGCCATGACACCCTCCTTCAGGTCAACAGCTCCTGCACCAGTTCTGCAAAGCCTTCTCCTCAAAAGTCTTGAGTTTCACTCCATGGAACGTCTCCTCTTCCAACCTGTTAGGTTTTAATGATTCCAACCACTTTCTTTTGATTCTGAAGCCTTAGGAAACTGTCTGCTTTCCAACAATGCTGCCACTGTGAAACCTTAGAGTTCATTTTATCTATCCCAATACCTAGTTAACAACTTTATATTGCTCAAATAATTGACAGGACTCTGATTAATTCAAAAATATTTGAGATCCATTTTTTTCTTTGGATTTTTCCCTAAAAAACATCTTTTTGAAATAAGGCCAAGAAAATATTTACATTATTCATTTTGACAGTTCATTTATTCAACATCTGTTGAGTACCTGTAATGTGTCAGACACTGTGTTAAATGCTAGAGATACAAAGAAGGGTAAGACCCAGTTTCTTTCTCTAAAGAGTTCACAGTGCCATGGGGAAATACAAATGCAAACATGTAATTGCAATTACAAGATTGCAAGTGTCATAATAAAAAATACAAAAATAACACACATTAGGGAATAACTATTCAAGGGGCTCAGGAAAAGTGGTTCCATCTGAGTACAAGGAATATGCAGACATTTAGCAGACAGCTGGAAGGAGTGCGGGTACTCAAGGAAACACAATTTTTTGCAACTATCTAGTATGAACAAATAATATTGGTTAACTAAAAAATAAATTGCAAGGATGGTAGTAAAAAAGAAAATGTGAAGAGGTATACTAGATAACAGAAGTTTTTGTAAACATGCAAGAAACTTTTAGCTTTATTCTTTAGGCCAGACATATTTAAAAAATAACTCATTGCAATCATCTAAAAAATGAAACTTCTTCCACAATGGTTGAACTAGTTTACAGTCCCACCAACAGTGTAAAAGTGGTCCTATTTCTCCACATCCTCTCCAGCATCTGTTGTTTCCTGACTTTTAAATGATCACCATTCTAACTGGTTTGAGATGGTATCTCATTGTGGTTTTGATTTGCATTTCTCTGATGGCCAGTGATGATGAGCATTTTTTCATGTGTCTGTTGGCTGCATAAATGTCTTCTATTGAGAAGTGTCTGTTCATATCCTTCACCCACTTTTTGATGGGGTTGTTTGATTTTTTCTTGTAAATTTGTTTAAGTTCTTTGTAGATTCTGGATATTAGCCCTTTGTTAGATGGGTAGATTGCAAAAATTTTCTCCCATTCTGTAGGTTGCCTGTTCACTCTGATGGTAGTTTCTTTTGCTGTGCAGAAGCTCTTTAGTTTAATTAGATCCCATTTGTCAATTTTGGCTTTTGTTGCCATTGCTTTTGGTGTTTTAGACATGAAGTCCTCGCCCATGCCTATGTCCTGAATGGTATTGCCTAGGTTTTCTTCTAGGGTTTTTATGGTTTCAGGTCTAACATTTAAGTGTTAATCCACCTTGAATTAATTTTTGTATAAGGTGTAAGGAAGGGATCCAGTTTACCGTTGTGGAAGACAGTGTGGTAATTCCTCAAGGATCTAGAACTAGAAATACCATTTGACCCAGCCATCCCATTACAGGGTATATACCCAAAGGATTATAAATCATGCTGCTATAAAGACACACATACACGTATGTTTATTGCAGCACTATTCACAATAGCAAAGACTTGGAACCAACCTAAATGCCCATCAATGATAGACTGGAATAAGAAAATGTGGCACATATACACCATGGAATACTATGCAGCCATAAAAAAGGATAAGTTCATGTCCTTTGTAGGGACGTGGATGAAGCTGGAAACCATCATTCTCAGCATACTATCTCAAGGACAGAAAACCAAACACTGCATGTTCTCACTCATAGGTGGGAATTGAACAATGAGAACACTTGGACACAGGAAGGGTGACATCACACACTGGGGCCTATCATGGGGTACGGGGAGGGGGAGGGATAGCATTAGGAGATATACCTAATGTAAATGATGAGTTAATGGGTGCAGCACACCAACATGGCACATGTATACATATGTAACAAACCTGCACGTTGTGCACATGTACCCTAGAACTTAAAGTATAATAATAAATAAAAAAAGAAAAAGGAAAAAAAATGAAACTTCACACAAATTTCCGGCTTCTCTTGAAATATCAGACCATTTGGGTTCACCGGGCCTGCATTTTATACTTTGAGAAGTGGCTGGTACTAAATAATTACTACTCTCTGTAGATGAAACCCATGCTTTTCAGGTGGTCAAAATATGCTTGATGATCTTTTTATTAAATTATTTACCTTGATGACCTCTGCATACATTTTCTACCCTGCTTTATTAAATGAGAAATATTTAAGCCTGAGAATTCCATGATTAAATGAATGGTTTAGAAAAATTACTGGAGATGATATAGGAGATAGCTCAGATTGGGAATAGATCAGAAAGCTGGATGGTGACACTGTCAATGCAATTCTGCCTAAAGCCTTTAAAGAGGCAATAACAATGAGGTGGAAATAAATGAACTAGATTTGATAAATAAATGAAAAACTAAATGGATAACAATTGGGAAAACAATCAATGGGAAAAGGCCCATACATGAGGGTTCAGGATGAGAAGGATAAATGTATCTATTATTTCCAGAGTTTCTGGTGTTGCTGTCCAGTATTAGGAATAATGGAGGAAAAGGATGTTTGGGCAAGTTTAGATTTCGGTGCTTTGATTTGAAATGTCTATGGGATTTCGAGCCAGACGCAGTGGCTCATGCCCGTAATCCCAGCACTTTGGGAGGCCAAGGCGGGCAGATCACCTGAGATCAGGAGTTCGAAACCAGCCTGACCAACATGGAGAAACCCCTTCTCTACTAAAAATACAAAATTAGCCATTCACGGTGGCACATGCCTGTAATCCCAGTTACTCGGGAGGCTGAGAATTGCTTGAACACGGGAGGTGGAGGTTGTGGTGAGCCGAGATTGCACCATTGCTCTCCAGCCTGGGCAATAAGAGCAAGACATCAAAAAAAAAGAAAGAAAAAGAAAGAAAGAAATGTCTACAGGATTTCTAGGTGGAATGTCTACTAGGAAGTTGGATACAAGTCTACCAATCAATAAATGTGATTCATCACATAAACAGAACTAAAAATGAAAACCACATGATTATCTCAATAGATGCAGAAAGGACTCTCAATAAAATTCAACATCTGTCCATGTTAAAAATTATCAGCAATAGGCATTGAAGGAAAATACTTCAAAATAATAAAAGTCATCTGTGAGAAACCCACAGACAACATCATACTGAATGGGCAAAAGCAGCAAGCCACTCCCCTTGAAAACTGGAACAAGATAAGGATGCCGTCTTGTACCATTCCTATTCAACATAGTATTGGAAGTCCTGGCCAGAGCAATCAGGCAAGAGAAAGAAGTAAAAAGCATCCAAACAGGAAGAAAGGAAGTCAAACTATACCTGTTTGTAGCCAATATGATTCTATACTTAGAAAACCCCATAGTATCTTTCCAAAAGCTCTTTGATCTGAAAAATAACTTCAGTGAAGTTTCAGGAAATGAAATCAATGTACAAAAATCAATGGCTTTCCTATGCACCAACAGCATCCAAGCTGAGAGCTAAATCAAGAATGCAATCCCATTTACAATTGCCAAAATAAAATACAATAAGCTACCTAGGAATACAGCTAACCAAGGAGGTGAAAGATCTGTTAAATGAGAATTAAAAAAATAAGACATCAGAGATGACACAAACAAATAGAAAAGCATTTCATGCTAATGGATAGGAAGGATCAATATTGTCACAATGGCCATACTGCCGAAAGGAATTAATGGATTCAATGCTTTTCCTATCAAACTACAAATAACATTTTTCACAGAATTAGAAAAAATTATTTAAAAATTCATATGGAACCAAAAAAAGAGCCAGCATAGCCAAGACAATCCTAAGCAAAAATAACAAAGCTGAAGGCATCACTGTTACCTGACATCAAACTATATGACAATGTTATAGTAACCAAAACAGCGTAGTACTGATACAAAAACAGACACATAGACCAGTGGAACAGAATAGAGAGCTCAGAAACAATACCACACAGCTACAACCATCTGATCATTGCCAAAGTAGGCAAAAATAAGCAAGGGGAAAGGATTCTCTATTCAATAAATAGTGCTGGTATAACTGGCTAGCCATATGCAGAAGACTGACACAACCTTTTCCTTACATCATATATAAAAATCAACTCAAGATAAATTAAGTACTTAAATGTGAAACCTAAAACTATAAAAACTCTGGAAGACAACCTAGGAAATACCATTCTGAACATTGAACCTGCCAAAGATTTCATGACGAAAACATCCAAATCAATTGCAACAAAACCAAAAATTGACAAAAGGAACCTAATTAAACTAAAGAGCTTCTGTACAGCAAAAGAAACTATCAACAGAGAAAACAGACAATCTACACAATGAGAGAAACTATTTTCAAGCTATGCATCCAACAGTGGTCTAATATCCAACATCTATAAAAAACTTAAATTTACAAGCAAAAAATAAACAATTCCATTAAAAAGTGGGCAAAGAACATGAAAAGACACTTTTCAAAAGAAGACATAGCTGCAGCCAACAGGAATGATAGATGCTCCACATCATTCGTCATTAGAGAAACACAAAGCAAAATCATAAGATACCAGCTCACACCATTCAGAATGGCTGTTATTAAAAATCAGAAAATAACTGTATTAGTCAGGGTTCCCTAATGGGACAGAACTAATAGAATATATATATCATACATATATGTTAAATATATATGATAAATATATATCGTATATTTACATATTTAAATAAAGGGGAGTTTATTAAGTATTAACAAGATCACAAGTTCACACAACAGGCTGTCTGCAAGCTTGAGGAGCAAGGAGAGCTAGTCCGAGTCTCAAAACTGAAGAACTTGGAGTCCAATGTTTGAGGGCAGGAAGCATCCAGCACTGGAGAAAGATGTAGGCTGGGAGGCTAGGCCAGTCTTGCCTTTTCATGTTTTTCTGCCTGCTTTATATTCACTGGCAGCTGATTCGATTGTGCCCACAAGATTAATGGTGGGTCAGCCTTCCCCAGCCCACTGACTCAAATGCTAATCTCCTCTGGCAACAGCTTGACAGACACACTCAGAATCAATACTTTGCACCCTTCAATTCAATCAAGTTGACACTCAGTATTAACCATCACAGTAACAGATGCTGGCAAGGTTGTAGAGAAAAGGGAATGCTTAAACACTGCTGGTAGAAATGTAAATTAGTTCAGTCAATTTGGAAAGCAGTGTGGTGATTCCTCAAAGAACTTAAAACAGAACTACTGGCCAGGTGAGGTGGCTTATGCCCATAATCCCAGCACTTTGGGAGGCTGAGGCGGGTGGATCACCTGAGGTCAGGAGTTCGAGACCAGCCTGGCCAACATGGTGAAACCCTGTCTGTACTAAAAATACAAAAATTAACCATGTGTGGTGGTAGGTGCCTGTAATCCCTGCCACTTGGGAGGCTGAGGCGGGAGAATCACTTAAACGCAGGAGGCAGAGGTTGCAATGAACCGAGTGTTACTGCACTCTAGCTTGGGCAACAGAGCAAAACTTCATCTCAGAAAAAAAAACAAAAAACAAAAACAGGATTGCCATTTGACCCAGTAATCCCATTATTGGGTGTATATCCAAGGAATATAAATCATTCTACCATAAACACATGTGAATACATATATTTATTTGAGTACTATTCACAATAGCAAAGGCATGGAATCAACCTAAATCAATGGTAGACTGAATTAAGAAAATAGGGTACATATACACCATGGAATACTATGCGGCCATAAAAATGAATGAGATCATACTCTGCAGCAACATGAATGGAGCTGGAGGTCATTATCCTAAGTAAACCAATGCAGGAACAGAAAACTGAATACGGCATATTCTTATGTGTACTGGGAGGTAAACAATGGGAACACGTGGACACAAAAAGGGGAACAACAGACACTGGAGCCCACTTTAGGCTGGAGGATGGCAGCAGAGAGAAGATTTTAAAAACTACCTATCAGGTACTATTGCTTATTACCTGGATGGTGAAATAATCTGTACACCAATCCCCTATGACACACAGTTTACCTATATAACAAACATGCACATGTATGCCTGAACCTAAAAGTTAAAATGTATACTGTTAGAGAAATTCGGCAAATGTTGTTAGAAGTATTGAAAGTAAAAAAGTCGGAAAGTCAAAAGTGCACAGAAATGCAATAAAAACCGTAATTCTAACATAAAGAGAGTTCTGATAATAACAGTTTATATGACATAGTTTACATGTATTGATTTTTTGGCTCATGGTTAAAGGTACAAGTTTCAGGCGAATCACTCATCATAAAGTGTTTGATTGCTTCAAGATTTTCAGTAATTTTACAAGGGTGGTGACTTTGATGCTCTTCCTTAGGCATATATGACAATGTCTGGAGACATTTCAGTTTGGAATCAAATACATAGGAACTAGAGATTCTGCTAAACATCCTACAATGCTCAGAACAACCCCCCACCCAAATTAAGAATTATCCAGCTCAAAATATTAATAGCGTAAGGTCATAAAACCCTGTGCTGGACTTATCTGATCTCAACATGGATGAATATTTTGACAAAGTGATCCATGTTTTTGTGTGAATTTAAAGGTGTAGATTAAATACTTACTCAAGGACTACAGACTCTGGCATCAGGCCATCCTACCCGTGGGCCCAGGCCCAAAGCCCACATGTTAAAGATCCCTACTAGCTAGTCCATCGAAAATATCTGGCCAGGATGACAGGTGAAGGGCTTTCCATGTCAAAGTCAGTCTGTAAAGACTAGAAGAGTTGAGTATTTCTTCAAATGCAGAGGCATGAATGCAAGTTTACAATAATCACGAAGAACCAGGGAAACATGACACCAGCAAAGGAAAAAAATAAAGCTCAAATAAACCATTCTAAGGAAATGGAGATGTAACCATTGCCCAGTATTGTGTCTCAAGAAACAAGAAATAAAGGACAGCCTTAACTTAGGGGATGGAAGGAAATAATAAATATTAGAGAAGGAATAAACAAAATAGAGATTTTGTTAAATATTAAAAAATAAATTTTAGGGTTTGTTTTGTGAAAAGATAATTAAAATTTAAAAACTCTTATCTACACTAACTTAAAAAAGAAGAGAGAAGATAAAATCAGAAATGGAGAAGGCAATGTTACAATCAATGCCACAATTTTTTAAGAAAGAGATTATAAGGGACTATTATGAACAATCATGCACCAACAGGGCAACCTAGAAGAAATGAATACATTCTTAGAAACATACACTCTGCCAAGACTGAGTCAAGTAGAAATCAAAAGCCTGAACATATTAATAACAAATTAGATTGACTCAGTAATCAAAAAAGAAAAACACGTGAATTAATGACTTCATAGATAAATTGTCCCAAGCATTTAAAAACATATTACAAATCCTTCTTAAACTCTTCAGAAAAAATAGAAGAGGGAACAGTTCTGAAATCTTTTTATAAGGCCAGCATCACCTTGACACTAACAGACAGAAACCACAAGAAAAAACAACTAAAGGTCAATATCCCTGATGAATCTGATTGCAAAAATTTTCATCAAAATATTAGTAAACAAAGTTCAACAGCATACTAAAAGGATCATACGCCATGACCAAGTGGGATTTACCCCAGTAAGCAGGGATAGTTCGACATATACAAATCAAATATTATCATACACTCCAGAAACAGAATGAAGAATAAAAAATCACAAGATCTTTTTTGTAGATGAAGAAAAGTCATTTGACAAATTTCAACACCCTTTCATAATAAAAACTCTAAACAAGTTAGGTATAGAAATAACTTAGCACAATCAAAGCCAAAGAGGCATACCTGTAAGAAATTTCAGGTGCAGTTCCAGCCCACTGCAATAAAGGAAACATCACAATAAAGTGAGTCACGCCGGTTTTGTCTATTTTTCAGTTCATGTAAAAGTTATGTTTACACAATATTATAGCCTATTACATGTGCAATAGCATTATGTCTAAAAAAGTGCATAGCTTAATTAAAAAATACTTTCTTGCCAACAAATGCTAATGATCATCTGAGCCTTCAGTGAGCTGCAATCTTTTTCCTGGTAGAGGATTTTGCCTTCTTGTTGATGGCTAATGACTGGTCAGGGTTGTGATAGCTGAAGGTAGAGATGGATGCAGAAATTTCTTAAAATGAGACGACAATAAAGTTTGCCCCATAAATTGGCCCTTCCTTTCACTAAAGATTTCTCTGTAATATGCAATGTGTTTGAAAGCATTTTACCCAGAATAGAGGTTCTTTCAAAATTGAAGTCAGTCCTCTTAAGCCTTGTCCTTGCTTCATCAATTAAGTTTACATAATATTCTAAATGTTTTCTTGTCATCTCAGCATTGTTCATAATATCTTGACCAGGAGTATATTCCATCTCAAGAAACAACTTTCTTTGCTTATTCATAAGAGGCAATTTCTCATCTGTTTAACTTTTATTATGAGATTGTCACATTCATTCACATTTTCAGGCTCCACTTCTAATTCTTATTTCTCTTGCAATTTCCACCATATCTGCAGTTATTTCCTTTACTGAAGTCTTGAACCTATTAAAATTGTCTATGAGGATTAGAATTAACTTCTTCCAGAGTCCCTTAGATGTTGATATTTTGGCTTACTTTCAAAAAGCATGAAGATTCTTAATGGTATCTAGAATGTAGAATCATTTCTAGAAGCTTTTCAATTTAGTTTGCTCAGATACATCAGATACATCACTATCTATAGCAGCTATAGAATTATAAAATGTATTTCTCAAGTAATAAGACTTGAAGGTGAAAATTACTCCTTGATCTATGAGCTGAAGAATGGAGGTTGTGATAGCAGGCATGAAAAGAACATTAATTTCTTTGTACATATCTATCATAGCTCTTGGGTGACCAGTTGTATTGACAATGAGCAGCAATATTTTGAAAAGAATCTTTTTTCTGAGCTGTAGGTCTCAACTGTAGGCTTAAAATATTCAGTAAACCACACAGTAAACAGGCTTTGTTTTTCCATTTATGTAGCCTAGGAAGAGTAGATTTTTCACAATTCTTAAGAGCTCTAGGATTTTTAGAATGTTAAATGATCATTGGCTTCAACTTAAAGTCACCAGCTGTATTAGCCTTTAACAAGGTAGTCTTTGTTCTTTGAAGTTTTCAAATCAAGACATGACTTCTTTTTAGTTATGAAAATCCTAGATAGCATTTTCTTCCAATATGAGGCCGTTTCATCTACATTCAAAATAGTTGTTTGGTATAGCAACCTTCATCAATAATCTTGGCTAGATCATCTGGATAACTTGCTGTAGTTTCTCCATCAGCACTTACTGCTTTTCTTTTTACTTTCATGTTATCATGATGGCTCCTTTCCCTTAAACCCCATGAACCAACTTCTGCTATCTTCATTTTTTTTTCCTGCAGATTCCTTACCTCTCTTCACCTTCATATAAGTGAAGAGAGTTAGAGCCTTACTCTTGAATAGTCTTTGGCTTAAGGGAAGGTTGTGGCTGGTTTAGTCTTCTATCCTGACTACTCAAGCTTTAGCCATATCAGCAATAAACCCTGTGTTAGGCCATTCTTATGTTGGTATAAAAATATCTGACACTGGGTAATTTATAAAGAAAAGATGTTTAATTTGCTCATGGTTCTTTTGGCTTTACAGGAAACATGATGCTGGCATCTTCTTGGCTTCTGGGGAGACCTCAAGAAACTTACAATCATGACAGGAGTTGAAGTGGGAGCAGGCATGTCACATGACCAGAACAGGAGAAAAAGAGAGAGTCAGAAGAGGGGGGAGGTGCAAAATACTTTTAAATAACCCAAACTCATAAGAACTCACTCACTCATCACCTAGGGGAGAGCACCAAGCCACTCATGAGGAATACACCCCTCTGATGCAAATACCTCCTGCCAGGTCCTAACCCACAACACTGGGGACCACACCTCCATATGAGATTTGGTGGAAACACAGATCCAAATCATATTAAATCTATTTCACTTTCTTATCATTTGTGTGTTTACTGGAGTAGCACTTCTAATTTCCTTCAAGAACTTTTCCCTTACATTCACAAATTGGCTAATCATTTGGTGTAAGAGGCCTAGATTTCATCATATCTTGGCTTTTGATATGGCTTTCTCACTAAGCTTACTCATTTCTAGCTTTTGATTCAAAGTGAGGGACATGTGACTCTTCCTTTCACTTGAGCGCTTAGAGGCCATTGTGGGATTATTTGACCTAATTTGAACATTGCTTTGTCTCAGGGAATAATAGTGAGACCTAAAGAGAGGGAGAGAGATGGAAATTGCTGGTCAGAGGAGCAGTCATAACACTCATAACATTTATGGATTAAGTTCACTGTTTTATATGGGCCTGGTTCATGGCATCCCAAAGTAATTACAATAGTAATATCAAAAATCATTAATCATAGACCTCCGTAACAGATATAATAATATTAGAAAAGTCAAAAATATTGTGATAATTATCAAAATATGACACAGAGACTCGAAGTGAGCACATCACATTAGAAAATGGTACTAATGAATTTGCTCAATACAGCATTGACACAAACCTTCAATTTGTAAAAAAAAACACAATATCTTTGAATAAAATGAAGTAGCATAAAATGAAGTATTCTTGCATATAAAAAGCCCACAGCTAACATTACCTCAGTGGTGAAAAACTAAAAGCTTTTCTTCTAAGACCTAGAATGAAGAAAAAATGTCCACTCTCACCATTTCTATTCAACCTAGTATTGGAAATCCTATACAGAGCAATTAGGCAAGAAAATTTTAAAAATGCAATCAAATCAGAAAAGAAAATATGAATTACCTTTCTTTGTAGATGATGTGATTTTTATATAGAAAATCCTAAATACTACACACAGACACACACACACACACACACACACACACACACACACACACACAAAACCTCTTAGAACTAATGAACTCAGCAAAGTTGGAAAATAAAAATCAAATATAAAAATTAGTTATATTTCTAGGTACTATGAACTATCTGAAAAGGAAATTAAGAAAACTATCACCTTTACAACTTAACCAAGGATGTGAGATTGATGCACTAAAAACTACAAACACTGATGGGACAAATTAAAGCAGACATAAATAAATGAATAAATAGCCCATGTTCATGGGTTGGAAAAATTCATATTGTTGAAAGTTTATGCTATTCAAAATGATGTAAAGATTCAATGCAATCCCTATCAAAATCCAAAAGGCATTTTTTTATGGAAATAGAAAAACAATTTTAAAATTTGTAGGGAACAATGAAAGATCCCAAGTAGCCAAAGCAATTTTGAGAAAGAAGAATAAAGCTGGAGGAATCACACTTTCTGATTTCAAAATATATTACAAAATTACAGTGATCAAAACAGTATGGTACTGGTATAAAAAAGCACATACATAGACCAATGGAACAGAATAGAGTTCCCAGAAATAAACTAACACATTCAAATTGAGTATTCCTAACTGAAAAATCTTAAATCCAAAATGCTATGAGGTTTGAAATCTCTTGAAACTTGGCCTGTTGCTCAAAGGAAATGTTAATTGGAGCATTTTGGATTTTAGATTTTGAGATTAGAAATGTTCAACTGGGAAGTATAATGTAAATATTCCAAAATAAAAAAAGTCTGAAATTGGTCCCAAGCATTTTGAACAAAAAATACTCCACCTGTGTATAATAAACTGATCTTCAAAAAGGATGCCAAGAATATACAATGGGGAATGGATAGTCTTTTCAATTAATGATGTTGGGGAAACTGGATATCCATATAAAAAGGTGATTAGACCTAATGCCAGACAGAAATATACTCAAAATAAATTTAAGACTTAAACCTAAGACCTGAAACCATAAAACTTTCTGAAAAGAAAAAAGGGTAAAAACATCTTGATATTGGCCTGAGCAATGATTTATTGGTTATGACACCAACATACAGGGAATGAAAGCTAAAATAGACAAGTGGGATTTCATCAAACTAAAAAGCTTCTGCATGGAGAAGGAAAAAAATCAACAAAATGAAAGGGCTACCTAAGTAATGGGAAAAAAATTTGTAAACCGTATATCTGCTAAAGGATTAATTTCCAGAATAAATAAGTAACTCCTACAACTTAATAGCAAAAAACATAATTTAATTAGAAAATGAGCAAAGGAATTGAATAGACATTTCTCCAAAAAATACATACCAATGGCCAACAGGCATATGAAAAGGTGCTTAACATCACAAATCGTTGGAGAAATGATAATCATGATTACTGTAAGATGCCACCTTACCACTGTTAGGATGGCTATTATCTAAATAAAAAAGATAAATGTTTTCAAGGATGTGGAAAAAAAGGAACCTATGTACACTTTTGATGAGAATTAAAATTGGTGCAGCAACTGAAAATCTATATGTGGTTCTTCAAAAAATTAAAAATAGAACTACCATATGAACCAGTAACTTCTTTTCTGGGTATATGGTAGTGGCCTCCCTCCCGTTATTCATGGAGGATACTTTTCAGGAGGTCCAGTGGATGCCTGAAACCACAGATAGTACCAAATCCAATGTATACTATATTTTTTCCTATACATACATGTCTATGATAAAGTTTAATTTATACATTAGGTACCATATGAGATTTAAAATAATAGAAAATAATAAAATAGAAAAATTATAACAATGTGTCAGCATCACTACTCTTGCACTTTGGGGATATTGTTAGGTAAAATAAAGGTTACTTAAACACAAGTATTGTGACACCACCACAGTGGATCTGATAGCAGCGATACCTACTAAGCGACTAAGGTGTTGGGGACATCTGCAGTGTGGGTATGCTGGACAAAGGGGTGATGCATTCTTTGGGGGACTGAAGATGGATAATGTGACATTTAATCACATTTCTCAAAATGTTGCCCAATTTAAAAGTTAGGAATTGTTTACTTCTGGAATATTTCATTTAATAATTTTGGACCATGGTTTTTACAGGTATCTGAAAACCTGAAAAGCAAAACTATGGATAAGAGGGAACTACTGTACATCCAAAGAAATTGAAATTAGGATCTTGAAGAGATGTCTGCATGTCCATGTTCATTGCTGCATTGTTTAAAATAGAGAAGACACAAAAGCAGCCAAATGTCCATCAAAGGATGAACTGATAAAGAAAATGTAATCTATTAATACAATGGAATACTATTCAGCCTTATAAGAAAGGAAATGCTGCCAGTAGCAGCAACATGGATGAATCTTGAGGACATTATGCCAGTGAAATAAACCAGATTAAAAAAATACTATACGATGTCACACATATAAGAAACCCCAAGTAGCCAACTCATAGAAACAGACAACAGAATGGTAATTGCTGGTGTCTTGGGGAGGAAAAGTGGGAAGGCATTAGTCAAAGGCTACAAAGCTATGGTTTTACAAGATTAGTAAGTTCTACAGATCAACTATATGGTACAATGCCTGTAGTTCCAATTACTGTATTATATCCTTTAATATTTGCTAAACTCCTGACATGGTAGCTCATCCCTGTAATCCCAGCATTCTGGGAGGCCAAGGCAAGAGGATCACTTGAAGCCAGGAGTTTGAGAACAGCCTGTGCAATATAGTGAGACCTTGTCTCTACGAATAATAATAATAATAAAAATTAGCCAGTCAGTACGTGTACTGCTGCCCTAACTACTCAGACGGCTCAGGCTAGAGCCCAGGAGCTCAAGGTTGTGATGAGCTATCATGGTGTCAGTGCACTCAAGTCTGAGAGACAGAGCAAGACCTTGTCACAAAAAAATGTGTGAAGAGGGTAGATATTATGTTAAATGTTCTTATTCCAATAATAATATAATAATAAAGAGAATACAAGGAAACTTTGGGGAGCCATGGATAAGTTTAAGGCATAGATTGTTTTGATTATTTCATGGGTGTGTACATATCTCCAAACTCATCAAGTTGCATACGTTAAATATGTACTATGTTTGTACATCAATCATACCTCAATAGAGTAGTTTAAAAGCACAAATTTATATTCATATTCATATTCATAGTTTATAAGTGTGTAATCAACCAAAACAAACATTTAATACCATAGCTAAAAATCTGGAAGGAGGTAAACAGGAACGGTTTCTGGGAAGGAGCACATTGCCATCAAACCCATGAACTTTGCCCTGCAGAACTTCTATAGAAAAATACTCATATCCTCATTCGAGCAAATTAGAAAATTAGATAGTAGAATGGATGTAGTAGGATAAGCCAAGAGCCACAAAGGAATTGATGCTTGAAGGGATATCGTAAAGGCACAGTGCCTTCGAGTATGTTGGTATAAAGACAAAAATAAGAAACACTCATTAGGCCCTGTAGATATTATTATATCATAATATAGTACAGCAGAAATAATATTATGTAAAGTACATGAGTTTTTCATATAGATGATTTATCTCCCTTTGATTATCATTTCTAAATTTATCATTTAAAAATTTGAAATTTTGTTTCAAGCCATTTTCAAATGTTCAAATATCTTCAATGTTTTCTTAAATAAAATATAGGGAATTTAATTAACTTACTTCTCTCTCTATATATAAAGATTATAATCTCTGAATACCCTCACCCACATATAATATATATAGCACACACATATATTACAAGATTATTCCTTTAATAATTATATTAACATATAAGTACAGACTGAAAGACTGGTTAAAATCTAATAAATCATACACAAATTTTTAACAGTTTGAATCATTTATGAATTTACTATGAGTTTATGAATTTACTATGAATATATAATTGTGAGTTATAATGCCTTCTGAAAACATAAAATAATGATGATAGAGATATATAAGGAGTTGTCCAAGTTTGAATTACTCATCAATTGTTGATACCTCCCAGATGACACTGCCTAACTTCAATCATTAAATATTGACACTTGCTTTTCCTTGGTAACTTATAAGTATCATTTAAAAGAAAAGCATTAAACATGAGTCTACATACGACAATTAGTCTTTAGAGACAGTGAATAATACACTTCAGTTTTCTTTAACTAGTAATTTATCATTGCCAATATTAGTTTTACTCAAGTTGTGGAAATTTGTTCCTAGAACTTTGTTCCAATTGTCTCGAAGAGAACATTTTAAATGAAGTTCGGGCAGATTCTCTCCCATTATTGTCCTATTCAGAAGAAGAGATTTAGTAAAGAGTGAGAATCAGATTAGTTAATTATTCAGCAAACACAGATTAAACAGATTAAATATTTTTGAGTTGGGCAGTGATCCCTGTAGACTTGAGAACCTCACAAGGAAAAAAAATGTCACAGCTTCTTCTTGTTAAATTATTTATAAAATATGCAAAAGCAGAAAAAAGAGGAATGAAAAAGAAAAAGAAACTCCAAAGCTCTCACAGGAGCCCTTCAACTCATTGGCACGTGCATAAACATACATGCATGTGCTTGCACACAAAATTCCTACAGATCAGGACTTCTGGAGATTTCCTATTATCAGGAGACTCTCTGTGCTGTTGCCTGCCAAGAACTCTAGCACAGCGGATCAGGCTATAATGACGAAGCTGTTCATTAGCTAGCGGGTGGTTAAGCTAATTGATTTGGGTGGCAGTGTGGTGTAGCCAGAGCAGAAGGTCAACCTTTGGAGTCAGACATCTCTTCATCTGTAGTCATCCTGACTGGACTGTCTGTAATTGCTTTTACATTTTTGAACCTCAGTTTCACCAACTCCAAACATCAGCTTGAACATCACTCCTTCTAAAGTTACAGATTGAAGTGTCCTCAGCAATCATTTTCTATTTTTCTTTCCCCTACATGTTGGTATTGTTAAAAGGTTGACTCAAACATAGAAGTGAACTCTCTCTCTATAACTAAGTAGCAAAGACACTAGTCAGGAAAGAAGCTAGTAGGTCATCCTCAGTCTAAGCTATTCTAATAATAATAATAATAATAAAAGATTAACTGACTATTGGCTTCAAACCCAGAAAGGACTGCATCTGAGTGCAGATCTCCTCTGGCCAACTAGTTGGGTGAATCTCCTGCCAGGGAGAAGTTTATCTCAGGCTGCCATGATCTAACTGGAAAAGTCTTGCGTAATTACATTAGACATATTCAGGATTGGGTGTCATGACGGATTTAGTAGTTGCCATTTAGATCAATGTGGATTTTTCAAAAACTGTGTTCTGGAGATAGTAGAGCCCTGCCCTTAAAGCATTCACAGATTCATGGAGAGATAGCCATACACCGATAAATTCCATACAGCACAGATTTCATTAGAACGCCAAGAAAGGCAAGACCCAGCATTTGGTACCAAGAAAAGCTTCCTGTAAGACAAAATACTTGAAAAATAATACAGACATTAAATAGGGAAAAACAGGAAAGGACTTCAACAAAGGATATAACAAGAGGAAATTCCTTTTCAATGTGTATATTCAGGTTGTACTTCTTTTTTTTTTTTTTTTTTTTTTTTTGAGACTGAGCCTTTCTCTGTTGCCCAGGCTGGAGTGCAATAGCGCATACTGGGCTCATTGCAAACTCCACCTCCCAGGTTCAAGTGATTCTTGTGCCTCAGCCTCCTGAGTAGCTGGGATTACAGGTGCACACAACCATGCCCGGCTAATTTTTGCATTTTTAGTAGAGATGGGTTTTCACCATGTTGGCCAGGCTGGTCTCAAACTCCTTATCTCAGGTGATCCACCCACCTTGGCCTCCCAAAGTGCTGGGATTACAGGTGTGAGCCACCACTCCCAGCCGGTTGTACCTTTAAAAAAATATATATTAGGTTTTGGGGTACATTTGAAGGTTTGTTACATAGGTAAACACATTTCAATGGGGTTTGTTGTATATATTATTTAATTACCCATGTATTAAGCCCAGTACTCAATAGTTATCTTTTTCTGAAGAAAATCACACATTAAATTTATGACTGTTGACAGATTCCTTAATGCTGTCTAGGAATTGCTTTATAGTGTTCTCTTTCTCTCTCTCTCTCTCTCTCTCTCTCTCTCTCTGTCTCTCAATCTCACTCAACACTCCTCTCTTCACCTAGTTACTCCCTACTCATCTTTAGATCTCAGGTTAAATAGCCAAACAGTGAAATGTCTATCATTTGGGAAACATTTTCTGCCCACTCAGTCTAAAGTTTGAGCTATGTGTTTTTATAGCAGCCTCTATTTTCCTCCATCAGCATTTGTTATAGTATACAATAACTGCCTCTTTAGTTTTCTTGCATTCTCTAGCTCTTTGAGTTCCACAAGGACAAAGTCTCTTTTCATCTTGTTTCTCCTTATGTTTTTATTTTTATCATACATTGTATGTGTCAATAAATATGCCAAATAAACTGATGAATAAATGCATAGATATAAAACTACATGAATATATGTGTATACTTATGTACTTACACACATCTATGGTGAAATTTTTATTTCTTTTATTTTTAGTATTTCCAGTTTTTCTAGCATGTACTTAATGTGCCAAGCAGGAAACTAAGGTAGGCACAAAGTGGCAGGTGTCAACATGAGGCAATTACTGGAAGTTTGTATGAGGCACGTTCTTGGCTACAGGAAACAAGTTAAATGTCCGATGATTAAAGCCGTGTAATATATCTGCTTTACTATTCTAAAGATTAAGCTAGCACAAAATTGGGGCTTTGTACATTTCTTATTGAGCTCAATATTAGCCATGGGGGATTGAAATCATGTGCTTTAAAAGACTCTGATTGCATAAATTAGAATGATGGATTCAGTCATAGAGACTTACACATGTAAGATGTTTTCTTTTCCTCTCTTCCAGTACCATAGCCTCAACCAACAGAAACTACATTCACTAAAACGTTAACTATATTCTCGTTTCCTATTTTCTATGTGATTGCTTTGGTTTTGTAAAAAGATATCGGTCTAGTTCCAAGAAGCTCCATTACCTGAAACATCTGGGGAAATAAGTAGCTACCTTGTTTATAATAGTGCACAAAAGGGTATCTTGCTTAATAAATTTCTCTTTTCTCTGGAAGCTGACAGACACCTGGGTTACTAGGCAACCACTCATTTCTCACAACCAATGAGTATCATATCACACATCATAAATTGAAGAGGTATCAATACACTGCTCTCCACAAGAATGAACAAAGATTTACAAGTGACAGTGATAGAAGCCTGGAATAAGAGGTGGGTGAGGGGACCCAGATGAGGAATAATAAATAGACCATCTGGCAGACGAATGTAGGAAATGGTTGGGAATCTTCCCTCATGCTAACTGAGGGGCTGCAAGCAGTATTTTCTCAACATACCCTAGGGCTCAGCTCTTCACTTGGTGGCAATGACTGCTGCCAGCTGATGAACAACATACCATCTGAATATACATCTTAGCCTTGTGTATGTAATTGGCATTGGATGCAGGATTGCTAAGTAGCAAGGCCTTCTATACATCTCCCCAGGGTGCTATAGCCTGAGGATTAAGCGAAATGGTGTGCAGGTCTTGTAGAGTGGCCAATTTGTCTAGGTGCTATGCTCCATGCACTTTATTAATTGAATAGTGGAGAGGAGAGATATTCCCTTCCTCTAATACTTGGAAAGCCCTTCAGCTCAGAGGTAATCTGTTTTCTCTGGCTAAAGCTCTAAAGAGGGTATGTGAGGCAGTGTTCTATACAATGTTGAAAGGGCAATCAAGGAATTGGTGAGCCTCAGGAAACAGGTCTCTGGAAATGATGGGGAAGTCTGAACAGACATTGTGTAATATTTTTATGTGGAGTAATGGTTTTCTATGTTATGTTAAAAAGGGCAAGAATTCACTATAAAATGACACCATGACCCTGGCAAAAGCCCTGAAAGTTACACTCAGAGCAATTTGTTTGGGGTCTCATCCCACTACATTCCAAGTGATGATTGTAGCAACAAGTGTAAATCCTCTCTGTCCCACTCCCCCTGTTGTCAAGTTCTGATAATAATGCCAATTTAAATAGTAGTGCTTTTAGGCTCACCAGGAGAGATATATTGGATTCTCAAATTAAGAGATAGGGTTCTAGCAATAGACTATGCTTATTTAATTATAGTGAATAATAAAAATAAAACTCGATAATAAAAACAGTCAATGTATTGAGCTCTTACTATTATCAGGCGCGATGGTGGGCTTTAAATACATAATTGTATTTAGCTTTCACAAGAGCCCTTAAATGGTAAGTACTAGTATTATCCCATTTTGTAGATAAGGAAACTGAGACATGGACCTTGGACCTTCCTAAGATCTACATGTCAGTGAATGGCAGGAATTTGAACCCAGACAATTTTATTAGAGAATCTATGCATTTTGCTGCTTTCATTTGAGCATGTATTTTTTGCTTTCAAAACCTTTCACAGCAGTCTGTCAAAACTCATTACTTTATAAATAGATAGGAGGATACATTACATTTTCTCAGAGAATGCTTCACTTTTATTTTTTCCTTGGTTGACATATACTTTTTATGATTTTTAAATTTTTACTTTGAAAGAGTTTAAATTTACAGAAGAACACAAAGATAGTTTTGAGTTTTTATATTGTCTTCAGCTCCCTTAATATTTACATTCTATATAACCATGACCCGTTGATGAAAACCAATAAATTAACATTGATACGTACCATAATGTTAACTATTCAATAGTCTTTTATATTCTTTGATCTATTGTTAGAGGAAAACACAAACAATTCCACTAGCGCCAAAAATTAAACTTAGGCCAAATCTATCTACAAATTTCTCTCTGATTTGCAAACGGAGATCACATTAGGAATTTGGATCCTCCCAATTCACCTGATGTAATCACTGCTGATTATTATGAAATGAGGATTCTTAATGATGATGAGAGGAAGTTGGGATGTTTTGTTGCTTTTGTAAGCTTTTTTTTCTAGATGTGCTCCTTTGAGCCTTGCTCTTAAGAAACAGGAAACAGCTATTTCATCAGACAAGTCTCCTGAGAATCCAAACATCAGTAGATTATATACTATCTGTATTGTCTAATCTTTTTAAAGGAGGTGTATCCTTTCCCAGGTTTTCCCTTCTGACCCATGCTCAAGACATCTGAATTCTACAGATAGGATTAACTGGACTCCAGCCTCTTACTGGATTCTGCCAGTGGAAGAGACAGGCAGGAGATGAGAGGACAAGAGAGAGAGAGAGATTGAAGTATGCTCCAATATGTTCTCCCAATCCAACTTTTTGAGCTGTAGTTTTGGCAGTAGCTGCATCTTAGATTACAGGCTCTCTCTGACAGCCATAGTTCTCAGTTAGGCTGAGATAATATAGTTTTCTCTCTGAACTTGCAGGTCCTGGCTTATAATGGGTCCCACTCTTTCTAGTGCCTTGGACTTCCCCAGCTCTTGTTGGTTCCCCTTCCTCTGCCCAACCTCTAGAAATAGTCACTTCATTGAGATCCTTTTTGATAACCTTTCTGAGTATGCCATCTGCATCCTGCTATGATCATGGTTAATGTACTATATATTTAAAATGATAACTTGAACTCTTAAATGTTCCTGTGAAAACATCATAAACGTTTCTATTCATTTAGGTGAGCAAATTATAAACAAACATTTTCCATTGCCTAAAGTATCAGTTTGAAATTCGTACATGAATCCTCTTTAAAAAGCATATTTTAGGGATACTAGCATGTCCAAGATTCCAGTCACCTCAAATGGAAAGGAAGCATTTAAAAACCCTCTTTGTTTCTTCTTTGCCTGAGCAGATATCCACCATACTAGTAACATCCTTCCTACCTCATTTATCTGGTTAACTCTACTTGTCTTAATCCAGCTCAGTTGTTTCCTATTTCACATGGATCCAACTGCTTTAAATACCTCACCTTTGTATTATGTAATAATTTTTGTAGAAAGCACAAGACTCTTGTATTAATAATTTTAAAAAGAAGGTGTCACAATATATGTATTGCTAAGAATTTATCCTAAGGAAATAGAAATGTGAAACCACATTAAAAGATATTATTTGTAATACTTTAAAAAATAAAAACTTAACCCTTCTGCCTTACAGAAGAAAATGTGATGTGCTTGAGTATGCAATGAAATATTAAGCAGCCAATAAAAGCCATCTTTTCAAACCATATTCGTGATATAGGTAAAAAGTATCTTACACGGGGAGAAATAGAAAAACAGATACTGAAAGAAACACACACAAAAATGTTGATGATAATAATCTATGTACACTTGGCAGGGGTCCCTGCTTATGTAACTTTATTTTTGATATTGAACATGCTTTACTTTTAAAATAACATAAAATCTAGAGTGCAATACACTAAATAAAAATAGGATTTCCTCTTTTAAACACATAACTCCAACAGCCCACATGCTACCAGCACACATCCTGAGAATAAATTCTAAAATTCACTTTGCTGGGGAATGCAAAATTGGATTGTGAAAAATTTTGCATTGTAGAAATTGTATAAATGAAAAACTTGAAAGTAGGAACAATAGTCATTTGTTCCAAATTTACCTTTCTGTATTTTATGTGATGACTAGACCTTTTGTAAATCTTTTTCTTGCTTTGTGATCCAGCTGTTTTGCCCAAGGTTGATGCAGCATTCAGGTCAGATATGCATCAAGCACTCTATTTTGTAGATCATGTTTTATTTATGGTTATTGTTTCCGATGCTATTTCTTCTATCTTTCAACTGAATCCCTGCCAGAGTCACTCTTTAAAAATAACAAAGTAGTGTGAACAATAGCAATTGTAGTTAGAATATTTTTCTCTGTATAACAGACACAACTGACAGGAAGTGAGAATTTTGGCTTGGCCTGAAGGCTCAATGTAAATAAAAATCTAAATAGCTCAGTTTTTTTTTCTTATTACTAAGCTCTGCCTGTGATAGAATTCTTTATCACTTCAGCCCTTACAGGAAGAAGCTGACATAGGTGCCAGCCTGTGCCAGAATATTCAATTAACTATGCATCAAGGTGACCCATTTGTCCAGTGGGTGCCAAAGCTGAAATTTTTTTAAAAATCCATTATTTTTCCAGGTGAATGTATTAGATAAACTTGCCTGCCAACAAGTCCTTTCTGACTTCATAATTGTTGATTTGTGATTTTTTTCAAGGACCCATATGCTAATCTATAGATTACAGCTACAAAATACAATAATAATAATATTTGTATGAGGCTTCAGAGTTCACAAAAGTCATTTTATATATCTTGCGTCTCATAACAATTCACATTACTTTAGGTAAATAATATTATTGTCTCCATTTTATAGATAAGGAAATTGAGATTTAATTTAGTTGAAGAGCTTGTCCAAGGTTACTAGGCAATTGATGAAACTGGTATTCACACTAGAGGCTGTTAGCTCTTTTAGGGTATGTATTTTACTGTCTCATGTTGCTGTGTAATTGACTATTTATAAATGCCCATGGTTGACCTCACTTAACAGTTACTAATTAATAAAAATCAGTAAATTACAGTTTTCTCCAATAGCTGCAAATTGAAACCCTAATCCTTTTAATTTTATCATTTCAGAACTGTTTTTGTAACATTAAAGAATTCTGAGTTTCACATATTTTCAATATCTCTCACAAGTGTCTATCACATATTTCACATCATCAATCACAGATGTGTTAGTGGGAAAAGTCTCAAAGACACTCAATAGAATGCTATTCTGTTAGAAAAACTGACTTTGCTAAGAAAATACTGTGGTAACTATTTTGTTAATAGAGATATGAATAATAGTCCTCCAATTTGTATATTTTGTAAGTTTAAATGTTCTTACAACAATGGTTCATAAAATCTGGATGCTTACTTTTCCTAAAGCTAGGAAGAAACACTTTGGAATGTGAGTGGCTAAAAATCAAAAGGCATGTTTTGCTTACTGGCACCCTGCTCCATTTGAGTCATGCTGAAAGGTCACCAAAGAAAGAGACAGTGATTAGTTCATGTCAAAGCTGAGAGTTGTGGTGGTTTAATATCAGTTTGAAGAGGTATGACATTTTTAATAAGAGAAATATTGACTTTCTTTTGCTTTTTTATTTTAATTATCAGACCTAATACAAAATCCTACAGTTTTTTATTCTCTCCCAATCCCAGAATTCCTTCCTATCCAGTCTAGATCACAGAACATAAAACTCTTCAATCTTTTGCATCATCACAACTCTCTTCCAGTTGTTTTCCCTATCAAAACCACCATCCCTATCACCACACCATGCTCCATACCCTTCTCTTTACCTCCTGTATATCACTAAGAAAATAGTGGATCTTTATTTTTATTTTATTTATTTTTGAGACGGAGTCTCGCTCTGTCGCCCAGGATGGAGTGCAGTGACGCGATCTCGGCTCATTGCAACCTCCGCCTCCCGGGTACAAGCGAGTCTTGTGCCTCAGCCTCCTGAGTAGCTGGGTGCTATAGACACGCGTCACTGCGTCCAGCTAATTTTTGTATTTTTAATGGAGACGAGGTTTCACCATATTGGCCAGGCTGGTCTCGAACTCCTGACCTCGTGATCCGCCTGCCTCGGCCTCCCAAAGTGCTGGGACTACAGGCATAAGCCACTGCACCCAGACTATTTTTAATCAAAACTCCCTTAACTTACTGCACTTTATCTCCTCACCCCAAAACTCAATTGCATTTTGATCTCTTCTTCCTTCTTAGTTCCATGAAATAGGCAGCCATTTGCTGAAACCATTTCTTAGAAGTACTTTACTGGGTCCAGGCTCTTCAAAGAACTGTTCTATTAGTTAGACCTTTTCCTTTACTTCAGCCATTACTCTCTCTATATATATCTATATATCTATATATGCATATATATATATCTATATCTATATATGCATATATATATCTATATATAAAAAGATATGAAGTTTATGCTTTCTTTGGTTAAAAGACATATATTATATATATAAAGACATATATATGCATATATACATATATATACATATATATTTTTTAACCAAAGAAAGCATAATCTGTTTCCATATTAAGTCAATTTATCACCCTGTTAATCATATATAGGTCTCGTTTTAGTAATAGCCCTAATTCTACCACCAAAGTATTGAGTCTTTATGTACTGTCTTCCTTTTCTCATCACCTATTCATATTTCAACCCAGATATGATGTTCAACCTCCTAGCCCCTGATCATATTCCTATGAAAGTATTTTTTTTTGTGCCCTTGATGGATTTCATATTTTATAAAATTAAATGAACAGATTTTCCTTTTGAAAAATAATACCCATTTCTGATGATGAAATCCAACAATATACTCTTATTGTAAAATATTTGACATATATGTGAAAGATATATATATACTCTTTATCATTTTTAATGACATAAAATATATTTTAAAATCTATTTCTAATTTTTAATCTTAGATTTTCCAATTCTAAGAGTTTTTTGGTAGAGTCTTTATGTTTTTCTAGATGTAAGATTATGTCTTCAGCAAAGAGGGGCAAGTTGACTTCCTCTTTTCCAATTTACATGTCTTTTATTTTTTTCTCTTGTCTGATTGCTCTAGTTAGGACTTCCAGTACTATGTTGAACAGGAGTAGTGAAAACATGTATTCTTGTCTTATTCTTAGAGGAAAGGCTTTCAATTACTCCTTATTTGGGTATGACGTTAGCTGTGGTTGTTACATATGGCCGTTATTATGTTAAGGTATACTCCTTCTATGCCTAGTTTGTTGAGAGTTTTTATCATGAAGGGATGTTGAACTTTATTAAATGCTTTTACTGTGCCTACTGAAATGCTCAGGTAGTTTTGTCCTTGATATAGCTTGGATTTGTGTCCTGGACCAAATCTCATATCAAATGGTAATCCCCAGCGACAGCAGAGGGGCCTGGTGGGAAGTAATTAGATCATGAAGGCAGATTTCCTCCTTGCTGTTCTCATGGTAGCAAGTGAGGTCTCACAAGATCTGGTTGTTTAAAAGTGTGTAGCACCTCCCACTTCACTCTCTTCTTCCTCCTGTCTGGCCATGTAAGATGTGCCTGCTTCCCTTCACCTTCTGTCATGATTGTTAGTTTTCTGAGGCCTCCCCAGCCATGTTTCTTGTACAGCTTGCAGAACCGCGAGCCATTTAAACATTTTTCTTTATAAATTACCCAGTCTCAGATATTTATGTATAGCAGTATGAGAATGAACTAATGAGAAAATTGGTACCTAAGAGTGGGGCATTTCTATAAAGATAATTGAAAATATGGAAGCAGCTGTGGAATTGGTTAACACACAGAGGTTGGAATAGTTTGGAGGGATTAGACAAAAACAGGAAGATGAGAGAATGTTTGGAACTTCCTAGAGACTTGCTTAATGGTCTTGACCAAAATGCTGATAGTGATATGCACAGAAATGGCCAGGCTGAAGAAGTCTCAGATGGACATGAGAAACTTATTAGAAACTGAACCAAAGGTCACTTTTGTTATGCATTTGCAAAGAGGTTGGAGGCATTGTGCCCCTGCCCTGGGGATCTTTGAAACTTTGAACTTGAGAGGAATGATTTAGGGTGTCTGGCAGAAGAAGTTTCTAAATAGCAAAGTGGCCTGGCTGCTTCTAAGCACCTAAGCTCATATACATGAATAAAGAAATGATCTGAAACTGGAACATATATTTAAAATGGAAGCAGAGCATAAAAGTTTGAAAAATTTGCTGCCTGGCCATGTGGTAGAAAAGAAAAAACTATTTTCAGGGGAGAAATTGAAGCAGGCTGCAGAAATTTGCACAACTAAGAGAAAAGGAAGTACTAATAGCCAAGACAATGTGGAAAAGATTCCATTTCAGGTATTTCTTTATAATGGTGGGACAATGGACTAATACAGTCCTTCATTCTGTTGATATGATGTATCACATATATTGATTTGCATATGTATCCTTGCATCCCTGATATAAATCCCACTTGATCATGGTGTAATATTTTTTTGATGTGCTGTTGAATTTCATTTGCTAGTATTTTGTTGACAATTTTTGAATCTATGTTTATCAGGGATATTGGCATGTAATTTTCTTCTGTTGTTGGGACTTTGTTTGGTTTTGATATCAAGGTGATGCAAGCCTCATGGAATAAATTCAGAATTCCTTCTTATTTTATTTTTTTGGAATAGTTTTAGGAGAACTGGTGTTAGTTCTTTCTATAGTATATTGGAAGAATTTGGCTATGAATCCATCTAGTCCTAGGTTTTTCTTTATTGTAAGACGTTTTATTGCTGATTCAATCTCATTACTTGTTATTAGTCTGTCCTAATGAGTAGACCATTAGGACACACTAATAAAGAAGAAAAGAGAGAAGAATTAAATAGACACAAAAAAGGGTAAAGGGGAGATCACCACTGATCCCACAGAAATACACACTACCATCACAGAATAATATAAACACCTTTACGCAAACAAACTAGAAAATCTCAAAGAAATGGATAAATTCCTGGACACATACACCCTCCCGAGACTAAACCAGGAAGAAGTCAAATCCCTGAATAGATCAATAACAAGTTCTGAAATTGAGGCAGTAATTAATAGACTACCAACCAGGAAAAGCCTAGGACCAGACCGATTCACAGCTGAATTCCACCACAGGTACAAAGAGGAGCTGGTACCATTCCTTGTGAAAATATTCCAAACAATAGACGGAGAGGGAATCATCCCTAACTTATTTTATGAGGCCAGCATCATCCTGATAACAAAACCTGGCAGAGACACAACAAAAAAAGAAAATTTCAGGCCAATATCCCTGATGAACATCGATGTGAAAATCCTCAATTAAATACTGCCAAACCAAATCAAGCAGCACATTAAAAAGCTTATCTACCATGATCAAGTCTGCTTCATCCCTGGAATGCAAGGCTGTTTCAACATACGCAAATCAATAAATGTAATCCATCACATAAACAGAACCAATGACAAAAACCACATGATTATCTCAATAGATGCAAAAAAAAAAAAGGCCTTCAATAAAATTCAACACCCTTTCATGCTAAAAACACTCAATAAACTAGGTATTGATGGAACATACCTCACAATAATAAGAGCTATTTATGACAGACCCATAGCCAATATACTACTGAATGGGAAAAAGCAGGAAGCATTCCCTTTGAAAACTGACACAAGACAAGTGTGCCCTCTCTCACCACTCCTATTCAACATAATATTGGAAGTTCTGGCCAGGGCAATCAGGAAAGAGGAAGAAATAAAGCATATTAAAATACGAAGAGAGGAAGTCAAATTATCTCTGTTTGCAGATGACATGATTGTATATTTAGAAAAACATATCATCTCAGCCCAAAAAACTCCTTAAGCTGATAAGCAACTTCAGCAAAGTCTCAGGATACAAAATTAATGTGCAAAAATCACAAGTATTCCTATACACCATTAATAGACAGAAAGCCAAATCATGATCAAACTCTCATTCACAATTGCTACAAAGAGAATAAAATACCTAGGAATACAACTTACAAGGGAGGTGAAGGTCCTGTTCAAGGAGAACTACAAATCACTGCTCAGTGAAATAACAGAGGACACACACAAATGGAAAAACATTCCATGCTCATGGATAGGAAGAATCAATATCATAAAAATGACCATACTGCCCAAAGTAATTTCTGGATTCAATGCTACTTCCATCAAGCTACCGTAAATTTCATGTGGAACCAAAAAAGAGTCCATATGGCCAAGACAATCCTAAGCAAAAAGAACAAAGCTGGAGGCATCACGCTACCTAACTTCAAACTATACTGTAAGGCTACAGGAACCAAAACGACATGGTACTGGTACCAAAACAGATATACAGACCAATGGAACAGAACAGAGGCCTCAGAAATAACACCACACAACTACAACCCTCTGATCTTTGACAAACCTGACAAAAACAAGCAATGTGGAAATGATTCCCTATTTAATAAATGGTGTCGTGAAAACTGGCTAGCCATATTCAGAAAACTGAAACTTTCTGAAGGACCCCTTCCTTACACCTTATACAAAAATTAACTCAAGATGGATTAAAGATTTAAACGTAAGACCAAAAACCATAAAAACCCTAGAAGAAAACCTAGGCAATACCATTCAGGACCTAGGAATGGGCAAAGACTTCATGACTAAAACACCAAAAGCAATGGCAACAAAAGCCAAAATTGACAAATGGGATCTAATTAAACTAAAGAACTTCTGCACAGCAAAAGAAACTATCATCAGAGTGAATAGGAAACCTACAGAATGAGAGAAAATTTTTGCAATCTAGCCATCTGACAAAGGGATGGGCTAATATCCAGAATCTACAAGGAACTTAAACAAACTTACAAGAAAAAAATCAAACAACTCCATCAAAAAGTGGGCAAAGGATATGAACAGACAGTTTTCAAAAGAAGACATTTATGCAGCCAACAAACCTATGAAAAAAAGCGTATCATCACTGGTCATTAAAGAAATGCAAATCAAAACCACAATGAGATACCATCTCATGCCAGTTAGAATGGAAGTCATTAAAAAGTCAGGAAACAATCGATGCTGGGGAGGATGTGGAGAAATAGGAACACTTTTACACTGTTGGTGGGAGTGTAAATTAGTTCAACCATTGTGGAAGACAGTGTGATGATTCCTCAAGGATCTAGAACTAGAAAAACCATTTGACCCAGCAATCCCATTACTGGGCATATATTCAAAAGCTTATACATCATTATGCTATGAAGACATATGCCCACGTATGTTTATTGCAGCACTATTCACAATAGCAAAGACTTGGAACCAACCCAAATGCCCATCAATCTTAGACTGGAGAAAGAAAATATGGCACATAGAAACCATGGAATACTATGCAACCACACAAAAGAATGAGTTCATGTCCTCTGCAGGGACATGGATGAAACGGGAAACCATAATTCTCAGCAAACTACCACAGGAACAGAAAACCTAAAACCACATGTTCTCACTCATAAGTGGGAGTTGAACAATTAGAACTTACGGGCACAGGGAAGGGAACATCACACACCAAGGCCTGTCGGGGGCTGTGGGGCAAAGGGAGGGATACCATCAAAAGAAATACTTAATGTAGATGATGGGTTGATGGGTGCAGCAAACCACCATGGCACATGTATACCTACATAACAAATCTGCACAAAACTTAAAGTATAATTATAAATAAATAAATAAATAATATTAAAATATATAAATGAAACTATTATTTAGAGTTTTCTGAAAAAAAGAGTGGTATGTTAAATACTCTTGTAACAATTGTGTTTCTGTCAAAATGTTGACACGGTCTCAATGCATATGTTGATGCTATATCATTAAATGCCTAATTATACTGGTATGAATTTTATTTTATAACAGTATAAAATATTTGAACTGCAATTTACTTTATCTGATGTCAATTTTACCAGCCTTTAGTTTCCTTTTAATCATTTTACACATTTTGAGTTTCTCTGGACCAAATTTTATTGATGTCAGTACCTCTGAGCCTTTGGTTGTAATGTTTTGGGATTCAGTAATTATGACAAAGTCCTGTGTTGATCAGAGTAACCACTGGACTTGTTACTGGTTTTCTGTTGTTCATTTGGACTATAAATTATCTGGCACTATGGATATTGCCACCCTAGCCACAAGTGAGATTTAATGATACTAACACAATATAAATGTGAAAAATTTTATAATAAAAATACAGATTTTTGGCTTTTCTTGAAGAATCAGAAGGCTTGAGAAATTGGATGTACCTTTCCTTTGGTGGTAATACTGAACTGAAGCTGGTTTAGAGCCACCCCCTTTATATAGAACATGTACTCTCAAGCTTGTATCATGCATTTGTTACCTATCTGGCCTTATAGTCATTTTTGTTTTCAATCATTGTTTATACACTTGTAGTCACTGCTACTGCATCATCACCATCTTTTAGTACTGATTTGTCTTTCTTTCTGTCTTTGTCTGCAACTACACATTTGTAATTCCCTTCTTGTCCTTGTACTTCAGAGAAGCATAGCAACCCAAGTACAACAACTTTTGCCATTGGATCAGAGAACACAGCCCTGTTTAACGACTCTTCTCCTGTTAATCTGACAAATACCTGAATTATGTACTAGATCCTAACTTTCATGTCCTAACATTTGGATGTTCTAGTCTTTTTACTTCATCTGCCTCCTTAAACTTGTTCTATTGCCATTTTCAAATTCATTCTGGAAACCTGGGTTTGGTCGCTCTCCACCAACATAGTTCTCCCTCACCTATTTACAAAAACTTTATACACTTTAAAATTGACTAGGGGCCAACTTGAATCCATTGCTTTCTGCAACAGTGGTATTTATACCAACTCTTTTTTAAAACTTTGATTTAAAGGACAGTTTTCTATGTTGGCCTCTGCCTCTGAATTGGTGAGAGGCTGGCTCAGAAAGAGGTGAATATCTTGACTCTGTGCATGAAGAAGTCATTACTATCATTCAGTAAAGATATTCTACTTCCTATTGAAGTTCCCAAATAGGAATCAAACCACCCAAAATAAAAACTATAACAATACAATTATCTGAAAAGTGAGTATATTCTCTCTCCTGCATTTAGAGGGAGTTCTCAATAAACAATCATTGCAAAAGCAAGATGCCTGAAATGTTTAGGCCCAGGGTGTTTAACGTTATAATGGGAAATCAAGCAGAGGTGCTAAATACAGCGCTATTCTCTACAACTCTATCATAGATGCTCATGTTTCTGTGGCTTATTTTATAAGGCTGTCATGTTCAAATTTATTCTGTCAAGCAGTTATTTTCTCTTCCACTGAATTGTTCTATATATCTAACTACATATCCATATCTTCATCTCTTCTTTTTACCACTCATCTTTCAACCATTTATTTATATTTCCACTATGACACATATTTTGACAGCTCCCTTTATATTTTCATTGCTTGGTTTGAGCTGGACTGCCACATTCTTTTTAAAGATGTAAGGTGCCATTAGAAATAGCACCAGTTGCGTCTCTTGATCGTCGCCATCTTCTTACCCAAGCAATTTTCACTTTGACACGGCAAATTATACTGATGTACAGTGCATATTTCTCTCTAGTGATTGTAATTAAAATGGGTTTCATGGGATTTTATAATCAGAAAGGATGACATGCTTGGAAATAAATGTGTAGACAATTAACTAATAATTATTGATTTATATCCAAGACGTTCAAATGTACATGGCACATGTGTTGTATATGTTAGTATCTTTGTATATGCTATTCATTAAACAATTCGGTATTTTGGTTTCAGATGTGCACTTTGCATTTTGAAAGTGTTTCCCTTGATGCTTTTCTTTGTGCTGCTTCATTCTGTCCCTCTCTCACACTGGCTGTTTCCACTGCTGCTGCCTGTGAACAACCTAGAGACTGAATCTCTTTGTTACAAGATCAGTAATTGCTAAACAGTGTTAACCAGAAGTGATAATGGCTTATTAACACCTAAGTGGCATTTCTTTCAGAAAAACTAAAAGATCACAGAAGAAGGCAGAATATTGTTGAGATATATGGGCAGCCTCTGAGAACAAATACTTGCTGATGTAGACTATTGTAGATTTCCATACTTCTTTGCCTTTTAAACCAGCAGCAGGTTTGTTACTATGTGAACTACATATGCTTAATCAGTGAGTGTTTCAAAGAGAAATTAGCTTTGATTTGAATTTAAGAGAGTGACCTATCTTGATAGATGGAAATTTTTTATTTTAGACATTTTTGAAAGCTGATGCCAGAGACGATAGGCAGTGAATAGATGACCTTTGTAGAAAATACTTTGTGGTCTTTAACTTCCTAGCACCCATGTCCCCTTTCTAATGATACCCTGATTTCCTTTTGGAAAATGGTCTTACCAAATATTATATATGGTTGTGGTAGGTGATAAATAGAGATCCTTGACTCCTCAATAGAAGATCCTTCTTCTCACTGACTGGCACATACCAGGAACAGGCTCCTGATCTAAGATTGGCTGAGTGCTGCTCTCTGCTAGGATACTGAATCATGAGCAAATGTAGGAGAGAAAGAGGTGGATAGTGCTCAGTCATTCTAGTGGTAGTGTCCCTATCTGAGGATTCTTTTCAAAAATTATTGCTGATGTTTCTGCATTCTAGGCCTTTTAACTGAACTGCAAGTCTGCAATCTTTCCATGGTAAGACATAGCCTCTCAGAAAACACACACACACACACACACACACACACACACACACACACACACAAGATACAGCTTTATATGTTAACACAGAACTTAAGAGCATCACTACTAAAGTCAGACTGCATTGATTTCATGCTGACTTTCAATTAATTAGATGACTTTGGGCATGATGTTTAGTCTCCTCAGTTTTCCATTTCTCCACTATGAAATAAGGATAACAAAGCTGTTTATCCCAGGCAGTTATAGGTATATAAAGCACTTAGAATAGAGCCTGAGATAGTACATGCTCCCAAGACTTAACTATCATCAAATTTTAATTTCATTCTCTTGCTCTCTCTCTCTCATCCTTAAATACCCCCACCCAATTATCTCAACTAATCTTTTTGCAAAGTCTTGTACCATCCAGCTTACAACTAAATGAAAGATATACTTAAAATATCCAAATAAGTTCTCAATGAAACAAGTCAAAATTACCAAGTTCCTTACTCAGTGAACAAGATAACATCACTATTTTCCAAAACATGCACATTGAATATTATTCTGCCAAAAGTTGCACTGTGGTGAATTTGAATGCAATTTATACTCATTTCAGCCAACATCTCAAAGAAGTTACTGCTGTCATAATTGAGGGACCACCTTGTCAGAAATCTCATCTTCATAGCATCTTACAGAATTCACAACAAAAAAACATCACAGAGAGTCCATATTGTTGCTGCTTCATCCCAAGCTCACTGGCTATTGTGGACATATTGCTGTTATAAGGTGGTTGACTGACTTGGAAAACATCGGGCTAAGAATTAAACTGCAGGCATGGAAAACAATTGAAACATTCTGAGGCTTTTTGACATATTGAGTGTCCCTATATTCAAGGTTAACTCTCATTGCTCAAGGGTAAAGTAAAAGAAGAAAAACTGCAGTGATCTGGAAACCCATATCCACTCTTTAGGAGTCATAATACTTGAAAGGAATATTTGGCCATTCCAGTTGTTTATATATTTTTTATTACACTTTAGGTAAAAAAGCCATATATCCTAAAATGCTCTGAGCGAGCAAAGAAAACTGTCCTGGAATGATAACTAGTTGGAAGTAATTTAAGCAGCTGGCCAGTTCTGGTATCTGTCAGCAAATAGCACTAATAACATGCTATTCACTCAGAGTCTATTTGTGAGATTAATGGTACTAGATAGAATATTTTATGTCTTTACTCTATTTACCAGCATGATGTCAGTCAGAATTAAAATGGTTTTGAAAGTGTAGAAATTCCATTGTATATATTACTGAGAATATTTTTCAAGGTATTTCTACAATATTAGCATGCTTCTGACACATTTTGCTATTCTAAGAAGATTCAATACTACAAAATACATGAGCAGTCCCATGGATAAAATGAAGAGATCAGAAAGGGAGAGGAGTCAAAGCACTTTACTATAGACTCTTCTGATAAAGAGAAAAGTTGAAAAATTTTTCCTTATCTGTTTGAAATTTAGGCCGCTAATTCCATAGTCATTTTGTCATATATATATATATATATGCCATCGATAAGTTAGAAAAATAAAATATTCAAAAATATTTGAAATATATTTCAAAAATATTTGAAAAATATTAAAAAATAATAGCACATTTTAATGACTAAAATCAACATAAAGCTGATTTCAAATATTGTAATTCTCATGCCACCAATTAAAAAAATACGATTATTCTATTTTGATGCTACAAAGCATTAGGTGGATTTTTCTGACTCAGTATTTTTATTTCTTATTGCATAAAAAGTAAAGAAATAGAATTTCTGAATTATTGGATAAGCTTAGAGTTGGTCCACTTTGGCATCAATATACCAGCAAAGACATTAAGTTTTCTAAAATTTAATATTTAACAGTTTCATTAATATGAATGGCATTTCCAGTAGGTCCTTTAATTACATTGTTTCAATAAATATAAATGAAACAATACTGAATTAATATTAAAATTTGATAAATATATTTTATGAGAAAGTTATTATAAGTACAAGATAAGAAAATACAGGATAAGGAACATGCTACTAAATGTCATTTTAACAAATCTTCAATTACTTGCAGAGAGATACCGAACCAAAGTTGACATATTTGGAAGCAGTTCTGTAATTCAGAGAAATGACTTTATGAAGACTTTGCAAGAATATAGAGATATTCTGGGTGAAGAGTTGAAATATGTGCATTTATTACAATACTTTTTTGTTAGGTTGGTACATATATAACCTCAACGTACTTTGCATCTCCTTTCATGGACTTTGCTATATTTATTTTACTTTATAATCTATCTAAAACTCTATCACCAAAATCTTTTGAATTTCTCAAGTTTATTCCTCCCCCATCCTCCTAACCAACTATTTTAAACGGGTCTTTACCCTATCACCACTACAGTCAGCAGGATGTGTGTGTTAGGCATGGGTTAGAATCTATGAGAATACCCACCTATCTGGTTGATAGGTGGGTATTTCACTGAAAGTGTATGGTAAATTATGCCTCTATCAACAGCTGACGGTGGAGGAACAAGAGGCAAGGGGGAGAAAAACATAGGCCAAGCCAATATTGACAATTCCAAGCTGTGCATCTGTGCATTGTGTGTGCGTGCATGTGTGTGTGTGTGTGTGTGTGTGTGTGTGTGTGTGTGTGTGCATGTGTCTTGCAAAAAATGAAAGGCCAGATAGGTAAGTTGGCACTGAGGACATTTGAAAGTTTTGTTTTCCTACTTTGTGTAGTGCATAGATATTTAATGGATCCCTATAATGTACTAGTTTCTGAAGTATTGGGAATGCAATGTGTACAGTGGAGTCCACAGGAGACAATGGGAGGAGAAAACAAGTATACAGGCAATTATGTGTTTTGCAAGTACCATAACTGAGAAAAGTAAAAGGGACTAGAGGACCATGTTAGATGGACACTCAAACAATCTATGATGCAAAGAGAAAAGCCTTCCCAGAAGAGATGCCTAATCTGAGACCCAAAGGATAAGTGAAAAGTCAACCAGTGGATGAAGTGAGTGAGTAGGTTCTGCCACATCACAAGGGCTTTCTAAACAGAAGGAGCAAAATGTGCCAATGTCAAGAGGATCAAGGTTGTACAGCACATTTAGAAAGCAACATGTAGCTCACTTGGGTGCTAGAGGTTTGAAGACATGAAACTTGTCTTGTCTGTATTGGGATTACTTTTGAGATCTTGGCTAAGGTAGCAGTTGGAGATATTCTAGAAAAGAATTAGGGAAACACTTGAAAACAGAGATGAAGAGGCCAAAGAGAATGCTTAGAAGGAGAAACAGCCCTTTATTGCCTTCAACCTGTTTCTAAAAATAAAATCTCTCAATTCCCTACTAGGAATTATAACACTTAAAGTTGTGTCTTTGGTTATAAGCCAATTCTGGCTAACTTAACCAAAAGATAATTTATTCCAAGAATAATGGTGGCCTAAAGAAAAAAATAAAAATGACAAAAAATTAGCCTTAGAAGTGAGCAGGAAAGAAGTCCATTCTGTATTTAACTGGGACTCAGTTTCTATTTTAATTCAACAAAAACATTGCTAAGCACCTGCTATGTGTCAGGCAGCATACAAAAGTGGGAAATGAGGAAATATAATTGAATAAAACAGTAACATGTCTACTATGACTGACCTTGGAATCTAGTAAGGTTGGGGGTGGAGGATGGGTACATGAAACATTCCTAGAAAATAATTATGTAACTATGAAATAGGATAAGTGCTATGAGTGAGAAACAACATAATTTTAAATTAGGGTGTGAGAAAAGACTTAGCTGAGGAGGCGATTTTTAAACTCAGATGTAAAGAATAAGTAGTTGTCTAGGTGAGAAGCATGTGTGAATTGCTGACATGTGAAAGAAGTCAGTGCACTGGAACATCCTAGAGAGACAAAGCAGAGTGAGCCAGTGGGTGGAGTGCTGAATAAACAAAAGCTTTAGAGGTAATGCTGAAGCAAGGTCATGCAGGTTTAGTAGATCATGCCAAGGTTTGGTATCATATCCTAAGTGAAATGTGGGGGATTGCAAGCTGAACTATAGAATCAGGCTTGCATTTTAAAGATTGATCTGGATACTAATTAAAGGATAGAGAGTAGGAGGCAAGAATGGAGATGAAAAGGGCAGAACAGTGGTTCTCACAGTAATCTGGACACATGAAACTGTCACGTTAACCTTTTCTGTGCCCACTACACTTTTACATTCCTCTTCTTCTAGTTGCTTCGGGGAATTTCTCCTCCTGCCACATGTCCTAGAGGAGGTTATTAGTCTTGGAGCTGAAAGGGGGTTGCTCAGAGTGCCCCCATCCCTCTAGTCAAAGTGCTTGGTTCACAAATGGACAATGGCCCAAGTAGAATCAATCAGTATATTCTGTGGGATTCACATACATATGACAGAAAAGAGAAATTCTTTTTTACTGCAGTGGCAAAGCTAGTGATAGGTACTCATGGTGCTACTGGCAGCCACTTTTCAGAATACAGTGAACTAAGGGAGGGCTATCCCTGTTCAAGGCTGGGCAAGGCACTTAAGATAGGATCAGTATTACTGACTTCTCCATTTTACCTCAGCCTGAATATGGTGCACATGGCACTGGTATTGATCCTTTATTTAAAATTTTGACCTTTTGTTTATTATGACCGTTTTTCATGCATTTAATTTTTTAATATGACATTAAAGCAGTCTTTATATTGATTTTGTTTGGTGCTTCCGTAAATCTTGCACACTGGATGAGGGCTTACTCCTCTCACCCTCGTGAACATTTATCATTTTGGATCTGTCTAGCACTTGAACCCTATTTTTGTGTTCAGGAAATACTTTATGCATCTTGATGGAAAGTGGTTTTCATTATTAATCTAAAAATATCTATTATATTTATGATGGATACTGCAGGTTTATTTGCTTCACTTCCATTTTAGTGGGCTTACATATTGTCCTCCTCTATTTTAGAAGCTAGGAAACTAAAAAAATATATTCCTCATACTTTCTTATAACTACTGGACAGGTATATAACCTAGATTCTACGAGTCTTATAACTTCACATAAGTCTCGGTTGCAGATGAGGTGAAGGCTAGGTGTGTAGCGATCAGATATTTTTGTAAGCCTGATGGCAGAGGTAGACATATGTAAACTTTTGTGAGGCAACTGAAATAGAGCATCTGGTTTCCAGCCCTGAGCCAGAGAAGTGCTAAGTAGCAATCTGTAACAGTATCTCATAATGCAAAAGTGCATTGGTTTTATTTTATGGCTATATAACATTCACAGTTGGTTGTTTTTGCCTTGCCAAACATTCTGAGAGTTGGGTATTATTATTTTTCCTTCCTTCTCTCTTTCTCTCCTTTTTTCTTTCTTTGTTTCTCTTTCTTTCTCTCTTTCTCTCTCTTTCTTTCTTCTTTCCTTTTCTTTCTTTTCTTTTTTCCTTCCTTCCTTCCTTCCTTCCTTCTTTTCTTTTTCTTTCTTTTTTTTTTTTTGCTTAAACAAGCTAAAAGGACTCTGTGGTATGTCACAAAGATTTCTGTCCCTATGATAGCTTTTTCAGCCTCCCTTGCAGCAAAAGCACCTTCACACAATTTAGATTCAACAATCAGATGCGTCTGCTTTGGGTATTAAATCAGAAATTAATGACAAAAGAACAAAAGAGGCCCTGAGATATCTTTGTTTTGATGGAAATGGCAATAGAAACAATATCCAATTTGAAACCAGCAGGGACAAATACCACAGGCAGCAACTAAATACTTTGATTTCAGCCCAGTCAGACATTGAGCAGAGGGCTTAGCTAACCTGGGTCTAGACTCCTGACATATGGACACTGTGAGATAATCATTTGGTGCTGTTTTAAGTCCCTAAATTAGTGATAACTTGTTATACAACAACAGAAAACTAAACAATGTATTGGTATTTACTTAGGCATGTTTTCCCTTATTTCTTAACAGTACATCAACTGATGATATTTCTCAGAATTGATAATATCACAGGTTAAAAAACATACTGTTCATAATGATTTAAATATTTCTTGTTTTGTTCAGAAGTACAGCTTTCAATTGCATGATTAAATAAATCAAATAGATGGGTTTATTATGTTGGAGTGGGATGAAAGGAAGAATCAAAAGTGTTGAGAGTATTTGGAAGGTTTTATTTATGATAAGGGCCCACATTATATAAGCTGAAGATGAAAATAATGGGAAAAATGGATAACACACTACAAGAAGTGGTACTGCCAATTCCTATCTAGGAGACTTTAGATAACTTATTTACATTTTAAGTCTTTTCTCATTTGTAAAATGGAGCTAATTGTACTACTTCACAGGGCTCCAGAGATAACTATAAACATGGAATGGAACAACTGGTAGCAGCCACTGCAAAAACATGCCAAATTGTAAAGACCATCAAGGCTAGGAAGAAACTGCATCAACTAATGAGCAAAATAATCAGCTAACATCATAATGACAGGAACAAATTCACACATAACAATATTAACTTTAAATGTAAATGGGCTAAATGTTCCAATTAAAAGACACAGACTGGCAAATTGGATAAAGAGTCAAGACCCATTGGTGTGCTGTATTCAGGAAACCCATCTCACGTGCAGAGACACACACAGGCTCAAAATAAAGGGATGGAGGAAGATTTACCAAGCAAATGGAAAACAAAAAAAGGCAGGGGTTGCAAACCTAGTCTCTGATAAAACAGACTTTAAACCAACAAAGAAGGCCTCAAAAGAGACAAAGAAGGCCATTACATAATGGTCAAGGGATCAATTCAACAAGAAGAGCTAACTATCCTAAATATATATGCACCCAATACAGGAGCACCCAGATTCATAAAGCAAGTCCTGAGTGACCTACAAAGAGACTTAGACTCCCACACAATTATAATGGGAGACTTTAACACCCCACTGTCAACATTAGACAGATCAACGAGACAGAAAGTTAACAGGGATACCCAGGAATTGAACCCAGCTCTGCACCAAGTGGACCTAATAGACATCTACAGAACTCTCCACCCCAAATCAACAGAGTATACATTCTTTTCAGCACCACACCACACCTATTCCAAAATTGACCACATAGTTGGAAGTAAAACTCTCCTCAGCAAATGTAAAAGAACAGAAATTATAACAAACTGTCTCTCAGACCACAGTGCAATCAAACTAGAACTCAGGATTAAGAAACTCACTCAAAACCACTCAACTACATGGAAACTGAACAACCTGCTCCTGAATGACTACTGGATAAATAATGAAATGAAGGCAGAAATAAAGATGTTCTTTGAAACCAACGAGAACAAAGACACAACATACCAGAATCTCTGGGACACATTCAAAGCAGTGTGCAGAGGGAAATTTATAGCACTAAATGCCCACAAGAGAAAGCAGGAAAGATCTAAAATTGACACCCTAACATCACAATTAAAAGAACTAGAAAAGCAAGAGCAAACACATTCAAAAGCTAGCAGAAGGCAATAAATAACTAAGACCAGATCAGAGCTGAAGGAAATAGAGACACAAAAAAACCCTTCAAAAAATTAATGAATCCAGGAGCTGGTATTTTGAAAAGATCAACAAAATTGATAGACCGGTAGTAAGACTAATAAAGAAAAAAAGAGATAAGAATCAAATAGACATAATAAAAAATGATAAAGGGGATATCACCATCACCAACAATCCCACAGAAATACAAACTACCATCAGAGAATACTATAAACACCTCTATGCAAATAAACTAGAAAATCTAGAAGAAATGGATAAATTCCTCGACACATACATCCTCCCAAGACTAAACCAGGAAGAAGTTGAATCTGTGAATAGACCAATAACAGGCTCTGAAATTGAGGCAATAATCAATAGCTTACCAACCAAAAAAAGTCCAGGACCAGATGGATTCACAGCTGAATTCTACCAGAGGTACAAAGAGGAGTTGGTACCATTCCTTCTGAAACTATTCCAATCAATAGAAAAAGACGGAATCCTCCCTAACTCATTTTATGAGGCCAGCATCATCCTGATACCAAAGCCTGGCAGAGACACAACCAAAAAAAGAGAATTTTAGACCAATATCCCTGATGAACATCGATGCAAAAATCCTCAATAAAATACTGGCAAACCGAATCCAGCAGCACATCAAAAAGCTTATCCACCATGATCAAGTGGGTTTCATCCCTGGGATGCAAGGCTGGTTCAACATACGCAAATCAATAAATGTAATCCAGCATATAAACAGAACCAAAGACAAAAACCACATGATTATCTCAATAGATGCAGAAAAGGCCTTTGACAAAATTCAACAACACTTCATGCTAAAAACTCTCAATAAATGAGGTACTGATGGGACGTATCTCAAAATAATAAGAGCTATCTATGACAAACCCACAGCCAATATCATACTGAATGGGCAAAAACTGGAAGCATTCCCTTTGAAAACTGGCACAAGAAAGGGATGCCCTCTCTCACCACTCCTATTCAACACAACATAGTGTTGGAAGTTCTGGCCAGGGCAATCAGGCAGGAGAAGGAAATAAAGGGCATTCAATTAGGAAAAGAGGAAGTCAAATTGTCCCTGTTTGCAGATGACATGATTGTATATCTAGAAAACCCCATTGTCTCAGCCCAAAATCTCCTCGAGCTGATAAGCAACTTCAGCAAAGTCTCAGGATAGAAAATCAATGTACAAAAATCACAAGCATTCTTATACACCAATAACAGACAAACAGAGAGCCAAATCATGAGTGAACTCCCATTCTCAATTGCTTCAAAGAGAATAAAATATCTAGGAATTCCACTTACAAGGGATGTGAAGGACCTCTTCAAGAAGAACTACAAACCACTGCTCAAGGAAATAAAAGAGGATACAAACAAATGGAAGAACATTCCATGCTCATGTGTAGGAAGAATCAATATCATGAAAATGGCCATACTGCCCAAGGTAATTTATAGATTCAATGCCATCCCCATCAAGCTACCAATGACTTTCTTCACAGAATTGGAAAAAACTACTTTAAAGTTCATATGGAACCAAAAAAGAGCCCTCATCGCCAAGTCAATCCTAAGCCAAAAGAACAAAGCTGGAGGCATCACACTACCTGACTTCAAATTATACTACAAGGCTACAGTAACCAAAACAGTGTGGTACTGGTACCAAAACAGAGATATAGACCAATGGAACAGAACAGAGACCTCAGAGATAATGCCGCATATCTACAACTATCTGATCTTTGACAAACCTGACAAAAACAAGAAATGGGGAAAGGATTCCCTATTTAATAAATGGTGCTGGGAAAACAAGCTAGCCATATGTAGAAAGCTGAAACTGGATCCCTTCCTTACACCTTATACAAAAATTAATTCAGGATGGATTAAAGACTTAAATGTTAGACCTAAAACCATAAAAACCCTAGAAGAAAACCTAGGCAATACCATTCAGGACATAGGCATGGGCAAGGACTTCATGTCTAAAACACCAAAAGCAATGGCAACAAAAGCCAAAATTGACAAATGGGATCTAATTAAACTAAAGAGCTTCTGCACAGCAAAACAAACTCCCATCAGAGTGAAGAGGCAACCTAAAGAATGGGAGAAAATTTTTGCAACCTACTCATCTGACAAAGGGCTAATATCCAGAATCTACAATGAACTCAAACAAATTTACAAGAAAAACAAACAACCCCATCAAAAAGTGGGCAAAGGATATGAACAGACACTTCTCAAAAGAAGACATTTATGCAGCCAAAAAACACATGAAAAAATGCTCATCATCACTGGCCATCAGAGAAATGCAAATCAAAACCACAATGAGATACCATCTCACACCAGTTAGAATGGTGATCATTTAAAAGTCAGGAAACAACAGATGCTGGAGAGGATGCGGAGAAATAGGAACACTTTTACACTGTTGGTGGGAATGTAAACTAGTTCAACCATTGTGGAAGTCAGTGTGGCGATTCCTCAGGGATCTAGAACTAGAAATACCATTTGACCCAGCCATGCCATTACTGGGTATATACCCAAAGGATTATAAATCATGCTGCTATAAAGACACATGCACACGTATGTTTATAGCAGCACTATTCACAATAGCAAAGACTTGGAACCAACCTAAATGTCCAACAACGATAGACTAGATTAAGAAAATGTGGCACATATACACCATGGAATACTATGCAGCCATAAAAAATGATGAGTTCATGTCCTGTGCAGGGACATGGATGAAACTGGAAACCATCATTCTCAGCAAACTATCGCAAGGACAAAAAACAAAACACCGCATGTTGTCACTCATGGGTGAACAATGAGAACACATGGACACAGGAAGGGGAACATCACACACCGGGGACTGTTGTGGGGTGGGGGGAGGGGGGAGGCGGGAGGGATAGCATTAGGAAATATACCTAATGCTAAATGACGAGTTAATGGGTGCAGCACACCAACATGGCACATGTATACATATGTAACAAACCTGCACGTTGTGTACTTGTACCCTAAAACTTAAAGTATAATAATAATAAAATTTTTAAAAAATAGAGTGTTTATACCTTGTATTCCAATGTCCAGCATATGGTAACTATATTCTGCCATCAAACACTATTTAAGAGAATCTCTAAATTCTTTCCTTAGAAGTGATTTCAGTGAAAATAAAGTTTCTTAAGTTGCCACTCCATTGACCACTCCATCGTGTCTTGAACCTTTCTAGGCTCATGGTTCAAAGTGAAAATAATTTCTTAGTTTTATAGGACAGAATAAAGTTTTAACTAAATCCATAAGATAATAAAAAATGTAACTATAGTTATTCATGTCCAAGAAAAATATACTAGTCCTTTTGTCTCTCTCGCTCATGCACACCCCAGCCACACACACACACAATCACACACACACACACTCAATCACACACACACACACATACACACACAACCTGGCTTATTCCAGCATGTTTGCCACCATACATAGTTTTTAAAATATATATTTTAAAAATAGATTTTAAAATGCTGAAATACAACACTTGGGCAATTGAACAAACCTTTATGAAATTAAGTTACATTCTCTACATGTTCAAGCTGTCTGTACTGGCATTTCAAAACAACAGGCTTGAAATCTTTCTTTCTTGAAGTCCTAGAGGTCATTCTTCTTCAGTATGTTACTCATCTAGTATTTCAGTCTCATAACAACAAATAAGCATCGTAGGGAAATCTTAGTAAATCTTAGCTCATGGAATGTTTTTGTATTGACAAAGTTAACCAACTGGAACAACTACTTAGGGATGTTTCTTTGAATATAACTGGCTGAAAACTCAAAGCCACTACAAGTTAGAGATCCATCTAAAATAAATATATTATAGCTAAACTGTAAAAGTTACTATAAACATCATTTTTCTACAGACATTCACATTCCATATACATATATGTACATATTTATACACACACACACACACACACACTCGTTTGTATAGCTCTTTGTAGATTACAAGAGGCCCCACAAATATTATCTTATTTACTTCTATTGGTTTACTACAAAACCAGGGAAGTTCTGACTACCAACAACAATGTGATTTTTTTAGAATCTCTGAATTCAGCTCATTTACTTTATAATAATCTAACTTGTAAGAACATCGAAATCTTTATATTGAAGGTGAGCAACATTCAACTACTTCTCACTGAACACTTGTAAAACAGGAAGCAAAACCTTCTATAAGAAGATTGATATTAACAGTATTTAATAATCTCTATGGTCTGCATACTCAACAGTTAGAGTAGGCTCTATCAAAAAATAATTTATGCTGCACATCATCCCTGATCTATAATAGTTTTGGATTTTCAATTTTTTATGAATTTTCTACTGATACAATTATAATATACTTCTGTAAGACATCAGCTTTTTATAAGTTCTGTATGTACATTTAATCTTACATCAATTTTATTTTTGTCAATTATTTTACAGACATGAGAACTGAGAATCAGTAAACAATATACCCAGCATCATACATACAGTTGATAGAGAGGTACAGATTCAAACTTGAGACTTCTGATTGTAAGTTTAGGCCTATATCCCTTGTAATATACTTGTCATCTATGATTACAGCTATATATATATATATGTTTTCTTAATGTTTAGCCCAAATGCCAAAAACCAAAAACCTAATTTCATTAACTGAAAATCTGCTAAGTTTCTCTAATTATTTCAGTATTTTAGATGTCTTTATGAAAATATGTTCCAACTTGACAATTATGCTGCTTAGATTTTGATTAAACAAGACTTTTCATATGAGAAGCATGCACCAGAATAAGTAAAAACAGAAATATGTATGCTGTTATCTGTTCCAACTTTGGTCCCAACGCTCATTCTGATTCCAAGGAAATACATTACTCTACATATATAAGGCAAATGTCCTAATGAATCTACCTCCAACTAAATGAAAAGATACTGAATCCTCCCATGGGAAAACTAACATGCTTCAAGAATTCTGTGCTTCATTTGACTCTGTAGAAAAAGGGCCCAGAGTGGCGAGAAGAAACCATTCTGATGAGAAGAAACCATTCTAAGCATCAAACATAGAACCACGGTGGACCTGTACTTCCCTAATTAAAAGACTGACATCTAAAGCATCTGGGTTTTAGAAAATATGTCTTTTTTATATTCATCCGTGGTACAGTCTACTTATCAGAACTTTCCTCCTCCTCTGGCAAACAAACAAACAAAACGCCTCCTTCATCTCAATAAAACATTTCTACATGCTGGCCTTAGTCAAATTACAAAATATAAGCCTTTTTTTAATCTTTTAGCTTATCTAAATAAAAAGACCAATGACTGAGTTAATTATTTCTATATATTATTTACTTTAAAACCCATTGGAAAATATCCTGTTCCTCAAAAGGTGATCTCACTTACAGTCTTCTAATACTTTAATGCCCTGTGAAACTATCCCTCACAACTGGATCATGCTCAGCCTAGACCTAAGCACAGAATTCATATTATTTTCCAGAGATATTTAATGAACACTGTGTGTCAAATGTTGTGCTAGATACAGGGACACAATATGTACACATGACTTCCATAACCCGGTGCTTTGGGGTCTAATTATGAATGAAAACCAACACAAAAATGAATTACACCATGCCCCGTGTTATGAGATACAATGTTGGCACAAAGTAAATCATAATCAACACTGCTTGGGCATGTCTACAAACTGTCAGTCTGAAAAGATTTTGCAGAAGAGGAGCAAAACTGAGTTGAAGACTTCAAGGAGAAACACACATCCATAATGAAACAAGAAAAAAATAGAATCCTAAGCTGAGGAAATTTTATGTGATGAGGTGTGAAAGGGGAAAAAGAAAATACTGAGGTGCTTTAAATACTTACATTTTCTCAGAATATCACATAGAGGGGAGAGAACAGTGCGAGATAAAATTTGAAAGGTAAATAGGAGCCACATCCTGGAGGACCCTAGATGCCACTAATAGGGGGTTTAGATCATTTCTCAAGTTCATTGAAGGGTATTATTAAAAGGCTATATAAGCCTGTAATCCTAACACTTTGAGAGGCTGAAGCAGGCTGACTGCTTGAGCTAAAGACTTGGAGACCAGCCTGGGCAACATGGTGAAAACACGTCTCTATCAAAAATACAAAAAATAAAAAAAAAATTAGCAAAATTAGCCAGACGTGGTGGTGCGTGTATGTGGTTTCAGTACTCAGGAGTCTGAGGTGGGAGGCTCACTTAAGCCCGGGGGCAGAGGGTGCAGTGAGCAGAGATTGTGCCACTGCACTCCATCCTGGGTGACAGAGCAAGACACTGTCAAAAAAAAAAAAAAAGGCTACATAAAATCAGGTCACCACTTTATAAATACCACTCAGAAATAGCAGTGGAAAGACAGAAGGGAAAACTAGAGACAAGAAATTGTGGTAGCCTGAATATCCTGTTTCAAATACTTAGTTCACATGTATGGCACAGCCGTTCTCTTATATGTTCCTGAAATCTTGGTTGTTAAGCCAAACCAAGGATGGGGGTACTCTTCAAGAGCCTAAGTGGCTGCAGAGGTACATTTAATCTTACACCAATTTCATTTCTATCAACGATTTTACAGACGTGAGAACTGATAATCAGCAGATAGACGACATACCCAGCATCACACCTACAGTTGATAGAGACGTATAGATTCAAACTTGAGATTTCTGATTATAAGTTTTGGCCTATTTCTCTTGTTATATATTTGCTATGTATGATTATAGCAATACATGAAAATATATTTTCTTAATGTTTGGCCCAAATGCCAAAAAACAAAAGCCTAATTTCATTAACTAAAAAATCTGCAATCCACTTCTGTTTGACTGGAATTTACCTCTATTTGACCTGAATGACTTTCTTTTTTTAAAAACTGTTATTTAATTAAAAGTAATAAATCTCCTCATGCTGAAGAACACTTTCATAAAGAGGGGAAAGTAACCTACATTATGTACAGAAGGGTTATATAATGAGGCATCTCAAGAATTTAGGAAGCTAGTTCATAGAGTGTTGCAGTATTCTTGTAAGAGATAACCAGAATATGAACCAAAGGAGGGATATAGAGAAGAAAATGGCAAAAGAAATATTTGAGAAAACTGGGTGATTGATCAGATATGGAGGCTATAAAAAAAGGAGAGATCAGTGATGACTCACGTACTTGGGTGGTGGAGAATACAGTAGAGATTTATTTTTCTTTTGCAAAGGTTAGAAATACAGGTTATATTCCAGAAACCTTCAAGCTCGCATGATATTTTAAACCAAATCAACAAACATTTTATTTAATATTATAACTCTAAAACAGATATTTAGTGTCACAAAAATATAGTTTGCATTAGAAATTAGAAAGCTAGCAATTTTAAAACACAATTGAATTATGCAATAAAATGACTATAAGTAACACTTGGTTTAGCTGCATTACAGTCAGAGTAATGATTTCAGTCATCGACATTTTATAATACAGAATACTACAAGAATAGTTATAATTAGGCAATTAGTTCTATCACTCACGGCATAGAGTTGGAAGCACAAAGCCTCAAAATGGGTAATCAATACTTCTACATGTAATTAATCAGTTGAATTTGCACTATAGGTAAACACAGGGCTAAAATAAATGAGGTCAACTATAGCTAGCTCAATGTGATTAGCCATCACTGTAGAGATGTATAAAAACATTGGCAAAAACGTATCCATTGCTTCCAGGATAAACTAATCTTACTTTTAAGACACTTACTTGTGTATTCATTCAATCTACAGTTACTGAGCACTGATTAAGAGCCAGACACTATGGTAGTGAGTGCTGGGGATACAATGATAAATACTATAAGCTGGAGACCTGGCCTCTGTGGTTTAGAGTTTAGAAGAGAAGATAATTGTGCAATAACCACAAAATCCTATAGTTACAAACTGTGATAAAACTTCTGAAAAAAGATGTTGTTGACAGAAAAATGTTTCTTCCTCCTGAAGATGCCTACATCCTAATCCCCAGAAACTACAAACATGTTACCTTATATGGCAAAGGAGATTTATCAGATGTAATAAGAATCTTGAAGTAGGATTATCCATATGGCTCCAAAATAATCACAAGTGTTCTTATAAGAGGCAGGTAAAGGGGTAAGAGTCAGAGAGGGAGCTGCGATGATGGAAGCAGATGGTAGGAATGAGAAAGAAATTTGAAGATGTATGCTCTTGGCATTGAGGATGGAGGAAAGGCTCATGAGCTAACAAAGGCCAGCAATGTAAAAATCAAGAAAAGGCAAGGAAACAGATCTTTCCGAAGAGCCTTAATAAGGAGCACAGCCCTACTAACACCTTAATTTCAGTCCAGTGAGGCCCTTTTCAGACTTCTGACCTCCAAAACAGTAATCTCATAAATATGAGTTGTATTAAGCAACCAAATTTGTAGTAAAAGTTAATGGTAACATATAGGAAATTGGTACACAAGATTTGAGAAACAATGTAGAGAATATGCAAAAAGAGTATCTCTTCTAGAATCCCTCATTTTAAACATGATTTGGAAATTCTAGTATGATTGTGCTAATCTCCTTTAAATGTCTTCATTCCACATTGTAAACATATTTGAAGATATCACAGTGTACCCCATAAATATTTACAATTTTTATTTTTTAATTAAAAATAAAACCTTAAAAATGTTTCAATCATTTTCTTTTGCCATTAGGATGAAGAACAAAATCCATAACATGATGGACAAGGCCCCACTGACGCATCGTGTGTCTGTTTCTTCAGTCTCATAGAATGCAGCATTTCCCTTTGATCTCACCATTCCAGCCTGCTGCTCTTCTTTCAGTGCTTTGAAACAAGAGAGATATTCACTCCTCCCACCACAAGGCCTTTACGCAAGAGGTTTGCATATTTCTCCTGCAACCCTTGCCCTTTGTCCAGTTTATTCAAACTTATCCTTTAGATCTGTGTTCAATTGTTACTTTTCCAGTTCCAGGAATGCTAAGTAACTAAATATTGGAGGAAATTTAAGCTTATTTTTATATTGAGGGAGAACACCAATTATATAGAAAGAGGTAGCCAACACAAGAAAGAATAATCAATACTGTGAGTTTCCTGAAAAGATAAAAAGCCATGATATCCAGGGGAAAAAAGAGAAAAAATAAGAAAGAAAGGATTCGTTTTAGATTGAAGGAGATGACACTTCTTTATTTTTTTCCTCTCTTCTTTGCTTTTCATTCCCATCTTCATCACCATAAATTTGAAATGCCTCAAGTGTTAATTCTAGGACTTTTTAATGTTGCCACTTTGCTTTGTTTTCTCTTTAATTTATTTTATTCTTGGTAGCCTGGTGTGAAAGTTACTATAAAGGGAACTGGGAAGAACTGGTCACCAAACTGCATGCTAAGGGCTTGGCTTTCAGTGACCACAGTGAAAAAAGTAAATGAAGTTTTGGGTCCCTGAGAGAAAGAGATGTTGAAATTTAAATGAATGCCTTAATTTAGCCCACACAAGCATAAATCTGGCTAAGGCAAGATGACAAAAATTTCCATGAGAAATAAATTGTATTTGTCATAAGAGAGAAAATCTGCAGGCATGAAACAAACAAAACAAAAATAAAAGGAAATTGAGACAGAACAAAGGATTAGAGTCTCAAGTGCATGAGGAATAGAATTCACAAAGAAACCATACTTCTGTGTGTATACATTGATTAAATGATTAAGGAAAGAATGAGAACATAAATATAAATGGGCTGAATTGAAGGACAGAACAAATACAAATTCTAGAAATTATGTATTCTTTATGAATTGACTTTTTTCTCATTGTAAAATATTACTCTTTATCTCTGATAATATGCCTTGTCATGAAGTCTACTTTGTATATAGCTTCCATATGCTCAGTATCTATATGAAATATCTTTTCCCATCATTAACTTTCAAATTTCTGTATCTATATTTAAAATGCCTTTCTTCTATAAACATCATAACTAGGTCTTGCATTTTTGTCAAGACTGACAGTATCTGATTTTTAATTAGGGTGCTTAACCTGTTTACATTTACTGCAAATATTGATGTGTTTAAGCCTACTATCTTGCTATTTGTTTTCTACACATTCCATCAATTTTTAGTTACCTTACTCCTCATTTTCTGCCTTCTATTAGGTAATCTGCATTTAAAAAAATGCTTTGGGGATTAAGATAAATATTTTAAACTTATTCATTCATGACAGGGCTCCCTGAGCTAAATCAATTAGTTCATAATACAAAGAGTTCTGCATGCATAAATTGGGATGGAAAAGGCAGAGGTGGAAAAACACTGAGGGTCAGTGATGGCATCTCAAATTGTATAGAAAACCAGAAGGGTTTAGAAAAGCTTTAGATGTTGAACAAGGTTTTTTGATAAATATTTTCATAATCTTTCTAATGAAAATAGATTACATTAACTCTAATGAGATGGTTTGGCTGTGTCCCCACCAAAACTTCATCTTGAATTGTGGCTCCCTTAATCCCCACATGTCATGGGAGAAGTGGGAGATAATTGAATCATGGGGGCAGGTTTTTTTTTCCCATACTGTTCCTGTAATAGTGAATAAGTCTCATGATATCTGATGGTTTTATAAAGGGCAGTTCCTCTGTACATGCTCTCTTTCCTGCTGCCATGTAAGACATGCCTTTACTCCTCCTTCACCTCCTGCCATGATTGTAAGGCCTTGCCAGCTATGTGGAACTGTGAGTCTTTTAAACCCAATTTTCTTTATCAATTACTCGTCTTGGGTATGTCTTTATTAGCAGTGTGAGAACAGACTAATACATCTAATAAAATCCTGCAAGGAAGAAAAATCTGTCCATTGAAACCTTTAAGTATAGGCTCTTTAACAACTGTACATAACACTCAGGAGTAAATCCTGAAGCAAATGGGAACATGCTTACTTCTCACTTTTTCACTTTGTGTAAACAGCCTTAACCAGAAATAGGGGATTTAATAAGCAAGCAAAACCCAAATGAAAAATAGCCCCTTTGTTAGATATTCTTCTCAGTGAGTGAATATGCTGACAGAAACTTAGATCAAAAATAGAATAAGATCTAGAATAAACTGAAGCCCTTACAAATAAAAACAACTGAATACTTCATCCCAGTCAAAATATCATAGGAGAGAGTTTCTCCTTAAAGATGCCAATGCATAGCATAAACAGAAAATATAATTGGCCAATGATGGTTAATGGGTGCAAAAAATAGTTAAAAGAATAAATAAGACTTACTATTTGATAGCACAACAGGGTGATTATAGTCAATAATAACTTAATTGTACATTTTATAATATTGAGTGTAATTGGATTGTGTGTATCTCAAAGGATAAATGCTTGAGGGGATGGATACCCCATTCTCCTTGATGTGCTTATTTTATATTGCATGCCTGTATCAAAACATCTTATGTAATGCATCTACCATATACCCGTACACACAAAAAAGAATTGCTAAAAAAATCTGGTAATCAGTAAGGATGATCCAGGGGAAATTCAATACTCAATTTTCAATATTCTGTTTTATTTTTACACTTACAAGAAGAAATTTATCTAAATAATAAAGGACAACCTTGTGTGCATATATTTATCATATATATATATACATAATTTTATTCTTCACTTTTAATTTTTGTGGGTTCGGAGTAGGTATATATTTATGGGGTACATAAGATACTTTGATATAGGTACACAATGTATGATAATCACATCAGGGTAAATGGAATATCAATCACCTCAAGCATTTATCAGTTATGTTACAAATGATCCAATTACACTCTTATTTATTTATTTATTTATTTATTTATTTATTTATTTTGAGATGGAATCTCACTCTGTCACCCAGGCTGGAGTGCAATGGCATGATCTCAGCTCACTGCAACCTGCGCCTCCCAGGTTCCAGCAATTCTCCTGCCTCAGCTTCCTGAGTAGCTGGGATTACAGGGGTGTGCCACCACGCCTGGCTAATTTTTGTATTTTTAGTGGAGATGGGGTTTCACCATGTTGGCTATGATGGTCTTGAACTCTGGACCTCATGATACGCCCAGCTCGGCTTCCCAAAGTGCTGGCATTACAGGCGTGAGCCACTGCACCTGACCTTTTTTAGTTATTTTTAAATGCATAGTTAAATTATCATTCACTACAGTTAGCCTGTTGTGCTGTCAAATACTAGTTCTTACTCATTCTAACAATTTTTTGAATGTATTAAGCATTCCCACTTCCCCCTCAACCCACTACTACCCTTGCCCCTGGTAACCATCCTTTTACTCTCTATCTCCATATGTTCAAGTGTTTTAATTTTTAGATCTGACAAAGAAGTGAGAACATGCCATGTTTATCTTTGTCCGCCTGGTTTATTTCAGTTAACTTAATGATCTCCAGTTCAATCTATGTTGCTGCAAATGACAGGATCTCGTTTTTTTTTATGGCTGAATAGTACACCATTGAGTTTATGTACCATATTTTCTTTATCCATTCATCTGTTGATGGACACTTAAGTTGCTTCCAAATCTTGGCTGTTGTGAACAGTACTGCAACAAACATGAGAGTGCAGATATATCTTCAATATCCTGATTTCCTTTCTTTTTGATATATACCTGGCAGTGGAATTGCTGGATCATATGGTAATGCTAATTTTAGTTTTTGGAGGAACCACCAAAGTGTTCTCCACAATGGTTGTACTAATTTACATTACCACCAACAGGGTAGAAGTTTTCCCTTTTTCACACGTTTTTGCCAGCATTTGTTATTGCCTGCCTTTTAGATAAAAGCCACTTTAACTGGAGTGCGATGCCATCTCATTGTAGTTTTGATTGGCATTTCTCTGATGATAAGTGATGTCGAGTACCTTTTCATATATCTATTTGCCATTTGCATTAATAGATCTTCTTTTGAGAAATGTCTATTCTGATCTTTTGCCCATTTTTAATTGGAGTATTAGATTTTTTAATTTTACTATAGAATTGTTTGAGCCCCTTGTACATTCTGGTTATTAATCTCTTTTCAGATGGGTAGTTTGCAAATATGTTCTCCCATTCTTTGGGTTGTCTCTTCCCCTTGTTGATTGTTTTCTTTGCTATGAAGAAGCTTTTTAACTTGATGTGATACTACTTGTCTATTTTTGCTTTGATTATCTGTACTTGTGAAGTATTACTCAAGAAATCTTTGCACACTGCAATGTCCTAGAGAGTTTCTCCAATTTTTTCTTTTAGTAGTTTAATAGTTCGAGGTTTTAGGTTGCTTCTATACCCAGTTTTTTGAAAGTTTTTATTCATGAAGGGATGCTGAATTTTATTAAATGCTCTTTCAGCATTAATTAAAATGATCATATGGTTTTTGCCCTCCATTCTGTTGATATAATGTATCACATTGATTGATTTGCAAATGTTGAACCATCCTTACATCTTTGGAATAAATCCCACTTGGTCATGATGAATTATCTTTTTAATGTTTTTAATGTGTTGTTGAATTCAGTTTGCTAGTCTTTCATTGAGGATTTGTGCATCAATATTCATCAGGGATATCAACCTGAAGTTTTCTTTTGTTTGGTAGGTCTTTGTCTGGTTTTGTTATCAGGACAATACTGGCCTTGTAGAGTGAGTTTGGAAGTATTCCTTCCTCCTCTATTTTTCGGGATAGTTTGAGGAGAATTAGTACTAGTTCTTCAAATGTTTGGTAGAATTTAGCAGGGAAGCCCTTGGATTCCAGACTTTTCTTTGCTGGGCAACTTTTTATTACAGCTTTGTTATCACTACTTGTTATCGGTGTGTTCTGGTTTTGGATTTCTTCATGGTTCAATCTTGATAGATTGTATATTTCTAGGAATTTATCCATTTCTTCTAGATTTTCCAATTTATTGGCATATAGTTATTTATAGTAGCCAATAATGATCCTTTGTATTTCCGCAGTATCAGTAGTAATGTCTCCTTTTTCATCGCTGACTTTATTTATCTATGCCTTTTCTCTTTTATTCTTAATTAGTCTGGTTAATGGTTTGTCAATTTTGTTAATCTCTTTCCAAAAAATAGAACAACTTTTCCTATTATTGATCTTTTGTATTCTTTGTTTCAATTTCATTTATTTCTGCCCTGATTTTTATTATTTCTTTTCTTCTACTTATTTTGGGTTTGATTTGTTCTTGCTTTTCTGGTTCTTTAAGATGCATCATCAGGTTATTGGTTTGAAGTTTTTTGTTTGTTTGTTTGTTTTGTTTTTATGTGGGCACTTGTAGCTATAAACTTTCCTCTTTGTATTGCCTTCACTGTATCCCACAGGTTTGGGTATACTGTGCTTCAATTATCATTTGTTTCAAATAATTTTAAAGTTTTATTTTTATTGTCTTCATTAGCCACTGGTCATTCTGGAGCATACTGTTTAATTTTCATGTTTGTATAGTTTCCAAAATTCCTCTTGCTGTTGATTTCTAGTTTTGCTCTATTGTGGTCAGAGAAGATGCTTGATATTATTTCACATTTTTTGAATGTTTTAAGACTTGTTTTCTGACCTAACATATGGTGTATCCTTGAGAATGATTCATGTGCTGAGGAAAGAATGTGTATTCTGCAGCTAGCTGTTGGATGAAATGTTCTGTAAAGACTTGTTAGTTCCATTATATCTATAGTGCAGATTACGTCCAATGTTTCTTTCTTGATTTTCAGTCTAGATGATATTTCCAATGCTAAGAGTAAGATATTGAAGTCTCCAGCTATTATTTTATTGGAGTCTAACTTTTCTTTAGTTTTAATACTATTTGCTTTATATATCTGGTTGCTTCAGTTTGGGGTTCATATATATTTACAATTGCTATATTCTCCTGCTGAACTGACACCTTTGTCATTATATAATAGTACTCTTTGTCTCCCTTTTTATAGTTTTGGTCTTGAAATCTATTTTGTCTACTTCATCAATTCTGCTATTAAGACACAGGGAGGGGAACGTCACACACCGGGGCCTGTCAGGGTGTGGGGGGCTGGGGGAGGGATAATATTAGGAGAAATACCTAATGTAAATGATGAGTTGATGGGTGCGCAACATGGCACATGTATACCTATGTAACAAATCTGCACGTTGTGCACATGCACCCCAGAATTTAAAGTATAATAAAAAAAAGAAACTTCTATGTATTCTTCAGTATGTCGATTGCATTTTTCAACCACAGAATTTCTGATTGATTCTTTTTAATTATTTTAATCTCCTCGTTGGATTTAGCTGATACAATTCTGAAATGCTTCTCTGTGTTATTTTGAATTATTTTGAGTTTCATCGAAACAACTATTTTGAATTCCCTGTCTGAAAGATCATATATTTCTTTTTCTCCAAGATTGGTCTCTGGTGCCTTATTTGGTTCATTTGGTGAGGTCATGTTTTCTTGGATGTTACTGAGGCTTGTGGATGTTTGCTGGTGTCTGAGCATTGAATAGTTAAATATTTATTGTAGCCTTTGCAGTCTGGGCTTGTTTCTACCCATATTCCTTGGGAAAGGTTTCCGGGTATTAGAAGGGACTTGGGCATTGTGATATAAGCCATATCTGCATTAGGGGGCTACCCAAACCCAGTAACCCTACAGTTCTTGCAGACTAGTAGATGTACCACTTCGGTGGTCTTGGACAAAATACAAATAAATTATCTGTATTAACAGGCAGACAATCTTGTTCTCTTCCCTCACCTACTCCCAGTCAAACAGAGTTTGTCTCTCTCTGTGCTGAGCCACCTGGAGCTGGGGGAGGGAGAACACAAGCAACCCTGTGGCCACTTCCACTCGGACATTGCTGGGTCAGACTTGAAGCCAGCACAGAACTGGATATTGCTCAAGTCCTGCTATACTCACTCCCTGGCTACTGCCTATATTTTCTCAAGGCCCTAGGGCTCTGCAATCAGCAGGTGGGGAAGCCAGACGGACTTGTATCCTTCCCTTCAAGGTAGCTAGTTCCTCCAGGCCCCAGGTGAGTCCAGAGATGTCATCTGGGAGCCAGGGACTAGAGTCAAAACTTTAGAAATCTACTTGGTGTTCTATTCTATTATAGCTAAGCTGTCACTCAAAACATGAGACAAGTTCCTTCCCACTCTCTTCTCTCTTTTCCACAGGCAGCAAGCCTCTCTCCATGGCCACCACCACAGACCCACCATGGTTACTGCTCGGCTACCTCTAATGTACACCTAATGTCCAAGGGCTCATCAGGCAGTTTATGGTGACTGCTGCTAGAACTGGGACACACCCTTCAGGGCAGTAGGCTCCCCGCTGGTCCAAAGCCAGTCCGGGAATACTATCCAAGAGCCACAGCCTGGAACTAGGAACCCCAAGAGTCCACTTGGTGCTCTACCCTACTGTGGCTGAACTGGTGCCTGAAGTCATCACACCTCAGAGTCTCACTGAAGGCCCACGGTTTACCATCTGGGTATTCCTGCTTGGTTCTTGAGGCCCAAGGGCTCTTTAGTGAGCAGGTGATAAATTCTGCCAGGACTGACTCCTCCTCTTCAAGGCAGGAGCTCAAGGACATGTTGTCCAAGAGCTAGGGCCTCACAGCTCTGCCCTGTGCCCTATCCTACTGTGGCTGAGATGATATACAAGATGCAAGACAAAGTCTTCTTTTGGAAGAAAGATTTCCCTTTCCTCAAGTAGAAGAAAGGAGACACTTTCATTACTCCAAGTTGTGCTTCCTGGTGTTGAGGGAGGGGTGGTGCAAGTTCTTGCTTAGCCACCCCAGCTGGTGTTCTATGTCCACTGGCTCTAAGCCCAGCACAGCAGTAGGAGTGTTAGGAATTGGAGTCCTTGTGGCCTAGACTGCCTTTTAAGTTTATTTAAGGCTCCAGAGCACTTTAGCTCACGGTGGTGAGGCTTGCTGACACGTAATTTCTGACCTTTGGGATGATCACTGGCTAGGGCTTTTCCAAATGCTCCCTTTTGGTGGGTGGTGGTAAGTTGAGTTCAGTCCAGTTTTGCTTCCCACTGTGATAGGGCAGTACTGAGTTCAATGCTGGGTCTCAAAATGTTGCATTCTCTCTCCTGCATGTGCACAGATTCCCTGTGCCATGCAGAAACTGCCAGGGGGTCGGGGAGGGGCAGTGTCAGCAATTCAAGACTGTCTTTCTTACCCTCTTTAGTGCCTTTCAGTGATGCAAAGTTAAAACCAGGTAATGTGATTGCTTACCTAATTTTTGGTTCTTATGAAGGTGCTTTCTGTGTGAACATACTTGTTGAACTGGTGTTCCTTTTGGGGGTACAATCAGTGAAGGCATCTATTTGGGCATCTTGCTCTACCCCACGTATTTTTGATTTACACAAATACTGGCTGAAAAACTTTACATTGCTAGTCAACTTCTGATTCAAAGTCAATAAATTAATCAGATCATGGACATCTCTAATAATCCTCAGACACTCACACACATATGTCTAACTGATAATATTCTTACCCTTTTTGTGATAACACAGCTGCTAACTTTATAGAGATGGGTATACTGTGCAAATCGAATGGCCAGACTCAATATTTTCCCGATAGTCTCTTCATTGAAGTTCTTCAGGGACCCCCCCTATTTATAATAAAGTCATAGCTAACTCGGATATTGACTTACTGATATTCTTATGTCAAAATCCAAACTAAATTGAAGATCTTCACAAACAACTGGAATCTCTATGAACTAAAATGTCTACTAATACCAACAGAATTCTAGTGACTAAGCCTATGAAGGTTCAGATAGACCCATCCAGACCTCTACCAAAGCTTTGACAACACCCTCTAAAGCTGCGACAAAGAAAAGACTAAATCAATAAAAGACACGTTATACCTGTGCCAGCCATTCTAATACTTCTATCCTCCAAGTCAAGAGGAACCCAACAGACAAGAATATATATTATTTTGAGAATACTAGTTAACAAAATTTCCCCCAACATATATATATATGTGTGTATATATATGTGTGTGTGTGTATAACTTTATATAAGTATAAATAAAATAGTTATTCCCCATGGTATCCACAACAAATCATTTTATATTTAGTGTCATGAGGCTATATAATTTACAGTTCTGGATTTGGGTCCTGCTTTCTTTGTTGTCCCTTTAGATCAAAAAACTTCCTACCTCTGCCTTTGCCTGACAAGGTCAACAATATAAATAGGCATCTATACTTCAGAATTTAGTAAGTTTCCTTCTTTTCACAAGTTATTTACCAGGGTTTTAATGACTTTACAATTCCTTTAGATTCCATTGTATTTCCATACCTGGATGACCTTTGGCCATGTACTAAAGAAGACCTGAATTTAAAGATCAAGTTCTATCCACATACCATTTTAGCTCGAAAAGAATATAAATATTTTCTAAAATAAATTGCAATTTTATCAATAAATGTGTATTAACTAAGACGTAATATATGACAGAAGGTAATACATTGCTTACTTTTGATAGGCTAAAAACCATACAAAACTTTCAGAAGCCAGACACTAGGAGAAAATTTAAATAATTTCTACTCTCATTAGCTACTGCAGGCAATGAATTCCCAACCTTTCTGAAATTGCCAGACTTCTTTATGACCTAAATGTTCAACAACCAAATTTCTTCCTTGGGAATATACGCATTGGCACATATTTTACTCAGTGATATAGAGAACTGTGAAGAATGTTATTCCATAACATACAACAATGACAAAAGATGTCAGCAAACAATAAGTTTATTATTTTTCTTAAACTCAGCAGAGAGCTGACGTAGTAGAACAGTGAAATGGCCTAAAACTGGAGAAGAGACAAGTGCCTGAAAGAAGTATGAGCTGTAAGTTGTGGCTTAATTGTTCAGGACACAGGAACTGGAAAGATAGTTCAGTAAGGTTGATTGGTGTATCAGTGGAGTCTGAGTGCACATTAACAAGGGAGGGTGACACCTCTAGAGGCTGCAAACATAGAGGCATTCTACACACTCTTGTGGGAATCTTTCCATTAACCCAACTGACTTAAATCATTAGAAAAGTCTTTTTAATGGTGCAGGCTTTAGGGAAGGGAACAGCAACCGCTGCAGGAAGTCACAAAACTCTCCTACATTGGCTCTTCTAATCTAAATCTCCTATGAAACAAAAACCTTAATATGTGAGAGGAGAGGGCATGGCAACAAACATAGCCATGATTAGGGTACTGGTGAAGATCTATTGCAGCCAGGAGAAGGGAACAGGGGGAAAAAAGCTTTTTACCCTAGCAAAGGGGCGGGGATATTTACTGGTGTCAGAAATATACCAGGATAGAAGTGGTAGTACTGAGAAGGGAACACTCTTGAAACCTAGGATATGATGCCAAAGACAGAGGCTTAATCAGAACCACAGAGAACACTCTGTACTCTCAACCACAAAACTAACAAATATCAAATAACAGGTTAACTGCAAGAGATAGCCTTTCTTCTGAGGTACAGTGTAAAGGGAAGATCTAAACCTGAGGACGGAGCAGCAATTGGGGAAAAATTAAAAACCAAAATCCCTGACAAACCAGCCCTATCCTAAATCAAGGTGTTCCTGAAGATTTTAAATCCTGTGTTAAAAGGAAGGTAACCATAGCAAAAACTTTAAACTTCTCCCAACTCCCACTTAGACTAACTTAAATCCCATACTAAAGGTGTGTCTATCTCTAAGTATAAAATATATTTACTTCAGTCTCTACTGTCCTACACAATATGTCTCCTTGTTTTAAAAAAAAAAGCAAGAAAAAAAGCATACTATCAAGAAACAAAAAAAAATTAACTCCAGACCCATATATGACAGATGTTGAAATTTCTCATTTAAAATTATTATAATTAAAATGTTAAAGGTATAATAAAGAAGTAAGGAAACATACTAGATTAGATGAATGATTTCAGCAGAAAGATTAAAACTACTTTTAAAAAAATCACATGTAAACACTAGAAATAAATTGAAAAAAAAAAAAACCAGTACAGAATTCTTCTGAGAGGCTCATCAGTAGTCTAGATACAGTCAAGCAAAGATTTACGGGACCTGAAGATAGGTCAGTAGAAATTATCTAACTTAAACACAAAGAGGACAAAAGAGTGAAAAAGCAAAGAACACAAATAAACAACAACAACAAAAACAGCACAGAGCATCCAAGAATGTGAACATCATCCAACTCTTTCCTATACACATAATTGCAATATATGAAGAACGGAACAGAATACATTTGAAAAAATAAGCTTATTTTTTTTCCAAACTTAATAACAGACATAAATCCAAGAGGTTCAGAAAACACTAAGGGGGAAATTACCACCCATAGATGCATCATATTCAAACTGCTTAAATAAAGACAGAGACACTTTTGAAGGAAGTCACATGAAAAAATACACATTAAATATGACCAGAGATAAAAATTACAATCGGCTTCTCAGAAACCATGCAAACTGAAAGACAAAGGACTAGCACTTTGAATGAACCAAAATAAAAATGGCAGCTTAGAATTCTATATCTAGTGAAAATATTTTTCTAAAATAAAAGAGAAATAAAGTATTTCTCAGATAAATGCTGAGGGATACCCACTCTCCAAGAAAAATTAAAGACAGACCTTTAGGTAGAAGGAATATGATTTCAGACAGAAATTTGTTTCTATATAAAGTAATGAAGAACACTCAAAATGCATAGTATTGCCTTCAAAAACTTCCCCAGTATCAATCAATTCCATCCCTTGAAAAACTTGCTATAAATCACCTGGACCCAGATCGCAGGTATTCTGTACCATGTTTTTCATTTGCAGCATTTTCATTTGATTATTCCTTAGAGTTTACATTTCTCTTCTGAAAACATCTCCCCCGATGACCTCTTTCAGAGGCACATTTAAGGCTCCACTGAAAGGTCTTTGACTTGCACAATAAATAATATGTCTCCTTATTTTTGCAGGCTTCACACTATGAATACATTCCAAGGAGAATGTATGTCAGTTCAAACATCGGCAAATAATTTGGCCATTCCCAGTGAAGTGAAAGACATGCATACTGTTGAACTAAGAATTCCACTTTTAGGTTTTACTTTACATGAATTCACTCACGCATAAGAAAGCACATGCAATGATGTCCATCACTACACTGTTTATAGGGTGAAAATGTGGAAGCAATGCAGTGGAACCTCAAGTTCAGAAAACCTACATACATTTTGTTATGATGACAAAATGGAATTCTGTCAAGCAGTGAATATTAATAATGCAGATCTGATATATGAATAATCTTATAAATCTTATAAATTATTTTGTATTTAAAAGTTATATGCAATGCAATATACATATACAAATGGAGTCATTATATAAAATTCCTTTTTTGTGTATAGATCAAACAAGGTCAAATATCATCAGCTTCATGGTATTCCACCTAATCAAATTTAAAATACATTTAAAGAATAATATATGGTTTGTGGAGACGTAGCTAAAGAACAGCTTGCTAGCTAACTAAATTTGTTGGCCATATAATATGTGTAAAACATTGTTATAAGCATTTCATATATATTAATTTATTTAATTCACACAATCAATAATCTTATCAGGTAGAAAATAATATTATTTGTCCTCATTTCTATTGATGAGGCCAATAAAGAAGAAAACTGCATGCCTGGGAGAAAGAACATCCATCTTATTTTAGAGGTTATCCCTGGGAAGAAGGAATATGGGGTCGTTTGATGGGTGGGAGGATCTTACTTATGTATTATTACAAATAAACAAAGGGGAAAAAATCCACAAGAGAATGGGAGACCTGAAGGTAATGTGATAAAATGGCATAATCCATTTTATATCTCAGCAGTATATTATTCATATATATTTTGTATACTTTTCTGAATGTTTGAAATCTCTATTTTTTTATTTCAAAGGAGAGATGACCCAAACTCTTTGTGACTCACTCCCCCATAATTTCCTATCCTCTTTCTCCTCCAGCAGATATCAGTCTTTAAGTGATCTTCAAAGTCCTTCATAACAGCCCTTAGTAATAACAACAGACACTTATATGTCCAAAAAGTATCTGTAAGAAGTACAAAGAAAAAATACTTAAAAAAAAAAAGAAAAAGAAAACTTCCTCCCCCCGAAAAAATATATATGTATGTATTCCTACTCTGCAGGTACTTTGAGAGTGGCTCAAGAAATATTTCAGTGTTCCAAAAATCATAGAAGTATTTAGCTTCCTGCCTATGAAAGATAATTTCTCTTTGAAATTATTCAGCTGGGAAGCAGTAGAAGGTAACAGAAAGCTCAGTGAAAGCAAACTAAATATAGGGAAGTAATCAATTCACTCAAATAATGAAACTATTGTAGCACAGGGGCACTTCCAAATTAGAAAAAAACATCATAGTAGGAGATGCTCCTTGTTAATTTTTTAAAGTGTCAATCTGTTTAAGGGTTAAAGGACAAAAAATATATATGGTTGATGTTCCTCCTAGTAAATTTGTTTTTAAGTGTGAGTCATCTGAAAGGTCATAGGACAAAATATTTTATTAACCGTTATTTTAATAATTGTGGTTGGAATTTTAAATATATTGAGGACAAGAGTTAGAGACCTGGGTTTCTCTAGAAGTGCAATGTTCCTTAGGACAATTTCCCTTCAATGAGTTTTTAAAACAGAAACCGCTGAGGGGAGTGCTCTTTCCTGGGAGCAAACCCAGCTTCACCATGCTCTATCCCTAAAGCAAATGAAAGTGTATGATGCCTTGAAGATGGTAGGTTTAATCCTAACTCCAGCCTTGGCCAGCTTCACTTTCTCCCTTCTGACTCTTTTCCCGGGTAAGATAAATTAAGACCTATAACTGATTCTCTGATTTGGGAAGTTTCAGAAAAGATGGATTCAACCATTGGGAGAATGATGTTTGCTCTTGCTTGTCATTTTTATCTTTATGCGACCTTGTTTTTATGCTCCATCTGCTTGTCTCACTGGAGGCCTTTACCTTAGCATTAGAGATAGAAATAGTCTAGATTTTTAAGACTGTTGCTGATTCTTTCTGGTGGAATTGGTTTAAAAGATGGATGCCTAGGACAAAGGCTGATCTGTGTTTGAAGGTAAAGCCAAACAAACTCATTCATGCTCAGTCGGAATGTGAATTTTCTGTAATTAACATTATACTTTCACTAATGAAACAAACCTTTAATATCAAGCCCTGAGCCCAGTCTTTAATACTTATGATAACTTCATAAATATATACGATAGATTCTTCCCTCAATATCTCCGAGAAAATAATCTATATCTAAAAGGTTTTTAAACTTTAATCTGAGAGAAGGATTTAGTGTCAGTTATAGTCTCTTTCCTTTTCTTATTTTACTAATAGTAGAACAGATACCTTGGGTCTTCAATCAGACTATGCGTCTTTTTATTATATAGTCCAGTTTTTCCAAATGTATAAATTAGTGCCCACAGTAAGAAACATATTTCATATTTTATATTATATTTACTTAAATATATGTGTGAATGCATATGTATGTATATATTACATATACAGATATGTATCTATATGAAACAACAGCTCCAAGAAGCAATACTTACCTTAGTACATCTAATGTACTCTAATATTTCTATTCTAATCCTTTCTTTTTCAAATTAAAAATGGACTGGGGCTGGGTACAGTGACTGACACCTATAATCTCAGCACTTTGGGAGGCCGAGGTGGGAGGATTACCTGAGGCTGGAAGTTTGAGAACAGCCTGGCCAGTATAGCCAGATCCCATCTCTACATTTTTTTTTTTAATTAGCTGGCCATGGTGTTGCCCACCTGTAGCGCTAGCTACTCAAGAGGATGGCTTGAGCCCAGAAGTTTGAGGCTGCAGTGAGGCTGTACTTCATACTCCACTGCAGTTCAGCTTGGGCAACAAAGTGAAATCCTGTATCTAAAAAACAAAACAAAATAAAAGCAAGCCGTTGTTGTTTTATTATTTTTATGTTCTACCACCAGGTTATAGGCTGTAGCTTGCAAAACACTGATTAGACAACATGGATATAAGTGTATCTGGTTAAAGCAAATTATCTATCTGTCTATATGTATACATATACATAAAGTCAGATAAGCAATAGTACATATATAGTATTATATATTATACTGTGTTCTGTGTATAATACCATATGTAGTATTACTTATCTGATTGCCCTTCTCTTTTCTAAAATTTTAACTAAAATAGTGAAATAAGGTACATTCAGCTTCTTTAAGTCAGAACTTTTTGCAAACATCCAAAGGATTAGATAAAATGGCTGAGCTCACAGTTAAGATGAAAATAAGGTACGAGTCAGGCACAGTGGCTCATCCCTGTAATCCCAGCACTTTGGGAGGATAAGTGGGGCAGATCACCTGAGGTCAGGAGTTCAAGATCAGCCTGGCCAACATGGTGAAACCCTGTCTCTACCAAAAAATACAAAAATTAGCTGGGCATGGTAGTGCCTGTAGTCTCAGCTACTAGGGAGGCTGAGGCAGGAGAATCGTTTGAGCTTGGGAGGCGGAGGTTGCAGTGAGCCGAGATCGTGCCACTGCACTCCAGCCTGGGTGACAGAGTGAGACCTTGTCTCCAAAAAGAAAAAAGAAAAGAAAAGAAGGTACAATTTATTACAAAATTGACATGCATATAAATTCATACAGCTACCTATATGCAAAATACCTCTTAATTTGTTTTCAGTGATTAAAAACTCTTAGTCAGGCGTGATTAAAAAATAGTATTTCCACATTGAATACTCTCAATCAGTGATAGTTTCTATTTAATCTTCTTTCTGTTTGATAATTTTGTGCCCCAGCTTTATGAATAACTGAACAAGATGCCACCAGCTGAGATGAGGCGCTTAGATTTTTTTCATGGAATTACTCTGTTTATCCCTAAATAATAATGAAAATTTTTGTTAAATTCTTAAGTTAGCTTCAGGTTTTAATGGTGTTTATGATAAATTTAGACAATAAACAGACAACTGTCTTACTCTTGCCTGTTTTACATGTCTTCACATATTTTCCCCCATTGTAATTTTGGCTAAAGCAGAAGTGGAAGAATTTTGGCTTGTGGTTTCACCTGTTACCAGAAAATACTGCTGTCATCAGTGAGAAATACACAGGAAGATCTGAGGAGAGTTTCACACTTGGAAAGAGGAATGCTGGAAAGTCTACATACCTGTAACTGCATCCATGGATCATATTCTTGCAATACATAACTTTTTATATAATGTGATAAATGCTTGTTTTTCAACTTGATTTAATAATTGTTACTTTTGTTTATGAAAAAAATCCACAAATAAGCAAATTAAACTTAAATGGTTTGAAAGCACAGGTAGAATTCTAAGATAGAATTCTAAGATAAAATTCTAAGACCAGAATCTCATTCTGTAGCAGCCTATAGAAGTTCAGAGAGGATACCTAGGCTTTTGACTGAGCCTCCAATGGCTCTTTATGAGCCATTGGAGGAGTGCATTTTAGAAAGATTACTCTGATTGCAGTTGTCATATACAAGGTCAAAAACAAGAGTAGAAACAATCTTCCTCACTTTTTAGCTCCACACCCAATAACTTCTAAAGCAGCATGAGTGTAGGATAATTGGGTACAACACAGGGCTCTGTAGCAACACAGAAATAATTATCAAGTGTTCAGCTGTGAACAGAGCTGGTTAAGAAGCAGTTTTATTCCAAGCTGGCCAGTTGGCACATGGTTGAGTTATGCAGAGTAAAAGACTCTGGTTTGGAGATGTGGGTGCTAAATCTTAGAAAATCACTCAGATTTGAGAATAAGCAAGCTTCTTCACATTACTCTGCTTTTTCTAATTACTTTCTATGAAATATGAATATTAAATATTATTCATATAAATATTTAAATGAAATAGAATAACTTAGTGGAAATTGAAAAAAATAATTACTAGGTATAACTAGTTTCCATGCTCACATATCAAGATGGTAATAAGCTACACATGCATTTGAATGTGGGGCTATTTGTTTAAAATTTTAATCTCACTTTCTCTCTCTGCTCCATTTAGAGATATTTTTTAACCCTGATTTTATTGAAATAGGCAGTGGGTTGTATATAAATTTCTCTGAAAATATCTAGACAAATCAACTGACTTGGAGTGTTTTTGACGAAATGTTTTCAAAGTTGAGGGAAAATCTAATCCTACTACATTAATTGCCTAGGAACCGATGGTTCAATGTATGGCAAAATTCCTAGCACCTCTAAATGGCCTTTGCTTTACCTTTGTGCAGTGCTTTTTGCAGTACAGTATCATAGCCACAGGACACTGTTGGAATGTCCTCCCAAAGTAAAGTGAAGATATTGGGAAGAAATTTACCAAACGTGTCAGATGTCTCCTCCCTACCAGTATTTTCAGCAAACTCTTTCAACAGGTAAGTTTTTACACTTTCTGGCTAAATTAGCTGACATTCTCTTAGCATTTATCAGAGAAAAAGAAAACACACTTGGAAAACTTATGCTTTCTTTTCTTCCCAAAGACATTTTCAATTTTTTTATCATTCAACATATTATATATTCTTTATGCTCCTGGTACTAATTCAACAAGCAATTTCTGTGCATTCTCCTCTGTCACTCCCTATGCTAGCTCCTGAGAACACAGGAAGGAAAAGCACAAACCCACCTCTGGTTGCTCACCTTTAGGGAATAAGATAGAGTTGTAATCTCATAGAGTGCCATTACTTCTGTGATACTGGCATAGAGGGTGTGTGTAGAACCCAGAGAACTGGAGAGGCCTGATGACTGGTTATAATATCACTCAAATGATATGGTCCATGCATAGATTCAACTGTGACATCAGATGATCTACTTTGCAGTTCAGTCAAATAGACTCTCTTGAAGCATAAGAGAACAGCAGGATCTGGCTCACGAATTTTGTGTTGGATTTCAAAAGGGCTTAGTAGCACTACACTGCTATGAATATATTTTCATTTAAAGGTTTAGACCATCTGTCCACTTATTTCCCAATGAACAGCTCACTTCATGAAAACAATCTTTTTTATATTCTACCTATTAAAAAACACATATATCAGAACACATACAGAAGAAACTTCAGAAATGTAAAAAATACAACCTTGTGGTTTTAATAACAGCACCATGGAAATATTTTGACAACTAGCTTAAAAGTGATTTTTATAAGGATAATAAGAAAATTTATATTTAAAAAATAGGCAGTGTTAAATCCTCTTATAGATTGAAATAAAGGAGTAAGGTAGAGGTCAAGTAATGCATATGGGTAATAGACAGGTATGTTTGGAGTGGTAGCTATTGATGAGTGACTGACAAGCAGAGAGAGAGAGACTGAGAGATAAATATGTATGTGAAGGATTTCAATTATTCATGTTTCTTAGGAGGCAGCTCAGGTTTAACCTAATGGCATCTCATTTACTGTCTGTTACACTTGGAGGTGGTGTGGCAAGCCCAAAGAAGCGAGTGACTTTTTCAAGAAAATCCCTTTGTGACACAGGGGCACTGGGAAATAACAGCTTCGCAACAGTTCCTAGGAGAGAAGGAAAGGCTGAAAAATCCATGTAGCTTTGAATAAAAAATATTCAAGTGCATTTAAATCACTCATCTAAATTTATTACGATAAAATCATGAATTATGTTCACTCCACATTTGCAATTAGATGGTACAACAGATGGTGAATATTTACAGAAACATTAACATTCTGGATAAGACAAGTTTAATAAATTTGTCAATGGGAGTCTCTGGGGCTATGGGAAAATGTTTATATGCCAAATAAAATAGGTAGTTAGGTGTGTAGGAAGGCAAGAAGAAGGAAAGGAGGGTTTTCACATTTCCACTATGGAATTCTGAATTCGGTATTTGCAAAGGTTTTTATTATTGTGAGGACTCAAGACAACTTCAAAATTTGTTTCACTGAAGCCCACACATTATACTAAGTATAGGTCTGCCAGAAAAGATGCCTATGGAAAAACTGCAAAACATCTATCTTCGAACAGTCCCTAAACCCAGTAAGCATCAAGTTATCTGGGGCTTAACTTCCCTTTAAAATACAACTAATAGAAACGTCCTCAAAACACAATAATCTCCAGTCTTAGCTTTCACAGCTTTTTCATGCCACATAAACTGTACACCCTAGAAAGTTATTTATTCATTTATTCAATCAATCAAACAAACAAAGAAAAATCATTTATTCAACATTTCCTATCCCAATAGCACAATAGTAAATATTATATTATTTATGCTGGGAAAAAGTCTATTCCCTAAGCATTGTATTAATATGGTAAGAATCCAGAATCTTATGTAGAATAGCTTTAGCTTCATCAGTAAAATTCTTTCTTGAAGTACCTTTGATTGGATTTTTCTCATTTTCAGTGAAAAATCACAGTCATCAGATCTTTATAAATTCATTTTTACTTAGTCACTCTTATTCCATCATCTCAAACAAATCAACAATAGTCTTTGCAACAAATTTTCTGAAACAACTGGGCATCTACATGCAAAAGAAGTAAAAAAGATTGTAGACAAACCTTACTCTCCTCACAAAATAAAAAATTCAAAATGAATCATAGACCGATATGTAAAACACAAAACTATAAAATTCCTAGAGGATAACAGGAGAAAATCTAGATGACCTTGGGTTTGATAATGACTTTTTAGATGTAATACCACAGGAATGACCTATGAAATAAAGAATCTATAAGCCAGACTTTATTACAATTAAAATTTTCTGGTTTCTAAGAGATACTGTGAATAGAATGGAAAGACAAGCCACAGCCTGGGAGAAAATATTTGAAGAAAATCATTTCTGATAAGAAACTGTTTTTCAAAATATACAAAGAACTCTTAAATATACATAATCAAAATTGAACAACCTGATTAAGAAATGGGCAAAGACCTGAGCAGACACCTCACAAAGACGATACACAGTTGGAAAAAAATATATGCATATATGTTTAACATCATATCTCATTAGGGAATTATAAATTAAAACAATAATTGGCTATCACTATACACCTAATAGAATGACCAAAATCCAAAACATTGACAATATTAAATACTGGTGAGGATGTGGAGCAACAGGAACTCTCATTTATTATTAATGAGAATGAAAAATGGTACAACTTCTTCTGAAGACAGTTTGCCAGTTTCTTACAAAACTAAACATACTCTCGCTATACAATCCATGAATCATGTTCCTTGATATTTACCCAAATTAGTTGAAAACTTCTGTCCACACAAAAGCTTTCACAGGGATGTTTATAGCAGCTTTACTCATAATTATCTAAACTTGAAAGCAACCAAGATGTGGTTCAGTGAATGAATGGAAAAACAAACTATGATATATCCAGACAATGGAGTATTATTGAGTACTAAAAAGAAGTTAGCTGTCAGTTCATGAAAAGATCTAGAGGAAACCTAAATGCATATCACTAAGTGAAAGAAACAAACTCAAAAAGGCTAACATATGTATGATCCTACCAATTTGACATTTTGGGAAAGGCAAAACCATGACAACAGAAAAAAGGGGCTCCAAGAGATAGGGAAAATATGGAATAACAGGCAAAAAAAAAGCATAGAAGGTTTTTAGAGTAGTGCAAATATTCTGTATGACACCACAGTGGTGTATACGTGTCATTATACATTTGTCAAAACTTACTGAATGTACCCACTAAGCGTGAACTCTAATGTAAACTCTGGACTTCGGGCAATAATAATATGTCAGTGTAGGTCAAATTTAAGAAATGTACCACTATGGTGAGAGATTCTATGTGGGAGAGGCTATGCATGTGTGTTGGAAGAGGGTGTCAAGGGGTACAAGGGAAATCTCTGTAGTTTCTGCTCAATTTTGCTGTGAACCTAAAACTGCTCTAAAAATAAAGCCTGTTAAAAAACAATTTTAAGATAAAATGTGCAATGAGTCTTACTCTTAAGAGTAGTGTCAAAGGTGTACGTACATACATCAAATACTAAAAATTCTATAAGAACCATTTTATGTTGGGTGTGTTGGCTCACACGTGTAATCCCATTTTATGTTGGGTGTGTTGGCTCACACGTGTAATCCCAGTGCTATGGGAGTCAAGAGGATTGGTTGAAACTTGGAGTTTGAGACCAGCCTGGGCAACATAGCGAGACCCGTCTCTACAAAAAAATTTTTAAATAGCTCAGCATGGTGAGGCATGCCTGTGGTCATAGCTACTTGAGAAGCTGAGGCAGGAGGATCACTTGATGCCAAGAGTTCAAGCCCTGATCATGCCACTGCACTCCAGCCTGGGTAATGAAGCAAGACCCTGCCTCAAAAAAAAAAAAAAAAAAGAACCATTTTATATAATTTTATACCAGGCTACATAATGTCTTTTAAAAGGAATTCAAGGATATGAGTAAGACTTCTAATTTCATAGCTTCATAGCTTTCTAGTTTAAACGTTTCTATTAGAATAATAAAACTACCACTGAGTTGACACTTACTAACCAACAACACTCTGCTGAATGTTTTATATCTATTATCTAGCTCCTCCCCATATCCCTATGAAGTAGATATTAGTAAAATGTGCAAACTGAGAATAGGTAATGTCCAGAGTTACACAGCTAGCAAAAGATGGGAATCAATCATCATCAAGCTGTCTGTCTCACTCCAAAGTCTCACTCTAAATATCTCTGCTAGCAATATTACCCATTCTGCTTCATTTGTTCATGGGTGGGCAAGTACTTCATACTCAATTATTTTAATTTAATAATTAACCTCTACAAATCTGTAGCTTCTGCTAAAATACTGGAATATGTTCTGAGTTTTTCCCCCTTTTGAATAATTAATATTCTACTTGCTTAACTCCAGCATTTGAAGTTATATTTTCTCCAGCATTGTTCTGACTACAGGATTGGCACCACTGCACCACTGGCACTCCTATTTTAGTCTCTGATGTTCCTGCTAATAGATTATCCATCTGTTATTCTGTCATTCTTTTTGCTATATAACTATATTACTTTATGTAGCAGTGGACCGACTCAATGAATATGGGATCTCTAGCAACACGGTGACAGGGTAATTTAGTTAGAAATCTGCCAAATTCAATATCCGATATGCCGTGTGTTTACTTCAGCAATAAACAAAAAATAAGGTTCATAGTATTAAGACTGTATAAAGCACAAGTTTCAAACAATTGCATTTTTTAATATTGGACATATTCCAAGAATTATACTATAATACTGTTATTTGAAATTTAAAGATTAGAGCATAGTAAGAAAAAGAAGTAAAAAAAGTGAAATGGAAGATCCTTTTGGTAATAAACCAAAGATATATGGAAAGAGAGACAGATAATGTGTATAGTAAAATTCCATTTAATCCAAACCTAGTAATATTTTCAGAAAAAGTTATTATAAGAAGTTAGATGAGATGCAGATCTTCCTTGAGAGCACATGATAAGAAAAAACAGGTATTTGTGTTAAAACATGATACTAGTAACAAGTTAAAATTTAATCCATGTTTGCTTTTTAATATTAAGACAAAAATAAATTGAGTTGTATATCCCACAACTAAATATAAAACACATTGGCAAGTAAACAATACGTAGAGGAAGAAATATAGAATGTGACTACATGAAGATCTGTATATACGTAGCAATAAACTAGAAAATGAAAAATAACCCATTATCATTAAACAAATGGAAAAATATATACCTTCAATAAAGACACTAGGTGGAAGTTATCATATAAATATTTCCTTTCACATTTTTAAGGAACAGAAAATTTTCTTGCTACATAAACTATTTCAGAACACTTAAAAATTAAAATGTTTCTAATTCATTTTGCTGAGATCATATGGCCCTGAGGTAAAAAAAAAAAAATTACAAAGGTAGTACAAAATAAAGAAAATTATGAAACCATTTATTTCATAAATAAAGATGAAAAAGTGTTCGCACCCAAACTCACAAAATTAAAACTCAGCAAAATAAAGCAGAAATTAATTAAAATAATAAAACACCATGACCATGTGAAGTTATTTCCAAAATATGATATAATTGAATATTTGAAAATCATGCATTAGATCAATGGATTAGTGGCAAAAATAATTATTTTGTAAAGGCTGAAAGGGTATCATGTAAAACTAGCATAACTATTTTTGATAATTACTCCTAGAATGAGGAAAACAAAAATGTCTTCATGTCAGTCTTCAGATAATAGCCAAAGGTTAAGTGTAAAAAGGGAGAAATAACATCACTCTTCTTGTTAACTCTTGTTAACTATTCTTTAGTTTGGAAAATATTGTTATTTTGTTTAATAAAAGTATTGTTTATATTTATGTTCAATGGGTTTTTCATTATTTTAAAATTAACATTTTAAAAATCTCAGCTTTAATTTTTATTGTGGTAAATATTGATGAATATAACCAATATTAAGAAAAAGATCTTAGGTATCTTCAATAATTGTTAAGGATATAAAAATGTGGCCTTCAGGCTAAAAAGTTTGAGAGTTGTTCAACTACAATCAGGTAGTCATCTCCTAAATTATGACTTGAGTTTTCCCATCGCTCCAGAACTTTTCCTCATGTTCCAGGACACTACCTAGGTAACTACTATTCTGACTTCTATCACAATATATTATTTTTTGGTTTTTTTTTTTGAACTTCAGGTAAAATTACATACTTTTAAAAACCATTGATAATTTTTATCATTAATAAAATGTATTATTTTCAAAAATTAAACTATATGTACATTTTTAGAATTCCTTGATCATAGTGTTGTATTGTTTTAATTATTTTCTGGCTTTATTTTGCTGAGCTTTGATTTCTTGAAATTTGAATGCAAACGTTTTACATCTGTATTTGTAAAATAAATGGTTATATAATTTTCCTTATTTTGTACTGTCTTTGTAATTTTTTTAATATTAAGGCTATATGATCTCAGCAAAATAAATACATTTCTTTTATGTTTATATTCCTTTCTTAAACACAATAAAATTTATTCATTATGTTGCATGCCAGTAGTTCATTTTTTGTGTTAGTTTGTAACACTACTAGAAGTTAATAATACTACTACCAGGTAGTATTAATTGTGTGAATATACCATCATATGTTGACCAGTTCCCCTGTTAATTAACATCGCATCTTGGTTGTTTTCAGTTTTGGGCTAATATGAATACCACTGTGATGAACATTCTGTACAGTTTTTTTGTGGACATGTGCACTAATTTATCTTGGATATATGCCTAGGAGTGTTATTGCTGGATTACAGAAGAGGCATCTATTTAACTTAGTAAGAAGTGACTAAACACTTTTCCAAAGTGGTATACCATTTTAGGATAGCAATACATGAAAGTTGCTTTTGCTTCACATTCTAGTTAATATTCTAGTGGCCTTATAATAGTATCTTATTGTAGTTGTAATTCCCAAAGAAATAATGGTGCTGAAAACTTTTTCAAATATCTATTGGCCATTTGGATATCTTCACTGATGAAGTATTCATTTCAGTATTTTGACTTTTTAAATTATTTTGGAAAGGAGAGGGTGGAGTTTGTCATTTTCTTATAGATTTGCAACTGTTGCTTTACTCTGGATGCAAAAACACAGAGAAATCCTTAAAATCTGGGTTTCCAGTGAGATGAGGAATATGTTGTTTCACTACATTAACTGTTTTACACATAAAAGAAGTGCATATAATGTCATGTTGCATACCTTAAATATACATAATAAAATATCTCTAAAAATAAATTTTTAAGAACAAGAAAATAATTTTTTTAAAAATTTGACACATCATTAGAAAAATAGTATGGTATATGGGTTATAAAACAGCTACATTTTTCCCCTGTATTTGTATCCTATGTTATGTAATTTTGCTATGCTCTCCCGTATAGAGTCTGCACTCACACTCCGTGACTCTTGTCCTTGTTTCTATGCTCAGCTACATAATTTATTTTGGTTAATGGGATATTAGCAAATATGACGTAACTAGAGGTTTAAAAAATTGCTTACAAGTTTCTCCTTTCTCTCTTTTCACTGATTCCTTCCTAAAAACATGCCTGGGTTTGCCTTCTGGAGGATGATATATGAGGAGCAGTGCTATGTCAGTGTAGTCATCACAGCCGATGATCTCTCTGAGCAGGTAACAGCCAACCAATCCTCAAACATGTGAGATAGCACAGGCAAAATTAACAAAGCCTACTTTACCAAACCGCAGCTGACTGCAAATACATGAGTAAACCCAGACTAGGTAATCACTCTGCCAATCCACTACTGCGAGGTAAATACTTAATTATTTTATTAAGCCACCGGGTTTTGTGGTTGTTTGTTATGCAACACGATTGTTGCAATAGATAACTGATTCACGGGGGCAATTGATTGCATAAAAGGAATTTACACAAAAAATGCAGAAAGTATTTAAATGTATTAGTAACCAGGACAATGTAAACTCAATCAATAATGATACAGTTTTTCTCACTCATTATATTGGCAAATACTTTACATTTAAAAATATGCAACATAGCCCAGAGAAATGAATACAATAGTGGGACTATAGCTTGTTATGTTTTTTCCTGGAAGGCAAATAGACAATATATAAACATTTAAAATATGCATTCTGACGCAGACTGCTCAGCCAAAGTCAGGTGGGAGCCTAGAAAGGCTACCTAATGAGGTGATAAAGTAAGTGAGTGACCCCTAGCGGTACACATTCCCACCATGGACTGCTGCAATCTTAACCACCAGAAAGCCCCTTAACCCCTGCACGCCCTAAGAAAAATGTAGGGAGCCTGGAGCTCACACACTCCCTGAGTTGTAAGCATCTACAGCAATGCATCATTTTCAGAGTGTAGCCCACACCAGAGTACGTCCCGTCTTGTGTCCCAACAGCCTCTGCACTTCTACATTCCTAGATGCCTGCATGCCAATGATGGCTATTGCTGCCAGGGCCAAAGTATAAGCCATTGGCAGCAAGCCCCACCACCCCTGGCAGCAGGGCCACCATGTGTTTATATGTGCCCTGAGGAAAGTCTACCCTACTTGCAGCTGCCACCTAGGGCCAAAGCATGTACTCCTCAGCTGCTTGTTTATGGCTGCTGCTACTGAAAGCAACCTTATACTCTCCAGCAAAAGGGGCACACCATAGCTCCTGCCACTCCCACCTAAGTATTTCACTGGGGGTGTGGAGATCACCTTGTTCCTGCCTACCACAGCCAGCACCTATGTGTATCACCAGAAGGCCTAAGGATAGTTCCACCTGGTTTAGCTCTACTACCTCCCAACCACTGCCCAGTTCCCTAGAACATTCCTGAAGCCTAGGGATCACCCTAACCTGTAAACCACTGGTAGGACCTGAACACTCTGACTGGGGCCTGAGGACAAGCTGACTCAACCTGCCATGCCACAACTTGCACCAACCTGCATGTATCACCTGCAGCCTGGGGATTGCCCCACCAACCCCACTAAATCCACTACAAACAAACAACAATGTGAAATGCATGCAAGACAGAGGATTGTCCTGTGACTGCTACCACCACTGTCCATGCCAGTCCCACTTCCCAGGGTTCCAAGAACACACCAACCAACCCGACCTATTGTTGCCACTGCTGGTACCAACCAAGCTGCCTGGAAACCTAAGAATTGGCACACCTGGACCCATTAACAGCAGGGCCAGCATACAGTGTCCTGAAGCCCAAGGATGGGCATGCTTGGCCTGCCACTGCCACCACTGGGCCCCAAGGACTGGCCCAACTGATGCTTTATCCCAGCAGAACATTATAACAGACCCCACTAACAACAGTGCCCTAAGCCACAGAGGAAATCACAGATAACACTGTTTATACCTCAATAAATAAACAGAGACTACACTGCTGCACACATCCAGATGCAAAGCCAAAGTGCCCTATACAACGAACACCATGGATACATCTTCAGAAAAATATCCTCCCCTATAAAAGCAAATTTTAAAAATTGGAAGAAGTGATAGCTATTCCAGATGTACAGATATCAATGTAAGGACCCAGGAAATATATTTTAAAAAGTGAGGAAATAAGAAAACTTCAAAGGAACACAATAATTCTCTGGCAACAATTTCCAACGAAAAAGAAATTTATAAATTTCTAGAAAATAATTTAAAAAATTATATTTAAGAAGCTGAAAGAGATAAAAGAGAACTCAGAAAAACAATAAAAATCAGAAAAACAAATCAGGATATGAATAAGAAATTTATCAAAGATATATATATATATCATTAAAAGAACAAAAGAGAAATTCTGGAATTGAAAAATTGGTGTTGAAATACAAAATACATGAAAAAGCTTCAAGATTAGACTAGACCAAGCAGAAGAAAGAATTTCAGAACTTGAAGAATGGTCTTTTCAAATAAGTCGGTCAGACAAAAATAAAGAAAAAGATATTTATAAAAAATAAGCAAGGCCTACATGACATATGGGACACTACAAAGTGACCAAACATTTGAATTTTCAGTGCCCCAGAAGGCAGAGAGAAAAATGAAAGGGATTGAAAATCTATTCTATAAAATAATACATGAAAATTTTCCAAGTCTAGCAAGAGATTTACACATCCAGATACAGGAAACTCAGAGATCCTCAAGTCAGCACAATGCAAAAACATCTTCTCCACAGTATACTACAGTCAAAATGTCAAATGTCATAGACAAAGAGAGAATTCTAAAAACAGCAATAGAAAAGCATCTAGTCACTCATTAGGGACCCCCATCAAAGTAACAGCAAATTTCTCAGCAGAAACTTTGCAGACCAGGTGATGAAGGAATTATATTTTCAAAGTGATGTAAAAAAATTTAGCCAAAGATACTATACCCAGAAACATTATCCTTTATAAATGAAGGAGAAATAAAGTCTTTCTCAGATAAGCAAAAGCTGTGGGAATTAATCAGCACTATACCAGCCTGACAAGAAATGCTGAAGGGAGTTCTACACTTGGAATAAAAAGAAAGAGGTTCTACACCTGGAAGCAAAAGGACAATAACTACTATCATGAAAATCCACAAAAGCGGTGGACTGAAGGCTACACCACAGCTGTATGCTTCCCAGTTCTCTGGTGTTGCTATACTGGCGACATGGGGTCCCCACAGACCTAGAAATTCCAGCACCTCTTTCTCAACCCAGAGCAAATTGAGACGTCCGGATGAGAGTTCAGTTGATTTCCAAAAACTCATGTTATGTAAGGAAGCCACCAAGAAGAGCAAAGAAAAGGAGCCAGGGATGGCTTTTCCTCAGGGACACTTGATTTTCAGTGATGTGGCTATAAAATTCTCTGTGGAGGAGTGGAAATGCCTGAACCCTGAGCAGAGGGCTTTATACAGGGAAATGATGTTGGAGAACTACAGGAACCTGGAGTCTGTGGATAGCTCTTTAAAATCCATGATGGAGTTCTCATCAACAGAGCAAGGCAATACAGAAGTGTTCCACACAGGGACATTGGAAAGACATGATTTTTGCTTCCCAGAAATCAAGAAAGATATTCAGGACTTTGAGTTTCAGTGGCAAGAAATTGAAAGAAATGGCCATGAAGCACCCATGACAGAAATCAAAGAGTTAACTGGTAGTACAGACTGACATGATCAAAAGCACACTGGAAACAAGCCCATGAAAGATCAGCTTGGATTAAGCTTGGATTAAGCTTTCATTTGCATCTACCTGAACTGCACATATTTCAGACTAAAGGGAAAATTGGTAATCAAGTGGACCAGTCTATCAATGATGCTTCCTCAGCTTCAACATCCCAAATAATTTTTTGTAGGCTCAAAACCCATATTTCTAATAAGTATAGGAATAATTTCCTGCATTCTTCATTATTCACACAAATACAGGAAGTACATATGAACGAAAAACCTTTCCAATGTAATGAGTGTGGCAAAGCCTTTAATTATAGCTCACACTTAAGGAGACATCACATAATCCATTCAGGAGAGAAACAATATAAATGTCATATATGTGGCAAAGCCTTTCATCAGAAGCAATACCTTCCATGCCACCATAGAGTTCATACTGGAGAAAAACCTCAGAAGTGTAATGAGTGTGGCAAGACCTTCAGTCAGAAGTCTTACCTTCAATGCCATCATAGACTTCATACTGGACAGAAACCTTACAAATGAGAATAATGTGACAAAGTTTACAGTTGCAGATCACAACTTAAAACACATAGGAGAATTCATACTGGAGGAAAAAGCATACAAATGTAAGGTTTGTGAGAAGGCTTTCTGGGATAATTCATGCCTTTCATGCCAAAAGAGAGTTCACATTGGAGAGAAACCTTACACAGGTAATGAATGTGACAAGGCTTTTAGTAGAAAAGCACACCTTGCACTTCATCATAGACTTCATACTGGAGAGAAACCTTAAGGTTTGTGACAAGGTTTTTTGGCATGACTCATGTCTTGTACAACATCAGAGACTTCATACTGGAGAGAAACCTTACAAGTGTAATGAGTGTGTCAAGGCCTTCACTTGAAATTCAGCCCTTGTAATGCATAAGGCAATTCACACTGGAGAGAAACCTTACACATGTAATGAATGTGGCAAGGCTTTTAGTAGAAAAGCAAACCTTGCACTTTATCATAGACTTCATACTGGAGAGAAACCTTACAAATGTGAAGAATGTGACAAAGTTTACAGTCGCAGGTCACACCTTGAAAGACATAAATGAATTCATACTGGAGAAAACCCATACAAATGTAAGGTTTGTGACAAGGCTTTCCGGAGGGATTCATGCCTTGCACAACATCAGAGAGGTTCATACTGGAGAGTTCATACTGGAGAGAAATCTTACAGATGTAATGAATGTGGCAAGGTTTTCAGTCAAAAAGGAAACCTTGCATGTCATTATAGACGTCATACCGGAGAGAAACTTTACAAGTATAATGAGTGTGGCAAGACTTCAGTCAGAACTCATTTCTTATAGGCCATTGTAGACTTCATACTGGAGAGAAACATTACAAGTGTAATGAGTGTGGCAAGATCTTCACTTGAAATTCAGCCCTGGTAATTCATAAGGCAATTTATACTGGAGACAAGTCTTACAAGTATAATGAATGTGGGAAAGCTTTTAATCAACAATCAAATCTTGCACAACATTAGAGAGTTCATACTAGAGAGAAACCTTACAAGTGTAATGAGTGTGGTAAAGCCTTTAGTGGGCAGTCTACACTTATTCATCATCAAGCAATCCATGGTATAGGGAAACTTTACAAATGTAATAATTCTCACAAAGCCTTCAGTAATGCTACAACCTTTGCAAATCATTAGAGAATCCATAATGAAGAGACATCTTACAAGTATAGTAAATGTGGCAAATTTTTCAGACATCGTTCATAGCTTGCAGTTCATTGGTGAACTCATGCTGGAGAGAAACACTACAAATGTCAAGATTGTGGCAAGGTCTTCAGTCAAGCTTCATCTTATGCAAAACATAGGAGAATTCACACAGGAGAGAAACCTCAAGTGTGATGATTGTAGCAAAGTCTTGACTTCACATTCACACAGTATTACACATCAGAGAATCTATACTGGACAGAAATCTTACAAATGTCATACATATGGCAAGGTCTTCAGTCCGAGGTTAATCCTTGCAGAACATCAGAAAATTCATTTTTGAGATAATTGTTCTAAATACAATGACTATAGCAAATCATAAAGCTTTAATTGACATTAGAGCCTTCAGCATTGACTTGAGATTGAGTTGACTTAACATTGAGTTCAAACATAATTGACATTAAAATGTTTATGTTAAGTATGGGGGTAACCAGCCCCCAATATTTCAATGTAGGTTCTTTCTAAGTGTCAGCCAGTCTGAGAAATAAAGAGAAAGACTACAAAGAGGGGAATTTTACAGCTGGGCTGCCAGAGGTGACATCACATATCGGTGGGTCCGTGATGCCCACCTGAGCCGCAAAACCAGCAGGTTTCTATTAAGGACTTCAAAAGGGGAGGGGGTGTATGAACAGGGAGTAGATCACAAAGATCCCATGCTTCTGAGGCCAATAAAGATCACAAGGCAAAGGGCAAAGCAAAGATCACAAGGCAAAGGGCAAAATTAGAATTACTGATGAGGGTCTATGTTCAGCTGTGTACGTATTGTCTTGATAAACATCTTAAACAACAGAAAACAGGGTTCGAGAGCAGAGAACTGGTCTGACCTCAATTTCACTGGGGTGGGGTTTTTCCCCACCCTAGTGAGCCTGAGGGTACTGCAGGAGACCAGGGCATATTTCAGTCCTTATCTCAACTGCATAAGACAGACACTCCCAGAGTGGCCTTTTATAAACCTCCCCCCAGGAATGCATTCCTTTCCCAGGGTATCAATTATTAATATTCCTTGCTGGGAAAAGAATTCAGTGATATGTCTTCTACTTGCATGTTCATTTATAGGCTCTCTGCAAGAAGAAAAATATGGCTCTATTCTGCCCAACCCCACAGGCAGTCAGACCTTATGGTTGTCTTCCCTTGTTCCCAGAAAATCGCTGCTATTCTGTTCTTTTTCAAGGTGCACTGATTTCGTATTGTTCAAACACATATGTTTTACAATCAGTTTGTACAACAGTGGTCCTGAGGTGACGTACATTCTCAGCTTAGGAAGATAACAGGATTATGAGATTAAAGCAAAGACAGGCATAAGAAATTATAAGAGTATTATTTAGGAACTGATAAATGTCCATGAAATCTTCACAATTTATGTTCAGAGATTGCAGTAAAGACAGGCATTTCCTGTATGTTTTAAGTTAATATTTCAAACAATCGAAGGCAAAACAACATATTGTAGTGGGTTACCTGTGCTGAACACTGAATCATTTTTCCTCTTAAGTTGAAAATGATTTTCATGCAAAGCACCTTGTTTGAGCAGGCAGAGTCATGCGTCCTGCAGGCAGGGCGAGCTCCTCTCCATCTGGGGCAGGGTGGCGGAGAGGGGCAGGGACCTCAGTAAAGGAGTGGAGTGGGGCACTGGTTGCAGCAGGGACTGACAATTAGAACAGCTTATTAAACTAGGCAAAGTCCTGGGTTGTTTGAGTGGTTAATGGAAACTGAAAGGTGACATAAAAAACTGCCTACTACACAAAGGGGGTGAAGAAATATTTCATTTTTCATGGAAATAAAGTCAGGGCCCAGAGCAGTGGCTCACACCTGTAATCCCAGCACTTTGAGAGGCCAAGGCAGGAGGATTGCTCGAGCCCAGGAGTTTGAGATCAGCCTGGGCAAGATAGTGAGACCTCATCTCTACTAAAAATAAAAATAAAAAAATCAGCCAGTTGTGGTGGTGCACACCTGTGGTCCCAGCTGCTTCGGGTGCTGAGGTCAGAGGATCACTTGAGCCAGAAAGTTGGAGGCTGCAGTGAACTCTGATCTCACCACCACACTCCAGCCTGGATGACAAAGCTAGACCCTGTCTCAAACAAACAACCAAATAAATAGGAGGTATAGTATAATTCCTTTTTTAAAAAGAAAGGAAGATATTTTCTTTCTTTTTGTCTCTTTTCTTAGGACATTTATTTAGAAAATTTGTAAATGCATTTTCTGTGTCTTCTGAGGTTTTTTTTTTTTTTTTTTTTTTTTACGGAGTTTTTCTCTTGTTACACAGGCTGGAGTGCAAGGCATGATCTCACCTCACCGCAACCTCTGTCTCCTGGGTTCAAGCGATTCTCCTGCCTCGGCCTCCTGAGTAACTGGGATTACAGGCATGAGCCACCATGCCCAGCTAACTTTGCATTTTTTAGAAACTAATTAAACCTTTTTTCAGCTTAATGATCCAGGGATGTATTTCTGAAAAACTTGGGAGCTCTCTTTGAAAGGCAAACAGCAAGGGAGATAGTAACTTTATCTCAGTAGGAAATTAAATAATTCAAACATCAAATAAATCCAATTTAAAGCTATTGACCTTTAGGTAATTCTGAGCCTTGAGAGGAATGTGGCCATATAACCTGAGTCCAGTGGTATGCAGGGGCAACTTCTAAGTATTTTCCTGTAAGTAATTAGGAAGACTAAGCAGCCCCAAAGATAAGACCTCCTTGGATCATTGTCCCTTCTCATGGAGTGATAAAGTAACCTTCTTGAAGTGTATCAATCTGTAACCAACCAAGTTGCTGCAACCTATGCACTACTCTTAAATGGAAAATGTCGTGATTTTGCTAAGGCGTCTCTGTCTTTCCCTCTGTGTGTGAAACCCTAATGTCTCCACTTTGGAACACTGATCCCATTCATTTAGAGTTGATGTTTCCAGGTGGCTATTTCCAAGCTTTGTGTTTAAGTAAATTCTGTACTTAACCATAAAAAAAAAAAAAGAAAATCCACAAAAGCATAAAACCCACTGGTAGAGTAAAAACACAAATAAGGACGAGAAAAGACTCAAATGTTACCACTACAGAAACCCGCCAAACCACAATAAAACAATAAGAGAGAAACAAAGGAATAAAGGATATGCAAAAAAAAAAAAAAACCCCAGAAATCAATAAAATGGCAGGCACAAGTTCTCAAATATCAATAATAATCCTGAAAACTCTGAGATCTGATGAATAAATTTAGTAAAGATGCAGGATACAGAATCAACATACAAAGATCAGTAGCATGTTTACACACTAACAGTAAACTAGCTGAAAAAGAAATTAGGAGTGCAATTTCATTCTCAATAGCTCCAAAAACATATAAAGTACCTAGGAATAGATTTAACCTAAAAGGTAAAACACTACTACTACAAAAAAAACCACAAAATTCTGTTGAAAATTTTAAAGATGATACAAGCAAATGGAAAGACATCCCATACTCATGGGTCAGAAGTAATATCATTAAATTGACCATACTACCCAAAGCAATCTAAAGATTTAATGGAAAGCCTGTTAAAATACCAATGTCATTTTTCATAGAAATAGAATAAAGGAATTCTATAGTTTATATGGAACCAAAAAAGAGCCAAAATAATCAAAGCAACACTAAGCAAAAAGAACACAGCTGAAGGTATTACACTGTCTGACTTCAAAATATGTTACAAGGCCATAGTAAACAAAACAGCATGGTATTAGTATAGAAACCGACACACAGACTAAAGGAACAGAATAGAGAAACCAGAAATGAACCCACATTTTAGACCCAACCGATTTTTGACAAAGTACCAAAAGCATTAATTGGGATAAGGACAGTCTGTTCAAAAAAATGGTGCTGGGAAAATTGCATATCCATGTGCAAAATAGAACTGAAACCTTATCTTTCACCATATATAAAAATGAATGTGAGATGGATTAAAACATTAAACATATATAATAAACTATAATACTACTAGAAGCAAACATAGAGGAAACACATTGGACTAGGCAAAGATTTTGAAGTCACAGCTAAGACCTCAAAAACACAGGCAACAACACCAAAAATAGACAAATGGGACCATATTAAACTAAAAAGCTTCTGCAGAGCAAAGGAAACAACAGAATGGAAAGAAAATCTATTGAATGGAAGAAAATATCTGCAAACCACTCATCTGGCAAGTAATATCCAGAATACACAAGGAACTCAAACAACTCAACAGGAAAAAAGTAAATAATCTCATCTAAAAAAATTGTCAAAGGATGTGAATAGATAGATATTTCTCAAAATAATACATACAAATGACCAATGGGTATATTAAAAAATACTCAGCATCCCCAATCATCAGGGAAATGCATGTGAAACCCACAATGAGATATCATATTACTCAAATTGGAATGATTATCATAAAAAGACAAAAAAAAGATGTATCCTGGCAAGAATGCAAAGAAAAAGGAACTAATATATCGTTGGTGGGAATGTAAATTAGTACAGCCCCCCTGGAAAACAGTATGGAGATTCCTTAAAAAGCTAAAAATAGAATTACTGTACAATTCAGCAATCCCACTACTGAGTATTTACTGAAAGAAAAAGAAATCAGTATATTAAAGGGATACATGCACCCCCATGATTACCACAGCACTACTCACCATAGCAAAGATACAGAATCAAACTGTGCTCATTAACAGATAGCTGAATACAAAAATGTGGTATATATACACAATGGAATACTATTTGACCATAAAACGGAATGAAATCATTTTATTTGTAGCAACATAGATGCAAGTGGAGGTGATTACATTAAGTGAAATAAGCCAGGCACAAAAAAATAAATGTCATATGTTCTCACTCATATGTGGAAATTTAAAAAGTTGATTTCATGGAGGTAGAGAGTAGAATTATACATACCAGAGGCTGAGAAGGATTGTGCATGATGATGGTAGATGAAGAGGTTTGTTAATAAGCATGAACATACGATTAAATAGAATGAATAAATTCTAGTGTTTGATAACAGAGTAAGGCATCTATAGTTAACAGCAGTGTGTTGTATATTTCACAATAATTAGAAGGGAGAATTTGAAATATTTCCAACACAGAGAAATGATAAATATTTGAGATTATGAATACGCCAAATACCCTGACTTGATTATTACACAATTTATGCATGTAATTAAATATCATATGTATCCCATAAATATGTATGAATATTATGTATTAAAACTACTAAAACAACTACTGAAATAAAATGTGTTTCATTTGGCATAGCAATTCTGATTCTAAGACATGAATGAAAGACATACATGTATATACTAAGAGGGAAATAAAACAATGTTCATTGCAAAAAAAAAATTTCTTAACAAAACCAAATGAAAAACAATATCATTACCTTTAAATGTAGGGTATGTATTTCATAATATGGATATATTATAAATTATTTAAATAATTATTTAAATTTGTAGTACATCCATATTATGGAGTATTACACAGCTGTTAAAACTAATAAAAATAACTTATATTCTGTGACAGAGAAATATATCTAAGACTCTTGTTAAGTAAAAGATCCAGGAAAGAAGGCATATAATATAATATTATTTATGTAAATGTGTAGTTTTGTATATAAGTGTGGGCAAGCACATGTATAAATACAAAGAAAAATGATTTATTGCATACGTCAACATGTTAGCTTTGTTTATTACTTTGGGATAGAAAAATTGGTAGGGGGATGAAAGCAAGGGAAAAGTCATGTTTTCTCAAAAGAGATATTTCTTGATCTTCTTCAATAAAAGCGCATTTATTTAATACTTCTGTGATAAATGTATTCACAAGTAAAAGGACTTGTAATAAATGAAACTTCAAAACGATCTAAAAGACCAATACATGAATATTTAGTATATTTTAGTCTATCTCCAGCTGTTCAAAGAGGGTTTAAAACAAGAAAAAATTCATATAAGGAAGAGGTGAATAAATCTGAATATGTAAGAATTTAACATTTCTCCATGCAATAAAACACTGAAAATGTATTGAGAGTCCATTGGCATCTTTAAAAAGCATTGTCATAGGGGTGGAATTAGCATCTTTTATACATAAACATTTCTTAGAAAACAGGAGAAAAGGATTAAAAAATATTAAGGTAGAAGGCACAAGATATTTTCAAAGGAGAAAAGCAATTAACAATCATCAAATAAAAAGACTTAAACTTGGATAACAATCAAGAAAATGTACATTAAAAAATCAACAAGATGCCATTTTATGTATTAAATTGAGAAGGAATAAATAATCTTTCAAAATAATTCTCTTAATGGAACTATAGTGAAACAGACTCTCTCAGCTGTTGTTGGTGGGAATGTAAACTGATAGACATTTCGGAGAGCAATTTAGCAATGGTTTAGAAAAACAACAAAAAGAAATATGTAGGGAGGTTATCAGTGATTATCCCTGGATGTTGGGATTAGGAATCATCTATTTTTTGTTACTTCTACTTAAAAAAAATTAAAAATTATTAATACCTTGAGTGTCCACAATAAAGTTCCTTTTAAGCAAATGGCCTTGTGTCTACTACACAGACTATCGTGTAACTCTGGCATCGGCTTGCCAGAAGTTTCTGATTATTGGGTGAGTGTTCATTTTTATAACGAGACTGCAGAACACTGAACGGAGGATGGAACACAATCCCAACCAAACAACTCAACATTATAAAGTGGACAGAAGGGGGAATACTAGACCGTCATTGGTTGCTGCCTTTGGATGGTAAAAATGTCCAAGCCAATTCTTTCTACCTTTTGAAAATTTCCAAGTTACCCAAATGAGTGTACACTACATTTAATTTGACCAAAAATGTGTGTATAACTGAGATTGGGTATTTTCTGGGGGAAAAGATTGCTCTAGATCTACAGGATATCTTATGTCCTACGGTCATTTCAATCTATTTTCCATGTCTCAAAAACAGAACTTTCATTGTTTTATGTGCAAGAGTTTCCAGTGTTTTGTTTGTTTTTTTAAAGATCCTGACATCAAGAAAGCATTTCTATTCTTCATTCCACATATTTCTTTTATTAATGTCTTCCCATGGTCTTTGAAATGTAATTTCAAAAGCTCAAAGAAGTCAACCTCCCTATACGCAATAAAAGTTTGTGGTTCTTAAATAACTTTAATCTTAATACTTTTTACTTTTTTTTTTTAAGGTACTCCTTTTCATATTAGCTGATTTGCTCCTCTTTTTCCCGCATGCTGCCTACAGAAATCCTACTTTAATTATACCACTGCTGGAACTTCAAAAGAAAGCCTCAACACAATGGATTTATTCTTTTTCAGTTTAATTTTACTTGTTAAAGAAGATTTCTTTAGCTACCAGCTTAAAAAAAGGTAGAGCTGAGTTTTATTAAACCTTGTTCTACTGCAAAGTTTCAGTTCAAGCTCTTTGAACCAGATCTGCTATGATGGAGGTCAGCCACTACTTTTTTTTTTTTAAAGATAATAACACACACACACGTCCTATTTTTATTCTTATTCTTCCATTGAAGTTATTTCTGTGAAAGGGGATATATTCCTTATTCTCCTATATCATAGAATATTGCTCTAAAATCTCTTAAATAAGATAAAATAAATGTGGCAGCTTAAATATAAACTGGCATAGAGAATTAAATTAATTATCCATATACAGTTAAAGTTCAGAAAATAGAAATAAATACAAACAAACTTAGAAGACTTGGTTTTATTAAGGACAACAAACAAGGGGCCCTGACCACTGAATATTTTCGAAACTTTTCTGCTTATAATTGTTGTTATTTAATCCACTAACCACCCACTCCTGGCCATACCCTATAAAGCCAAGATGTGGTTCATGCATTTCTTTTTTTTTTTTTTTTTAACTTTAAGTTCTGGGATACATGTGCAGAACGTGCAGGTTTGTTACATAGGTATACATGTGCCATGGTGGTTTGCTGTACCTGTCAACCCGTCATCTAGGTTTTAAGCCCCACAGGCTTTAGGAATTTGTCCTAATGCTCTCCCTCCTTTACCCCCTATCCCCTAAACAGGCTCTGGTGTGTGATGTTCCCCTCCCTATGTTCATATGATCTCATTGTTCAACTCCCACTTATGAGTGAGGACATATAGTGTTTGATTTTCTATTCCTGTGTTAGTTTGCTGAGAATGATGGCTTTCAGCTTCACCTATGTTCATCAGCCATGCATTTCTTTCTAATTTCATCTGATGCCATGTTACAATACACCCTCACCATGCTGTATGGTTACTAGCTCCTAAAATACACAATTCCTTCCAGATTCAAGGTATTTGAATTTGCAGTTTCCTGTACTGGGAATGTTTTTGTTTCTACTTCACCTACATGATTCCTTCACCTATAGGTGATTCCTATATTTATTTATATAAATAAATAAAAACACGCAAACAACCCACACTAATGAGAGGGCACCTCAAGGGCTCTTCTGTAATGAGCCATGATTTAAAGATTTTATAACAATTTTTTTATTTGTCTTGTTCCTGCGTGTGTATCCAAGCCTAAAGCAATATATAATAATTAAGGGAGGCGAAAAAGGGCAGAGAGTCACAGAATATTAAGGTAGAAAGGCGCTTGAAATGTCTCAGTCTAACCTTTTCCTCTTTACTGGAGCCTAATCTTTTACTCTTTACTAGAGCCTAGAAGAAGGTGGCTCCTGGCAACATTCTGGCTTAAATAAAACACAAGAATATGTGCCTCTATGCAGCAGTCCTAAAAAAAATTCAGAAGAGAAGGACTAGGAGTTATCTCCCAGAAGGGTGTTCAAAGGCCAAAGGTGAGATTAAAAGTAACAGAGAATGAGCTGAAAAACAGAAAATGAATTCTAAAATATTCTCTTTGTTCCAGCCCTGCCTGTTTCTCTACCCACAGCCTACTCTCTCCCCTTCACTCACTGAATTCCTCCTACAAGAGCATTTTCTCAGTCATTTCAGGGGGACAAACTCTGTCTCAAATTTGTTTTTTATCATTTTCTCTACCTGGAAGAATTTTCCTTTTATTTAGCCAGGTGACTGTCATACCATATAATCCTCACTTTAAAACATCACCTTTAGAAAAATAAATCAGGTACCTTTGTTTTATTCTGCTGCAGCCCCCATAATTTTCTTAGACAGAATCTATGGTAATTTTTACTCATGTAGTGTTTTTGTTTCTGTCTCGCTACTTGACTTTAGTACCAGTTGGGTACACATTTGCATATATTTTCTCACAATCCTGGAGCTAGAAGTCCAAAATCAAGGTGTCAACACGTAGGTTTCTTCTGAGGCCTCTCTCCTTGGCTTGCAGGTGGCCTTCTTCTCTTCAAGTGGGCACATGGTCCTCTCTCTGTGTGTGTCTATATCCTAATCTCCTTTCTTATAAGGACACCAATAATATTGGACTAGAGCCCATTCTGTTGACCTTGGTTTAATTTAATTGCCCCTTTAAAGACCCTGTCTCTAAATATAATTGCATTATGTGGCACTAAGTGTTAGGATTTCAACAGATGAATTTATGAGAAGTAGAGAGGTAGACGTAATTGAGCCCATAAAACCATTATAGTCTCAACGCCTTCCTCAGAGCTCGGCACACAGTAGGTGCTATTACAAAAGATATATTTATAAAAGAAATATCTAATTTAGTGCAGTGTTTCTTTGTTAAATTAGAAGGAGTAGGAAACAAACTACTTTGATTGTATAAAAGATCATGTCTTTTATAATACCTTAAATATTAAACAGTAAAGTTTTCTCTGAAAGATTCAGGTAGGTTTCTGTTATATAAACACCTCAATAAGGGATAATCCAATAAAATTTTCAGCCAGAGGAGAAAGAGATTGATCTTGAGGCTAAAATCTATGCATGATTTCAAAGAATCAGATGTTTTTAAAGTACAATGTTTAGTATTTGTTTTATCAGGCATGTGAAGAGTTTTTAAAATGCATCTTAGGCCGGGCGTGGTGGCTCACACCTGTAATCCCAGCACTTTCAGAGGCCGAGAATTCGAGATCATCCTGGCTAACATAGTGAAACCCCATCTCTACTAAATATACAAAATTAGGTGGGCGTGGTGGTGTGCACCTGTAATTTCAGCTACTCGGGAGGCTGAGGCAGAAGAATCACTTGTACCCAGGAGGCAGAGGTTGCAGTGAGCCGAGATTGTGCCATTGCACTCCAGCTTGGGCAACAGAGTGAGACTCCATCTCCAGAAAAAAAAAAAAAAGCATTTTACTTATAAATTAAGTCATTCCTCTTAAAATCTATGAAGTAGACACATTTAGATTTGGCTTTTGTTAGTTCAATAATCAGAAGATAATCAGATAATCTCGTTATGGGCATAGTTAAATGTATCTATACATGTATTAAAATTCACAGAACTGCACATCAGAAATGAGATTTCTTCATAGCTTTGTCCCTGTTTTAGAATAATTATGGGAATAACCATAAATATTAATTCCTATTTAATATGTATGTAGTCTGGAATCCCGAGGTGTGAATAGCAATATCTTATTACACAAACCAGAGTATTCATTAAGTGCTTTTGGATAATCTTTAGAGAGTACATTAAAATTCAAATATTACTAGCATATGAGTAGTCTGCAGAACTTAAAGAGGTATTTCAGAAATAAGAGGTGAATACCTTCCTGGAGTAAAAACTTATTAATCAAAACATTCAAATGAATATCAGCATAAAAGAAAAGAAGGTCAAGTGATTACGTGGAGCCGAATTTAACAATAAACTCAAGAGAAAGATATTTTAATAAAAGAGATATTGTGCTTCATAATTGCAGAATTCCACAGTACTTTAGTTGTGTCAATGCAGTTTACCTGTAAGTGCTTTGTTGCCACTACTGTTCTTCTTTTCATTGTTATTTTGTTCTCTTCAATTTTGACTTGTTTTTATGCTAGCAAAGCATTTACATATTTTTGTGACACATAAGAAAAGAGACCTTTTGAAAGTGTAACTACTATGAATTTTGATTATTTCAATGCTCTTTTTATTTTTAAACTACTATATAATACAATTCACTTTTTTCTTCTGATGTGCAGTTTTATGATTTTTAACAAATGTATAGATACATTTAAACATGCCCATAATGAGATTAAAACCAGTTCCATCACCCTAACAAACCTCCCTAGTGTTATCCCTTTATATTTACACCCTTCCCTCCAACCCAACTCCTGGCATACAATGATCCTCCACTATAGTTTTGCCTTTTTGACAATGTAATGTAAATGTAAACATATACTATTTAGCTTTTTGAGATTGGATCCTTTATTCAGCATAATGCCTGTGAGATCCATCCAAGTTGTTGCATGTATCCATAGTTCTTTCACTTTTATTGCTGCATAATATTATATTTTATAGATTTACTAAAGTTTTTTTATTCATTCTCCCATTGAAGGACGTTTGCTTGTTTTCAGTTTTTGGCAATTATGAATAGACTTGCTATAAACATTCCTATGCAGATTTTTTGTAAAGCAAAAGTTCATTTATCTAAGATAAATGCCTAAGAATGAGATTTCTGGCTCATATGATAGATGTATATTTAAATTTATAAGAATCTACCAAATTATTTTTTAGAGTGGCTATGTAATATTCCATTCTCATCAGCAATGTCTTAGAGTTCCAGCTGTTTTACATCCTCACTGGAACTTACTGTCAGTATTTTTTTTCACTTTAATCATTCTAATGATAAGCACAATAGTTACTCATCCTAGTTTGTTTTTTTTTGTTTGTTTGTTTGTTTGTGTTTTTTTGAGACCGAATTTAGCTCTTGTTGCCCAGGCTGGACTGCAATGGTATGATCTCGGCTCACTGCCACCTCTGCCTCCCGGGTTCAAACAATTCTCCTGCCTCAGCCTCCCTAGTAGCTGGGATTACAGGCATGTACCACCATGTCCAACTAAAACTGTATTTTTTGTAGATACAGTGTTTCTCTATGTTGGTCAGGCTGGTCTCAAGCTCCCAATCTCAGGTGATCCGCCCACCTCGGCCTCCTGAAGTGCTGGGATTACAGGTGTGAGCCACCGCGCCCGGCCTCATCCTAGTTTTATTTAGTATTTTCCTAAAGGTGAATAATGTTGAAAGCCCTTTCCTTTGCTTATTTACTATTCTTATATTATTTGTCTTAAAATGTTTGCTCAAATCCTTTGCCTATTTTTCAATTTTGTTGTTTATTTTCTTACCTTTGAGTTTTACTATTTTTATATTGTTTGTACAAGTCTTTTTTGGTAGTTATGTAATTTGCAAATATTTTCTTTCATCTGGTAGTGTGCCTTTCAATTCTTTTAAAATGTTTTCTGCAAAGTAAAGTTAATTTCAGTGAGATTCAATTTATCATTTTTATGAACTATAATTTTGGTTATCTAATCATTCTACCTCTTATGAATATATACAGAAATACCTGATAGGATTTTGATTAGTATTAGGTTAAATGTATAAATCAATCTGAAGAGAATTAACATGTTTACTATATTGATTATACACATCCACTAACATAGTAGGTTGCCATTAGGTTTCCTTTGATTCCTTTCATCACAATTTTGTAATTTTCAGCATACACATTCTGTACATGTTTTGTTAGATATATACTTAAGGATTTCATCTTTTATTGTAATTGGCTTGGCTTTTTCTTTTAAATGTTAGGTTCTAATTGTACATTGCTAGTATCTAAACATACAATTGGTTGTTGTGTGTTAATTTTGCATCCTGTGACTTTGCTCAACACACTTATTAGTTGTAGGAGGTTTTTTTTTCCTATAAATTCTTTGGGATTTTCTCTCTCTATATATATAGTCATGTTGATTGCAGAATAAATAGTTTTCTTTCTGCCTTCCTAATTTTTATGTTTATTATTTGTTTTCCTTGCCTGATTGCACTAGCTAAGACCACTGGTACTATGTTGAAGAGGAGTGGTGAAAACGAGTATTTTTGCCATCTCCTCAACCTTAAAGGGAAAGCATTCAGATACTTTTTAATAAGCTAGCCACTTTTGGTGTACCAGCCTGTGTAAAAGATCCCAGTAAGCAGTTGGTTGTTGTTTGTTTGTTTGTTTGTTTTTGAGACAGAGTCTTGCTCTGTTGCCAGGCTGGACTGCAGTGGTGCAATCTTGGCTCACTGCAACCTCCACCTCCCAGGTTCAAGCAATTCTCCCTGCCTCAGCCTCCCGAGAAACTGGGATTACAGGTGCCTACCACTATGCCCAGCTAATTTTTGTATTTTTAGTAGAGGCAGGGTTTCACCATGTTGGCCAGGCTGGTCTCAAACTCCTGACCCTCAGGTGATCCACCCGCCTTGGCCTCCCAAAGTGTTGGGATTACAGGCATGAGCCACCGTGCCATCTGCGTTGCTTTTTTGTTTTGTTTTTCAGGTAAAACTGTATCTACAAAGTAGGGCTGCTGTGGTTGACATCCTTTTCATCTCATTAAGATGACACCCTGAGTTCCAACCCTTTCCTCCAGCCCTCTCTGGGGAAGGAAAGAAGAAAATCCAATCAAGTGACCAAAAGTGGAAAAGTGGTTATTGACTGCCACAAAACACATCTCTTTTGAGAGCAATGATATTCACATTCAAAGAGCCTTTTATGTGGGCTCAGCATTGTTTTAACCTATAATTTGGGTTCATATTCTTTCCTTTTGGTCTACAAACTAAAATTAAAAGTTCCTTCTCTTTTAAATGTCTTGCATTAAAGGTTTCTTAATTCTTTTAAACTGTCCAGATGATCTAGAAATAATTTAATAAGCCACAAAAAATAATTCTGGAACAAATATCAACACACATAAACAGAATACATGAGATGCATGCTTATATACACATGCTATGTTATACACTTGTATGCATATTACATACATGATGTGCATATATATTTATATATGGATGCAATTGGATAAACTCCTCTTAAAACTGATAAGCAATTAATAATGCTTAATACTAATAGGTCTCTCAATTGGAACTCTAGAAAATCAGGACCATTTTAATGAAAAAAGAAAGCACGTACTGTAATAATGTTGATTCTCTATTCACATCCCAGAATTGTGTTAAAGACTCAGAAGATAATAGGTATAAAGACCCTTAAAATCCTTAGAGAAAGTTTTGTGTAAATTTTTTTTTTGTATTTGCATAACCATATGTATGCTAATAACAAAGTTTCTCTGGAGATGCTTTCCTGCCAGGGGCACTATATTTTAAAGATGATATCAAGTTACGTTTATCATGTGAGAAAATAAAGCAACTTTGGTGTAGCAAGAGGAATAATATACAAGCTCAAAAATAAAGTCTTAGAAGGAAAAATGATGCACGATCTCAATAACATTTTACATTCTTGTTGCACATTTCATCCTAAAGATCAACAGAATGTTCCAACTAATCATAAATTCAGGAGTTATTCAACCTCCTGTTTTAAGAAATTGTCTCAGGGAGAGAAGACGATAACTATCTTTAAACCCACCCAGCCACATAGTTCAATGACTTAGGATAGAAAGTCAAAATCTCAAGTAAGTTTATTGACTTTTCATGTATCATGTCAGTCAGAGCTTGAGTCAAAGTGGGTAAACTGACCCAAGAAAGTAATCAAAATCTACACATTAAATTTGTACATCTGTATATATAAATCTTGTTTTTAACAAATAAAAACAAAATTTACACAATTTAGTTGTTCATTGCTGTCTTTTTTCTATAGGCATTTTATCACAAATGTCTAATATTATGAACAAAAGCGTAAAAGAGAGAAAATTGAGATCTCTTTCATAGTTAGCCTAACTTTTTCATGGGGGAAAGAGGTGATGATTTTTTCCATAAGATTTCCTAGCCCATGGAGAATATGAGTCTTCTGCAGTCTATCTATTGCAAAGCTTCCCATCTTAAGTGAAATAGCATCCTCCTTCAGGCATGTTGTTGCTAGGTTACTATTAAATAGAATTACTATCATGCAATATATTCATAAAGGAAGAGTCTTGATATAAGTAAGAAAATAATTATAATAACTTTGTCATGTTTATGCAACTTGATGAATTAATATATATCCAAAGGCATTATTTAGGGGAGGGAAACAAGGTAGATTTATTTTCCATTTTGAATATTCTTAGTGATTCATTGAAAGTCTCTTATATATCCCAAGCACCTTGAAAGCAATTCAATTAAAGAGGATAATTAATCCACAATTCCAGGATTTCTCATAAACAGTATTGTAGCTGATTGGCACAAATGCTGTCATTAAACAGAGGAAAGTTACAAATGTTAGATTTAGAGGGTATTTTGAGTTATATTTATTCTAGTCTATAACTATTACAAAGAAATGCAAAATACCCCAGTTTAGGTATTATGTGCTTTATTATTGAAGAGTTCCATGAAATATCACATCTACCAATGGTTTGGTGGAGCTGATACTTTTACTTACCCTTGTTATAAAAAGCAATCATCATTTGTGTATCAGAATCACTTGACAACTTTTTTAAACATGAGATGCCCAAGCCAAAAATGTGTAGATGGAGACTGGCATCCACACATCCATATGTTTTAAAAGCTGCATTGCAAAATTTGATAAGCAACCAGAGTAGAGACCTGCAGGTCTGTAGACTATTGAACAGCATGTTAATCCTCCAGAAGGTTTAAAAATGAAAGGGTAGAGGCACATAAACTTTAAGATTATGCATCAGTTTTGTTAATATTACTAGAATATCAGGATCACAATGTATAATTTACACTCTAGAGGAACAATTTTAACTAAATTTATATCTTATACCAGGCATCTTGAATCTTTCTCATTTGCACTCCAGAAATTATACTGCTTTAGAAAAAATAAAACGATACAGTGAGCCACTAACTCTATCTGCAAATTTTTTAAAATAAAATTAGAACCAAATTACACCTCTAAAGTGTAAGCATTGGATTTGGACATTTTTTGCAAGTGAAGGGTAAAATATAAAACCTGGCAGGAAATGGAAAATAGAATTTTTTTCCACTTACCTTTTTATAAAAGTGACTGTAAAATGTGCAAAATCACCATTGACATTCAGGCAATCCCTGAAAAATAGGTTTGAATAGGATTAAATATGAATTGAACTAGGTGAATTATGCGTGACCAAAAAAATAATGCAAGATGCTATAGAGTACACTGATTTTTTTTTTCTGAAATCTATTTCTCTAGATTGATGGTTCAGTGAGCAAGAATAAATGTTTTTATTTTTTTCTCCATTTCACAAAAAAGGTTTTATTTCATGTCTCATCATAGACACTCAGGCTAACTAATATAGCAATTAATATCCTTCGTTTTAAGAAAATTCAGAAAACTGGAGAGCTGGTAGGATTTCCAACAATTGAAAGAGAAATCATTTCACATTTCTACTTTTGCCATTCTTCATACTTTTTACCTCCCAGCTGAAATGCAGCAAGCTAAAGATCAAGTTTTTATTCTAATTCTTCAATGGGAACAATCAGCTTGTTACTTACTTCTCTTTGCCTTTCCTCCCCATGTCAGCCTCAGGTAGACCAGCTCTCTGTCTCTGGAGAAGGGCAAAATCGACTTGGGGCCTCTCAGAGAGGCCTCTCATTCCTGCAACCCTCAGGCAAAGGCTTTATTGTCTACAGCTGAGCCCCAGCCTTGCTACTTTGTTCTTACTGTTTACAGGTGATTCCCAAAACCTGCAACAGAATTTTAGCATTAATCAATGAGTGAGGAAGTGTTGAAAACTGAGTATGCAGGATAGGTAATACTTTCTAACAGGGAGTTATCTATCTTTCAGAGTTTATTATCAGTATTAAATTTTCAGATCTATGTAAATGCATGGAAAAATCTGAAAAGATAATGTACCTAACTGATAATAGTGGTTATCTCTGGGAAAGTGAGATTAAGTTTGGAGATTAAAGTGATCTTTAGTTGTTCTATAGTATTTTGTGTAATTAATTTATACTTTATGATATTTTAATTTTATTTAAAAAACTAATGTGAATTTAATGCATGGTTAACATTTAAAACATTTAAGAAGCATTCTATAGAATATATTGTAAAATAAAGACTCCATTGTTGGAAACCTTGCCGATGCAAAGGCGATCCCCTCTCTTTCAGAATGGGAATGCTCCTAACCTATTATGATTGATTCTAGTCAGAAATATATTATTCTGGGTCTACTAACACAAAAGACTAGATATTGAATTATTGATTTTATAACTTTGCTTATCAATGGAGGGAGTAAGAGGAGGGTAAAGAACTCTCCATTTCTATGCCCAAGATAGACATCTCTGAACTTGCACATACTTTCAAAACCCTTCTCGGGCCGGGCGTGGTGGCTCACGCCTATAATCTCAGCACTTTGGGAGGCCGACGCGGGCAGATCACGAGGTCAGGAGATTGAGACCATCCTGGCTAACATGGTGAAACCTCGTCTCTACTAAAAATACAAAAAAAAAATTAGCCAGTCGTGGTGGCGGGCGCCCGTAGTTCCAGCTACTCGGGAGGCTGAGGCAGGAGAATGGCGTGAACCCAGGAGGCGGAGTGTGCAGTGAGCTGAGATAGTGCCACTGCACTCCAGCCTGGGCAACAGAGCGAGACTGTGTCTCAAAACAAACAAACAAACAAACAAACAAACAAAAAACTCTTCTCAATACAGTGTTCCAGATGGCCACTATTAGTCTGTATGTGTTGGTTCATACTACCTGATAAAGTTTTCTCTGGAAGCAATGGTGTCATAATATAATATATACTAAACTTCTGTACTGCATCTCCTTAACATGGGGTGTATGAGAATAATTCAGTGAGCTTTCTAATATACACATTCATAAGTTCCTATGCTAGTAAATTGATTTTGTAGAAATAAGATGGAATCTTAATATGCATGTGTTAAGTACAAAACGTCCAGCTTATTCTGATAGATTGGTTGTGAATTTCGGGTAGTATAATTAACATTATATATTTATAAATATTGATGGCCATGTAGGCCTATTACATGTAACTTCAGATGACCTGGGTTGGAGTTCTGATCCTAGAACTTATTAGTCAGAATTCTGACCTTGGGTCATCATAGAGTCACCCCAAGATTTAGGTTCTTCATTGACAAAATGGAATTACTTATGTTGCCTCTATTTCTCATACTTACCACAATGCAAAAGGATCCCTGGTTTGGCCATATCTGTCGTGGGACTGTGGAAAAATCACTTCACCTCTGGGTCCTCAGTTTATTCATGTTCAAAAGTTGGATGGTTCAACTAGATCTGTGATTCTCAATCTCTATTCTGAGTCGAGACCCCAGGGGTGAAGTAACCTGGGGAAATGGAATGTAACATGTAACAAGAAATAAGATCTCTAATCCTCTTCCCCCACAGAAGCCACAGTGTCATATGTTTTCATACTGGATATTTATGTGAGGTTCTTTTTCAGCCATATATATCTTAAAGCACCAATCAAAATAATCTCTGAGGTCATATCAGCTCAAAATTCTTTGAATCTAATTCCCAAGATTATAGAGCTCAAATTAGATAATGTTTGTTAGTTTGGCTTGTAAAATGAAAAGCTATCAAGCTGAATTGCCTTGAAAGTTTTATATTATAAGCTAAAATTTCCTGAGCTTCCTAAATGGACTACCTCCATACTTTCTTTTTATTGTCAGTATTAGCTTAATTCCTCTTGCCCTTGCACCCTTATGCTGCTCATAAATTGACCCTTCTTTCCTGATCACACCCTTTCACCAGATTCTCTGCTTCCAGCCAAATGCAGACATCAGCCAATTTCAGCAGAAGTAGAGCACGTGTTTGTAGTAACCCTCTTCTCTCTCCTTTTCCATCTGGCAGTGCCTAGGAATAGCCACGTGTCAACCTTAGAATATGGACATTCAAGGAAGATTTCTGAGTTTCCATATTAACCATCTTAACCTCTGCTCAAAATTGAATCTATGGCAGGCAGCACTTCCTTGAATAACATAGCTGAGCAAATAGTTTTGTCTTGACAGTTGGGTCTCTTCAGAATCTAGCTCAACTTGCCCTTCTCACACCTTATTCACATACCCATAAATGTGTCACTCCTGAAGGTTCTCAACATGAAAATGCTGAATTTTGAATCTAGCCATTTCACACTAATAATTCCCACACATGAATTAGTAATGACACAGTTCAACTAGAACTTAATTCATAATGTGCCTACTTGCATTAGAGTCAGAGGTTACATAGATAAACAGTGATTGGCCTTGATTGGCATGGTAACTCATGAAGAAGTCAGATGTATAAGATTAGTATAGATGCAATGCAGTCAATAGAAAGATAAAGGTCTGTATGGTGTGTTATGTAGCATGGGGCATCCTTATCTAATTTGTATGCTCCAGGTAGTATCATGGAAACATATGTTTATTCATGAAAACTAAATAAGACTTAGCCAAATAAAGAGAATTGGGAAGGGTTTTATCCACTGAGAAAAGAGCATCAACTATAAAGCAGGCAAAACTACAGTTTGTTATTACTAACGCATAATATGTAAAGTCTGTGCAGAATGACTGAAAACATGGTTGAAGAACAAGAAAGTGTCTTGGAAGGAGTTTGTGCTAACGTTAAAGCTTTTGGACTTTATTCAGTAAGTTATAAGACAACCCTTGAAGCGTTTTAAGCAGAGACGTGATCTACTTCCACAAATTCTGCTTAGTTTTACATATGTCTTGAAATGGTTTGTTTGGGTAAACCTCTGCTTCTAATTTGCTATTTACATTTGCACATCAAAAGATATTTTTAATGGAAAAGTACATGTAAATTATATGAGACCAGTGCTGTAAATGTAACTACTCTGAAAACATTTTGCAATTACTGCTGTGGAATATGTTAAAGCATATATGTTTACATTGAAATCCAGATTCCTAAATGTTAACCTATCTCTGAATGTTTGCAATGATTCCATCTTGGCAAACACATAGCTCATTTATTGAGGCTTACATTTTACTGACACTGGCTTAACAAGGCACTAGAGGCTTTAGCTTACATTTCTCCATAAAATGCTGTTACAATTATGCAGGTCTGTTCCTGCGGCTGCCATTGCTCTACCTAATTATTTTTTCCGTACTCATTTGAGTGTTTCGATTCTTTTTTTTCAACATATTATCGGCTTCAAAGTGTTCTGAGGTCCTCTTACACATTTGTGATATTTCTCTAAACTAGATTTAAAATGTGACAGTTGGCTATCTTTTATGAGGCAGTTTGGAATTTTTGGATTCTCTGCACTTGGAGGTTGAATTGGTGGCATCTTCAGTATCCTCTTGGGTGTATTAGTAGGAAGGAGATGATAAAAGTCTAGCCTAGTTCTTCTTGCCCCTGTCCTTTTATGTTCTTTATTTCTCCTTGCCACCCCCTTTTCCACATACTTTTGAATAATGTAAAAGAAGAGTGATCCAAATTATTTTCTCCATTTCATTTCTACATAATGAGTTCTGATTTTTTTTCCTATTTCCATTTAAGGCTATCTCAGCAGAGAAGGAATGTATTTCGGCTCTGATCTTTAACACTGAAAGACCGGCAACACACAAACATCACACTGTTCTAGACAATGGACTTTATTTTTATTTTTATTTTTTTGAGATAGAGTCTTGCTCTGTCACCCAGGCTGGAATGCAGTGGCGAAATCTCAGCTCACTGCAACCTCCACCTCCTGGGTTCAAGTGATTCTCCTGCCTCAGCCTCCTAAGTAACTGGGATTACAGGTGCGTGCCACCACGCCAGGCTAATTTTTGTATTTTTAGGAGAGATGGGGTTTCACCATTTTGGTCAGGCTCGTCTCGAACTCCTGACCTCGTGATCCGCCCGCCTTGGCCTCCCAAAGTGCCTGGCCTAGACTATTTAAAACAGTATCTGAGTAGTAGGAGTAGTAATAATTACAACAACAATAATAATGGCTATCAGTGACTGAGAAGTGACTGTTATGACTTACATATGACTTGCATGAAGTATCACATTTAACTTTTATAACAATCTTATAAGGCTGTCGTTAATATTATCTCCAATTTGCAGAGGAGAAAACAGTATTTATTTAGATTGAATAAATTTTCCCAGGCAGCTAGTAAGTACAAGAGATAGTGTTCATCCCCAATCTCTCTGACTTTAAAACCTGTTGTGTTAGCCCCACCCGATGTCTGCTTTGCAATCCATACCTTCAGGGATTCATTGATTTCATTCAGCAAATGATAATGGATAGCTCATTCTTAATGAGACCATGTATTACAAACTGCAAGGATACAAAGAGGAATTAAAACCTGGATTCTGCTCTCAGGAATCATACAATATAGAATAAAAATAAGTATAATAGGACATAGAAAAAGAAAACACTGAAAGAGCACAATGTACAGCATGTGTTATCTAAATTCCAAGAAAGAGGACATTTCCCAGCTGGATGATGGAAGAGCTCTTAAAAGTATGGTCTCACTAATAATCCAGGAAATACAACTGAAACTACGATTAAAAATTCTGCCAGCCGTGTTGACTCTCCCTTGTAATCCCAGCACTTTGGGAGGCCAAGTTGGGTGGATCACTTGAGACCAGGAGGTCAAGACCAGCCTGGTCAACACGGTGAAACTCTGTCTCTACTAAAAATATAGAAATTAGTCCGGTGTGGTGGTGTATGCCTGGAGTCCCAGCTACTTGGGAGGTTGAGGCACAAGAATCACTTGAACCTGGAGGTTGCAGTGAGCAGAGATCATGCCACTGTACGCCAGCCTGGACGACAGAGTGACTCCATCTCAAAAAAAAAAAGAAAAAAAGAAAGAAAGAAGAAAGAAAGAAAGAAAGAAGAAAGAAAGAGAAAAGAAAAGAAAAAAAATCCTTACATACTGACCAGATTGGCAAACATTTTAAAAACTACCAATAGTGTTAAAGAGGATGTAGAGCAAAATGAATTAATGTAGAATCGATTTTTCGTAATCTAGAATACCTGAAAGTGCACATATTCTAGGGTACAGCAGTTCCTCTCCTAGGATATCCCTTACAGATACTCTTTTATTTATTTATTTATTTATTTAATTAATTAATTTATTTATTTTTTTGAGATGGAGTCTCGCTCTGTCACCCAGGCTGGAGTGCAGGGGTGCAATCTCGGCTCACTGAAAGCTCCGCCTCCTGGGTTCACGCCATTCTCCTGACTCAGCCTCCCCAGTAGCTGGGACTGCAGGCGCCTGCCACCACACCTGGCTAATTTTTTGTATTTTTAGTAGAGACGGGGTTTCTCCTTGTTAGCCAGGATGGTCTCGATCTCCTGACCTCGTGATCCGTCCGCCTCGGCCTCCCAAAGTGCTGGGATTACAGGCGTGAGCCACCGCACCCGGCCCCTCACAGATACTCTTGTACAACTGTACCAGGAGAGACACACAGTATGTTTCATTGAAGCATTGTTTATAAAAAGCCAAAATTGGATAACCTAAATGTCCATCAATAATAGATCTGACTAAAAGAAAAATTATGATGTATGTGATAGGATATTATATAGCAATTAAAATAAATAGACCATAACTAAATGCATTAACATCAGGGCATCTCACAAGCAATGTTAAATGAAAGCAGATAAAATCATATAAGTGGAAATGATTCCTACTGTAGCAATTTTTAAAAGAGGCAATGTTGAGCTATTTCTTAAAGGATAAACATATAGGTGATAAAACTGTAAGTAAAACCAGGAGAATGATTACCGCAAAGGTCAGACTATTGATGGTCTGTATTGCAGAGGCAGTCCCTTGTGCACGCAGAGGGCTTACATTGCTACTGGCAATAGTCTATCTCTTAAGATAGGTGGGAGTTACATGAGTGATTTTCAGTTAGTCTTTATACTTTACTATTATCTTTTTTGTTGCTTTTTAAATTTTTTATAGATACATAGAAGGTCTATATAATTATGGGGTACATGAGATATTTTGATACAGTCATGCAGAGTGCAATAATTACAACAGGGTAAATGGGGTGTGTATTAGTCCGTTCTCACACTGCTATAAAGAACTACCTGTGACTGGGTAATTTATGAATAGAAGAGGTTTAATTGACTCACAGTTCTTCAGGCTTAACAGGAAGCATGACTGGGAGGCCTCAGGAAACTTACAATCATGGCGGAAGGCGAAGGGGAAGCGAGTGCCTTCTTTTTATGTTGACAGGAGAGAGATTGAGGGGACAAGTGTAACACACTGTTAAAACACCAGATCTCAAGAGAACTCTCTCCTCTTATGAGAACAGCATGGGAGAAATGCAATCCCAAGGTCCAATCACCTCCCACCAGGTCCCTCCTCCAACATTGGGAATTACAATTCAACATGGGATCTGGGTGGAAACAGAGCCAAACCATATAATGGGGTATCCATCGCTTCAAGCATTTATCATTTCTTTGTATTATAAACATTCCAATTATACTCTTTTAGTTATTGTAAGATGTCTAATAAATTAATGTTGACTATATTACCCTGTTGTGTTATTAAATACTAGATCTTATTCATTCTGTATAACTATATTTTTGTATCAATTAACCATATCCACTCCCCCTACCCCACTGCCCTTCCCAGCCTCTGGTAACTATTATTTTACTCTCCATGAGTTTAATTATTTTAATTTTTAGCCCCCACAAATGAGAACATGCAAAGATTGTCTTTCTGTGCCTGGCTTATTTCACTTAACATAATGACCTCCAGTTCCATCCATGTTGTTGTAAATGACAGGATCTCATTCTTTTTATGGCTGAATGGTATTTCATGGTGTATATGTACCACACTTTCTTTATCCATTCATCTGTTGATGGACACTTGGGATGCTTCCTAATCTTGGCTATTGTGAATAGTGCTGAAATGATGAGAGTGCAAACATCTCCTCGATATAATGACTTCCGTTCTTCTGGGCATATACCTTGCAGTGGGATTGCTTGTTCATATGGTAGTTCTATTTTTAGTTTTTTGAAGAACCTCCATACTGTTCTCTTTTCCACCATCAGTGTATGAGTATTCCCTTTTTCTCCATAACCTCACCAGCTTTATTATTGCCTGTCTTTTGGATAAAGCCATTTTAACTGGGGTGAGATGACATCTTATTGCAGTTGTAATTTGCATTTCTCTGATGATCAATGATTTTGAGCACTTTTTCTTATACTCAATTGCCATTAATGTGTTCTTCTTTTGAGAAATATCTATTCAGATCTTTTGCCCATTTTTAATTAGAGTGTTAGATGTTTTTCCTGTTGAGTTATCTGAGCTCCTTATATATTCCAGTTATTAATCCCAAGGCCTGTGGCAACTATTGCCTGGCTACCACTAATATTTATTCAAGGCCCAAAGGATCTTTGGTGAGCAGTTGATGAATTCAGCCAGGCTTGTGTCCTTCCCTTCAGGGTGGTGAGTTCCCTTCTAGTTCAGGGTAGGTTTAGAAATGTTATCTAGGAATTAGGTCCAGGAGTTGAAAACTTTAGGAATCTACTTGGTAGTTTATTTTACTGTGGCTGAACTGGTGTCCAAGTTGCAAGACAAAGTCCTTTTTACTCTTCCTTTTCCTTTTCTCAAGCAGCGAAGTCTCTCCCCATGGCCACCCCTGCCCCAGTATGGTTACAGGTACTGCTTGCTACCTCTGATGTTTATTCAAGGGCCAAGGGCTCTTTAGTCAGCTTATGGTGAATCTTGCTGGGCCTGAGTCTCTCCCTTCAAGGAAATGGGCTCTCTTCTGGCCCAGGGGAAGTCTAGAAATGCCATCCAAGAGCCAAGGCCTGGATAAAAGACTTTAGTATTCTGCTTGATGTTTTATTTTACTGTGGCTAAGGTGTTACTTTATTGTGGCTAAGGAAGAGTAAAAAAAAAAAATCCTTTTTACTCTTCACTTGCCTTTCCACAAGCAGAAAGAGTCTCCCCCATGGCCACCATAGCTGGTAATATGTTGGGTCACACCTGAGGCCAGCATGCTACAGGGTCTCACCCAAGGCCCATGGTGAATACTGCCTGGATATTACTGATGTTGATTCAAGGCCCTACAATTGTCTTTTAAAATGCTTACATGTCACAAATATTCCTCTATATGTAAGAGATTGTTTTGTGAAAGGAAAATATCTTGGACCCCCAAAATCACTAAGCTAAAAGGAAAACTCAAGCTGGAAACTTCTTAGGGCAAATCTGCCTCCTATTCTATTCAAAGTTGTCTCACTGCTCACAGGAAATAAATGCGTATCTGATACTTTCTTTGGAAAGGCTAATCAGTAACTCAAAAGAATGCGACCCTTTGTCTTTTTCTCTCACCATTGTGTGATCTGAAAGTCCTCTGCCCACTTCAAGTCTTCCTGCCTTTGCTTCAAGTTGTCCTGCCTTTCCAGACTGAACCAATGTACTTCTTATGTATATTGATTGATGTTCCATGTCTCCCTGAAATGTATAAAACCAAGCTGTCCCCCGACCGTCTTGGGCACATGTCGTCAAGACTTCCTGAGGCTGTGTCACAGGTGCAAGTCCTCAACCTTGGCAAAATAAACTTTCTAAGTTAACTGAGATCTGTCTCAAATTTTGGGGGTTCACAGTTCAAATACATACAATTTTTATTTTTGAAAGACTGAACTAAGAAAGATCTTGTAATGAAAATGTCATTTACGTAAAAATAAAAAAATAGGGATTTGGAATTGTGGAGAAAGATAGGAAGGATATCATAAGAAAAATGTTTGTACTTCCTAGTGATACTAATTTAGGCTGAGGTCATTATAAAACATTAAATGAATAATCAGAATCATTGTGAGAGCGAAAGACCTTAAGTAATTAATATGTGTGTGTTTAGAGAAAAATAGGGAGGTAACACATGCCTGAACATGGGCTTTTGTGAACAATAGTTTCTGGGGATGATTGTGTTTAAGCTGAAACAAGGACTAAAATCAACAAAATTAAATGTGACTGGGAAATTATCTGTCTGTTGTAGGAAGGTTTAAGAATGTGTCTGAGATGAAGCAACACTTATGTAACAGACAGCAGTGCAAGATGTAGTGAATTAGACCATTTGAAGATTATAAGCCCTAAAATGCATTTACAATCTAAAAGCATATTTTTATATTAATGCATGTTACATAAAAGCAGAGGTGGTTAGGTAGTGAGCATAAGAAAAAATAGGTAAATATTGTGATACAAAGAGTGCAATCTTTTATTGAGGAAAACTCCACCAAAAATCCAATACAGGAAAGCAAAGAGTGTTCAAATCTTTGAAATTTAGATGTAGAAATGATGAGAAATATAAGTTTTTCAAGCATGAACCAAAATTCTTATGTTCCTGTAGCTGCTGAAGACGTCCATCCAAAAGCAGTCTAGAGCTTATACATCTTAAATGCATTCAGAGGTCTGAGGAAAAGCAGTGGTGGGAAATGTGATAAAATGAAGAGAACCCACATTACATACATGTACTCAAAGTCAATTTTGGAAAATAAGTAATACAGGTATCCCTCCTCCTCAATTCAATTCCATCTTCAGGCCAATAGACTGTGATCTTTTTTGTTTTTTTTTTTTTTTTTTTTTTTTTTTTTTTTTTTGAGATGGAGTCCTGCTTTGTCACCTAGGCTACAGTGCAGTGGCACAATCTTGGCAACCTCCACCTTCCAGGTTCAAGCAATTCTCCTGCCTCAGCCTCCTGAGTAGCTGGGCCTACAGGTGCACACCACCACATCCAGCTAATTTTTGTACTTTTAGTAGAGATGGGGTTTTGCCATGCTGACCAGGCTGGTCTCAAACTCCTGACCTCAGGTGATCCACCCAGGTTGGCCTGCTGAAGTGCTGGGATTATAGGCATCAGCCACCGTGCCGGGCCAGACTGTGACTCTTGATGGCCAGTTGCCTCGGATGAAGCACAGAGAACGGTTTGCAGCCACATAATTGGGAAGTGGCATAGCACTATGTAAGTCTACTTGGTCTACTGCCTTATGGTTCATCACTTTTTCAATTAGCGTAGCATGTTTCCCCTTTCTCAGTATTATGTTGTCAACTGAGAGTGGTAGGAGGTTGGAGAAGATAGGGTGATTTCTATTGTCTATCCTTACATGTGGTATAAGCTAGTCTTTCCATTTCAAAAGTACTATCATTTTGAAGGCACGCGAACCTAAATTAACATACAGGTGTAGATTTTTAAATCTCATGAAAAAAATGAGGTCATTGTCTTCAGCACATTCTTGACGTTTTAATGAAGCATATTAACAAAAATTATGTTCCAAAGTCATTATGCCGAGCTATTATTCTTTGTTATACTAGAACATCACTGAATCTGAAGGAAAAACTCCCACTAAAATTATGTTATGGTAATATTATCAATAATGACATAATTACCGTGATGTTAATAACAATATGAGGGACTTCACTCTAAAATATCACTTCATAGTCAAACAGGTTGAGTGTAAATAAGAAGCAATCATTTGTAGCTCATGGGCAATTCTCTGCTTAAATTTTCATAATGTAATTTGCAATAAAAAATGACAGTACTAAGAATCACACTTTACTTGTCAACAGGAAAGCTTCACTTTCCCTATTATCCTTCAGCAAAACTATCCATTCCAGGTCATTCAAATTTTTCATTCTTCCAAGATTCTGATACTACAGTGAAAATATTAACATACTCTAAACTTGGATCTGTATAAATAAATTATGTCTTTTAATATTGCTGCCCCATCTATTCCACTAGTATCATTACTATTATTATTACATTGATCACATGAAATTATAATTGGCAGATTTAGCGATTCCAAGATTGAAGTGAGTCTAAACTGTGAAGCACTTATTCTTTTACCATTATTGTTGATCCATCAGGTTAAACAACTCATTTTACTAACTAAGGATATTCTCCACTAAAATATAAGATAGAAGAAGCATTTTTGGCTTCCACACTTAACAGTTAAAGGGCTTAAATGGTACTTAAATTTTCTGATGCTTACTTGTATGTTCTATAAAATGGGAAGTTTCAAATGGAAGAATAGCATAGCAAAAAACCAAAGAGAATCACCTGGGGGAGACTGGCTGGCCACATGGGGAAATGAATTCACCTTTTCCAAGATCATGCCCTCGGTTCATCAGACGTAGACCCAGTCATTCCTAAAGTTCTGGAGTTAATTAAGGATGATAATTTACACTAGCAAAACTTGCAAGATTTGGAATACCAAAGATGGTTTATGCTAATGCTATATTATGAAGAAGAAACATTTATCTAAGTACAGTATAAGCCACACAGAGTCCCCATCAAAATCATGAATAGAACCATTCATGCTATTTAAGTGGAGAGTTGCACCACATGTTGACCAAAACTTGCCATGGGTTTATTCAGCTTATTGCCGCCAAATATTAGCCAGACATCTACGATCCAGAAGAATGTTATGCTCTCTAACATGTATGTTCAAGCCATTTGTCTTTTGATGGTCATCTTCTAGCTACACAGAGACTGAACCAAAGCTTTGTAGTGACAACTTTTCTATACTTGGCCAATCTCAACTTTTAAAGTTCCCTCTCTAGTACTCTATAAAATAAGGATGTATTGCCCCTTTGTAAGTATATAAACAATTTCAGAAATATACAAACATAGAAACAACAGTAATAATAAACCCTTATGCCCCTATCACCTAGCATAAACAATTATTAATATCCATATATAGTTTACCTATACTGCCCTTCACCCTATTATCCTTTTTTAATATTCACAAGAACCCTGTGAAATGAGTTTATCATCTCATTTTTACAAAGTAACTGATGATTTGAAAGATTTAATAATTTTGCAGAGGTAACATATAGTGAATGCCAGATCCAAGAATCAAAGACACCTCTGTCTATTCCAGAGTCCTTTCTCTAGCCTGCTTGTGTGTATTACATGAAAGTTAGCAGATTCTAGAGCCACATGAATTGCTGTATCAGTCAGAGCACTGCCATAAAATAGATGGCACACTTAAATTGGGTAATTTGTGGAGAGGTTAATAAAGTGACAATTTACAAAGGATTCATGAAGTTCCAAGAACTAGTAAAATCAGAAAAGAGTATAACCAATCCTAGGCCCAAATAGGCAAAGGAAATGAGTGGTTACTAGAATCCAGATTCAGAAATGACCGTGTGGTCACATGATAGGAGCCATTATTTTCAGTTCAAGAACAAAGCCAGCCTGGGTGAATCCACAGAGATTGGCCGTGGAATATCTCACCCTCTCTTTTCCCATTTCCCTGCTTCTTAATTGGCCAAATTGAATCAAATGCCAGAGGTCAGGGTAGTCTACTGACACATTCCACAGAGGGTCAGCCTCCCAGGACACAGAAGAGTAAAAATGACAGATCTAGAGGGGATAAAAGATGATATTCAGCACAATTGTCTACTAGGTGGAGAGAATACATGGTATGTTATCTTGAGATAATAACCCTATTTTCATCAGAAATTAGAAAATTTGATGGAAAATAAAAAATAATACTTATCTTTCAGTAGAAAAGCTGCATTACTTATTACACTGGCAAAGTAGATAGAATTTTCCAAGAATTTCTAATAATCATTAAACCCAAATCTGAGTCAAATAGTTTAGAAATGACTTGTATACAATATTTAAAGTAGCAGGTAACCTACAGAGTATATGTTTGTTGAATACATGTTGGTATAGAGCAGCATAATTGGGTTTTAAAGTCAATACCCAAAATATTAGGGAGTCATATGCTGAGACCAGCTTGGTCATGGAGACCCTAACCCAGTGGTGCTAGAGGAATTAAGACAAAGGCATAGAAATAGAGTGCAAAGTGGGAATCAGGGGACTGACAGCCTTCAGAGCTGAGAGCCACGAACAGAGTTTGACCCACATAGTTATTGACAGCAAGCCAGTGATAAGCATTTTTTCTATAGATTATAGATTAGCTAAAAGCATTCCTTAGGGGAAACAAAGGGACAGGCTCTGACTTGTTATCTGCAGCAGGAACACGTCCTTAAGGCACAGATCGCTCATGCTATTGCTTGTGGTTTAGGAATGCCTTGAGCAGTTTTCCGCCCTGGGTGTTCCTTGCCCTTATTCCAGTAAACCAACAACCTCTAGCCTGGGTCATAGCCATCACGAGCATGTCACAGTGCTGCAGAGATTTTGTTTATGGCCAGTTTCTCATGGTCTGTTTATGGCCAGATTTGGGGGCCTATTCCCAGCAGGCATAGAAGCAGAAGGTAACAGCTACATTCTTTTTTTTTTTTTCTTTTCATTACACTGGTGAGCCAATGGTAGATATTTATTATAGAAATACCACCCTTGGCTGAAATTCAGAATTGCTGGGGTTTGAAAAGATGCAGATGCTTAAATTCATCCCAGCCTCACCTATTCAATCAACATCACCAAGCAAGGGCTTGGCATATGCACTTGTTAAAGCCTCAGACATCATTATCATGCATCACCAGGGTAAAGACATCTTCATTTGTCTTGAAGTTTTTGCTAACAAATACATGATGTATCTAAAGTTTTAATGTGGAGTGAAGAAGGAGGAAATCCAAGAAAACTTTGCTGAAATATAATTTCCATTAAGGTAGAAATTTGTGTCTCTTTTGTTCACTGATATATTCCAAATGTCCAGAACAGTACCACAGTGCCTACCACAGAGTAGTAGGTAATCTATAATAATTTGTTGATAAATAAATGATTTAACTCAAAAATGAGATAATTAATACAAAGAATTTAGCATGGTGACCATCAAATTATGGCATAACAATTAAATCTTTTTAATTCTTCTATTAATTGATTATATATATATATATATATATATAATATATATGCTTATATTGGCAAATTGCCCAAACTCTCCCTTTTGTCACTTTTCAGTGTAGTGCTGCATCCAAATCCTAGGCAGAGAGAAATAAATAATTGTATAAACTGCCATTGATTTTCACAGTTGTACCATCCTTTGGGAAGACAGTCCACAAAGCCAATAGAATTGATGTTGTTCTGAATTGTTATTGCTGTGTATCGCTTCTGTACACAGGCTGCTGTGTACAGGCTGTGTAACAAAAATACCATAAACTGGGTGGCTTATACACAATGAAAATTTATTTCTTACAGTTCTAGAGGCTTGGCAGTCCAAGATTAAGGCACCAGCAGATTTAGTGTCTGGTGAGGGCCTACTCCCCATAGTGCATCCTCGCTGCATTTTCCCATGGTGAAAAGGGAGAACAAGCTTCCTCAGACCACTTTTTAATCTTGCCCATATGATCTAATCACCTTCCAAGGACCCCACATTTTAAAACAATCATATTGGGGGTTAGGTTTCAACATATGAATTTTAGGAGGACACAAACATTCAAACCATAGCACTGAGTGAATACACTTTCTAGTCCAAGGTTCTATCCACAAATATTCCTCTTGCCCATTTTCCATATTGTATATTCTTATGCCTGTCAAAGTGTAAAATATGCCAGGATGGCCAGGTCATAAGGAATGTTAATGCTTCACTAGAAAGAGCTCTTCCTCATGAAAATTGAGGGTGTTGCATAACTCCAAAGGCACCAGTTCAGATGCCCCTTTGTCAGCTTCTAGCCACCCGCCTAGTAAATTCCTAACAAGGTTAGTTAACCATCCTTCCTTCCTCCCTCCTTTCCCTTTTACAAAGAGGCTTTTTCCCATATTTTAGAGACAAAAATAATGTGGAATCCTCAGCATCGATCACTATCTAACCATTTGAGTTTTAACACATACAGGAAAGGAATATTTATAGAATGCCACCTACATATCAGACATTGGATATTCCAAGGTAATATTTAGTAAAGCATATTCTGCCTATCACTATTCTTATAGGCTTCAATTTGTGCTCAGTGATCAAAAGATTCCCTGACCCACATATTGTACAATTCTATTCATATGAGATGGTCAGAACAAATGAATTTATAGAGACAGGAATTAGATAAGTGGTTTCTAAGGGTTGGTTGGAGATGGAGGCACAGTTGGTGGTGATGAATAAGAGATGTCAGTTTCTTTTGAGGATATTGAAAGTATTCTAATTATTCCGGTGATAGTTACATATCTATAAATATTCTAAAAGCAGTTCATTTAAGTGGGTGAATTGTACAATGTGTGAGTTTTATCTCAACAAAGCTATTTTGAAAAGAAAAAGAAAAACACTCCATGATAAGTAAATTTAGAAGAACTCATTACTAAAATACATTTGCATAATAAAAATTCTGAAAAATCCTACAGTGAATTATACACAGTTAAAGTCTAGTTAAACTTATTTGTACATGGATAGCCTCATTTGTTTGTTTTGCCTCAGTATATCCACTCAAATCCCTAACAGTTTTCCCCTAATGTTTTTCTAAACAGAAGTTAGGGAAGTACAATTATTTGACAAGAACTCTTTTAATGTTCACAACAGTTCTTCATGAAAGTAGTTCTTCCCATTTTAGCAGATGAAATACTGAAACTCAGAGATGTTAACAAATTTGTCCAAGATATCACAGACAGTAAGAGATGAAGATAAGATGTGAATCTCAGTTTCCACACACATCCATGTAATTGAATGCTAGGTAAACATTAAGAAGACAATGCAATCTATATGTATTGATGTGTAGACAGAGCTACAAAAAATCTAAAGAAAAAAGCAGGCAAACACATTGCTTATGCAGTTTAAATTTTGGAAAAAGTATTTATTTACATGTGAAAATGACTATATTGTCAGTGTGTACATATGTGTAAGATATACACTAACGAGATGGTAGGCATTACAGACTGACTAAAAATGGATTCACAACTTATGATTATATTCTAATTATTCAAAAAGACATGTGCATTAATCGTAAACAAAAAATCATGATAAGTAATTATTTCCTTTTAAGTCCCACCCTTTTATTTTCACTTTCCTGTAAGGACCAAAAGCATCGATGAAATCTGTTTAATATGATAGAGATGTAGCTATGAATCCCAAATGTCCTTTTTCAAAAATACAGGAATTTTGAGTTTTAAACCAAATTTTTCAGATTAACCCTTATTTTCATATTTTTGTTAAAAATTCTGCTTCTGCATCCACAGAAATAATAAAATCTAGAATAGTCACTTTCTTTTTATACTTGATAAGTTGTTGCAACATAAAAAGCACACACAAAAAATTAGAGTCAAAAGGGCCATGAGAAATAAATGAGTTAATTCCCATTGTTGTGAAGATGAGGAAAACAAGTGCAGAGAGGTTAAGCAATTTGTCCAAGCTCACACAGTTTGCTGGGGGGGAGTGAAGGTTAATCTTTACTTCTCTCAATTCCCACCCTAGCCCTCTTTCTGCTAAATGATACTACATCCTCAAGATAACTTGAGTTGCTGCATATTGCCGACGCTAATCAAAAACAGACAAATTTCCTCATTGCATGGACAAAACCTGTCAAATGGTACTCAGCAGATATCTCAAGACCAAAGCTTTCAGAGCTACAAAAACAATACTTTTAGTTGTCCTATCCCAACAAGCAACAGAACAAATGTTTTCAAATTGGCTCTGTGAAGAACATGCCATGCTAATACAGTGTCACATTGTGCCAGCCAAGGAAAGATTGCTGGGCTCCCCTTCCAATCCTGGCCACGGTTGATACGCTTTGAGCTGGGTTGCATACATAAAACTCCCTGCTATAAGTTGTTGCCCTCATGGAGTTTTTCTCCAGATAGTTCTGTGATTGACTTTGTCCTTCATTAGGTGAACACAGGGGCTGAGGAATGCTAAAGAGGCATGATGGGTAGGAGTTCAGGGATTTTCCTTTTCACACTGTATTAGTCAGTGTTCAATTAAAGAAGTAGAATCACTAGAGTAGACAGATAGTGAGGCAGTGTGAGGAAGAAAGAAAAAAAGTACAGTCAGTACACCAGCATCTAACCATCTTGGGAAAGATTGCATAGTCATGCCAGCATCCTTCCCCACTTCCTCTTCCCAAGATCCATCAGAAAAACGGAGAAATAGAGTGTGGACACTCCTTTAGCACTACTCATGTTGAGTGTAAGCACAGACTCATTCAGGTGCTAAGCCAACCCTTCAGACCTCTACCCACCCACCTCATTTTAGGCAACCAAAGTTTTAATAGCCTGTTCCAATTCTCTATCAAGCTATTACTCTGAGGAGGGTTATCTGCTCATTGTTGAATATTATAGGCTGTAAAGGGTTTTCTTTGGTCTGAAGCAACGCTGGTTGGCCATCCAAAGGGATGAAATAGCTTCTGTCCAGTTCTTTAATAGTATTCTGAGCATTTGTACCTACCTGCAAGTAAGAAACCTGGGTTCCAAGTCAGTGTCTATTCCTGTCGTGACCCACGTGCAGCCTCTGGGGCTATAGACATTAGTCTGATTTGTCAGTTACAGGTAAGGCCTTCTTCCTGGGGAATCTGCTACATAGCCATTCTGCATTCTACATAGCATATCTGCGTCATGATACTGATGCAGAAAATGAAACAATTCCTTCAGATTACATTCCCTGGTTTCAGGAAATTCTTTGTTTTCCCCTTCTTCCACTTTGTCTCTGTCTCTTTGGCTGACAAATAGAACAGTTCTTTCTGGCATTTTGTGCCTCAGAGGGTGCAAAAGGACAATGTCTACATTCGGCCTGTCCCTGCATTGATGCTGTCCTCCTATATCCATCATCTCATGGATTCAGGTGGCCCCTTTAAGGGTATACACCAAAGGTTCACCTGGTTTTTCCAATCACCTTCCAAATCTGAAGAGGAGTTCTTCTTATGGGCACTGACAAGTTCAACTTTAATGTGCCCTTCGAATTTCCATAGGGCTGTGCACACCATATCAACATCCCTTTAACAAGCCAGGTTTCCACTGCCCTCCTGCCTGATCATATGGCCGGGACATTGGTCATTACTCATGAGTTGTTATAAACGTAAACACAGGAGATTTTACCACTTCAAATCTTCCATTACTGCTAGGAAACCAGCAAGCAATTTGCCCCACTGAGCTGATTTGTTTCTACCTCCCTTCATCAATGTGGCGACCTTCCAAACAAGATGTTGTCTGTTCACCTTGGAACTGCTGTCCACAAACCAGAAAGCTCTTTGTTGTTCAGTTGAGAGCTGTTTATAGGGCACTATCCAGGCAACAAAAAATAATAAATTCCTCACACAGTTCCAGAATCTGTCCTAGGGAAAATGAGGTGACCTGCACATGAGTATCTCCACCTTGTATTACCCACGTAGAATCATCCTGCATGAACCATTTCCATTGTATTATGAAACTCTTCTGAGCACTGCCATTCCCATTAGAGTATTTCTATGATGTCTCTGAAGACATCATAGGTATTTCAGGTTTCAAGATAATTTTTATGTTCTTTAGTCATTGAGCCAGTTTCCTTTAATGTCCAGTAGCATGTTAGTCTCTCAAGCAGAAATTCTCTAGTTCAGAGTCCCAGTAGTCATCACTGGCATCCACTCACAGGCTTTTGCCACAAGCCTCAGGCTACATTCCACATAGAGCATCACACAGAGAGTTTGTTGCTATTAGCACTCCAGCTTGAATTCTACACTTTATGGGCTTGGGCAATCTCACTGGGTTCCCATTTAGCATGGCCAATTAATATTGCTTGAAGAGTAGATTTACATGCCTTCTGCTTTACAGTACTAGGCAGGAGAAACATTCTTCAGTGAGATGCAAAGTCCATCCCCATAATACAATCAGGTATGAGAGCTACTGTCACTTCACATAAAGCCTATTTAACCATACCAGTTCTCCTGCAAACTTTTACCTGAATTCCATCAACCCGTACTGTAGCTTCCATTAGGACTTTATTAGCAGGTTTCAATTTTACAATACTAGATCGGGGAAGTGTTCCCCAGCCAGACATCATATCCATTCCCATAAAGCATTCAGAAAAAGGAGACACGACTTCTTTATAGAAAGCCTGTTTAAGCTTTCCAACTTCCAGAATCCTCTCAACACTTATATTTTTATGTCCTTTCAATCTGATCACAGCCCACATCGGGGTTTCACCAATGAGTTCTGACACCACAGTGCCTGTGTTCCCATATCAAGGAGTCTCAGAAACTTATCTTCTAACCATTTCACCCAGTGCAAAGCGTTTGGGTCCCTAATAAAGTGTTAAGCCAAGAGACTCTTGCCATTTTGTTAATTTTTATTTAGATTAATCTGCCTGACCATTGGCCAAAATGATTACAGGCCAGAGTTTTCATTGTAATATTTGTCTTTCAGCTTTTAAAATTTCTTCTAACATGTGTAAATAGTGTGAACTTATTTGAATCCCTTTAATGTTGGAGGAGCAGCTAGGGCTTCCTTTGGCTCATTCAACTTTTGGGAGTGTTCTATTTAAACTATAGTTTTAACCTCATCAATGTCTGTTTTATTCATCCTGCTTCTTAATAACCATCCAAAGATTTTCTCACTGCTGGGATAAGTTTTGTTACTCTCCCCACTCCTCCCTGCCTCATTTTCCTCTTTTTTTTTGCTTCTATCAATATTTACTGTATTCATCTATTTTTTAATAATCATTTAGCCATCTCTACCCTGCTAAGACCAGTCCCTTGACTCACCTTAGCTTTTCCCCATTCTCTCGTTAACTAATCTAATATTTTTATTAGCGTCTGTAAGACCCATGAGGGGGAGCTAAGACAGCAAATTCCACAAGTCTCCTGAACTGTTGTTTGGTTTTGGAGTGATATGGTTATATGGGATGCCCATGTAAACAGGGACCCTTTAACCATGGCACTCAGCAGGACCTGGGTTACAGGCATAATCAGTGGGTGAATAGCCCAGCTATCATAAAGTCAGTCTCACATGGCTTGTACACAAAGCATATCTGTTACTTCATCTGGGGCTATTCCATTTGGCATTTATAGAGGAAGGTGGGCAGTCCCCCTCCTCAAAGTAAAGAGACTTTATAGTGGCCTTTATCCAGTCCACCAGGCTAGCTGTTCACTTGGAAATAATCTGTTGTGTGTCTGGATCATGTACAGTTATGTTTGATTTTTCCACAGTGAGCTGTGGATCCTGTATCAACCCAAACATCCTCTTTGAATTTGCAGCGTTTGAAGCCAAAGATACTGCCCCCAAATTAATTACTCTCACATCCGTTTTAGTAAAGGTTCTTTAAGAAGCTGATGATACTGATGCAGAAAATGAAACAATTCCTTCAGATTACATTCCCTGGTTTCAGGAAATTCTTTGTTTTCCCCTTCTTCCACTTTGACTGTCTCCTTGGTGACCAGAGGTCGAAGAGGTACTTTCTGTTGTCCTTGAATAATTTTTCCCATAGGAATCAGCTTTGAGGATAGAGTCAGAAGCTCAGATGCACTGGAATCTGAGCTTGGTCTAGCATCAAGGTCCTACCTAGCACTCTCTTTTAATTTCATTTTAACTGTTACAAATAACAATAACCAAGGGATGGCATATTTTGCCTTTTTCATATTAATTTTCATTTTCCTTATTAGTTTGCTTTTCTTACACATTCAGTGAACCAGCTTTCTGGGAGTCATATCCATCTCTACATCCCATTGGTAGCTTTTACCTTTAGTAACTGAGCACAGCACGGCTGCTGTTCCATACCGTGGGTGACCATGTGACCACCTAGAAATCTAAGGTTCCTTATCCTCTGCCCTTTCATTCTTTCTCTTCCCAAACCACATGCCTCTGTGAGCTAGTGCTGTTCTAGCAAATCCCACTTATCTGACACCAAATGCACAGCAAATAAATAAACTGTTTTTTTCTTCTATACTTAGACCACTCTCATTACCTCACTTCGGACAGTTGAATGTTTGTTTTTTCACACACGAAGCAGACACCAAATGATTATACCACCATTTAACTTAATTCCAACACTATCTACCTGGAGGTAGCATCAGATCCCACAAGTTGAGGGGTCAAATCCCACAAAACCACCATTCCACTTTTTATTCTAATTTTAAGTCCAGTCTGTGACCACTGCATCTAACAAAGTGGTTATAAATTAGAGGTTCTCATGACTCCCTCTTGAGGCTCAATTATTTGCTAGAATGGCTCACAGAACTCAGGAAAACAATTTATTTATTATAAAGTAAATTAAAATAATTACAAGTGGTGTCTTATAAAAGGATACAACCCAGGAACAGCCAGATGGAAGAGACCCACAGGCAAGGTATGCAAAAAGGGGCATGGAACATCTGTGCCCTCTGAGGAAGCTGCACGCTCAGTTCTCCAAGTGTTCTACAACCCGGAAGCTCTCTGAACTCTGTTGTTTTGGATTTTTATGGAGACTTTATTATGTAGCCATTATTGATTAAACCATTGCCATTGGTGATTGGATCAACCATCAGCCCCTCTCTCCTTGGAGGCCAGAAGTTGGAGCTGAAAGTTCTAACCCTCTAATCATATGGGTGCTTTTTCTGGCAACCAGTCCCCATCTTGAGGCTACTCGGGAGCCCACAGGCACCAGTCATCCTGTTAGCATACAGAAAGACACTTATCACATCTGAGATCCCAAGGATTTTAGGAGTTATATGACAGGATACAGGGGCAAAGACCCAATATATGTTTCTTATTTTTATTATGCCACAGTTGGGTGGATAGGTAAGTAGGCAGATAGATAGATAGAGAGTGAGATAGATCAACCAATAGATATATCAATTTTCAAAAAAGATGCTGATGTCTGAAGACAGATCTGACATCCTTAGCTAAGCCTCAATGTTATTAAAGACTGATCTGATGCTTACAACTATATGACACAGTTCTCTCATTAGACAAAACCAATCTCACTAAACACGTACCTCAGACAAGGTCACTGTGCAACCCAAAATAGCAAACAGTCCTCTCTCTCTTTAAATGAGAGACTTCTATGTTTTGCCATTTGTAGCTTTATTCCTACTTATCCCCACTTATAGATAAGATTTATTAAAATATTCAATCACAAAATTACCTCTACTTTCTGATAACGTCCAATCTAGAGCAAACCTCTGTTTTCTTAGAACCTCCCCAAAATTACTCAACCAAAGCTCAAATACTATAACAGCTTTTTCTAATCCCCTCTTACTGAGATACCCAACATTTCCCCATGGTGTACGATTGCCTTTGCTGCACTGAAGATACCTGAAGTTGAACAAGTTGTGAACAAGTTGGGTTTACCATATATACCATAGATATATATATATATATATATCTATGGTATATATACCATAAAATATATATATATTTTTAATATATGTATATATATGTGTATATATGGGTGTATATATAAATAAAATATGCATATATATGTATGTACATCCACATATATGCATATATACATAGATTTATATAAATATATGTTCACATACATGTAAATATATATGCTTATATATAATATATACATATATACCTACACATGCACACACACTTACACACATATATTGGCTTTATTTTTATTACAGGGATTTAACCTTACACAAATTGTGAAAATTGCTTAAACAGTCTCTTGTCACGATGTTATCTGCTAATACAATGCTGGATCTTGAAGTGCACAGGGCAAGAAGTTGGAAAAGGAAAGATGAATGTAAACCGGGTAAAAGCAAGAACAAGCTGTATCCCTGGAGACAGCAATATGGACTCATGTTTAGCTAAACATAGATACAGATGGTTACATATAGAAATATTTATAGATATGTCTGTATACACTGGTTAGTATACACACAAATATCTTCTGGCCCAAACAGCTGAGAGGGCCAACAAGTAAAGAAACTCCTGTAGCAATAAGCATACCTGGGTGTCTAGATTGTGGTTTCTAATATCATTTTTTAATAAAAGGAAACAAAACTACTGGGAAAATGGCTGATTCTAGAAGTGAAATGAGAAATATATGAGATGAGCCTACAACATCTTGTAGTGCCGGAAAGTAAGAAAGTGCTCAAAAACAAACCAACCACTATGATAGGGATGTCAGAGAGATAGGAGCCAACTGAAAGGGCTCCTAATGGCCAATATTAGAACAATTTAAGCAACAAAATGAAGTAGTATAGGATTATAACCCTAATAAGAACATAAATATTCATGAGTTTATATTGACACAAGTAAATGATTGAACAAAAGAAATAAGTAAATGGGGCAGAATAGACAAATCTCTCATGCAGAAGAATTCTGAATAATAGAAATAGATATTCTGCCCTTAAGAAGGTAGAGCATAATTTCCCATTCATAAATGTGAGCTGACTGTAAGGGGCTTTCTTCCAAAGAGTGCTGTATGGAAAGAGGAAGAAAAAAGAGTTACTTCACAATGGGGAAACCTGACCAACACTACCTCAAACCAGGTGATCAAAGTTAGCATCAACAGTGATTAATCATATTGATAGTAAGTACCTTGATAAGATATGAAAATATGGCAGTTTACTTTGGTGTTCTTCCTCCCAAAAACATATTATCGCAGTGTAACTAGGAAAGAGAAAGATAATCAGACAAATCACAACAGAGGGACATTCTACAAGATACATGACCAGTAATTTTCAAAGCTGTCAAAGTCATCAAAAACAACGGAAGTCTGTGAAACTGTGACAACCAAGAGGAGCCTAAGGAGGTGGGACTATTATGTGTAATTTGGTAATTCTAGATGAGACTCTAAAACAAAAAGAAAATACTGGAAAAAAATTAAAGAAAAAGTATGAACTTTATAATATAATGTACAAATATTTATTACTTATAACCAATATATCATACTAATATAAGATGTTAATAATAGGCATAAATAGGTATGGGGCATATGAAAACCCTATCTTCACAATAATGTTGTAAATCTAAAACTGTTCTATAATAAAAGGCTTATTTAAAAAACTAAATGACCAGTTGGAACTCATAAGTATTAACTAGGCTGAGAAAGATGGACTATGACTTGTGTCAGTTCTTGTTTCCCTTGACCTTGATGGCATGGGTGTCCTGCAGAAGCTAGGGCCCTTCCCCTTGGAGCTAAACACCCACACCTGGCACAAGAGTCAGAGAATCTGAAGGAGGATCCTAGGGAAGAAGGAACTATTGCACGCCCTTTCTCGGCTCTGTGCCCATGAAGTGGGTCAGTAGGTAACTGGCGTGTATGAGCTTCCACAGGGCTGCTGCTTCACCTCTACACTTCAAATCTCACACAAGAATCTGCAGTTAACCCATGCAAAAGGAAAAGAGAAGTGAAATTGTAGAAAATGTGGTTCAGCATAGCCAAGCTGGCACATAACAAATCCACCACACAATTGCACATAGACATTGTTCAATAGGGCAGCGATGTCACAATATAAACTAAACACACAACCCCGAGAAGGATAGAGCAGACTTAAATGCATATTAAAGTATTTATTATAAATTTTCATTGTTTCTTTGGAATAGATTTTGATAGAAAGAGGATAGCCAGAGACAATGCGAATTTAATAGTGTCCCTGATGGAAAATAGAAAGAAAGCAGAGAAGAGAACTAATAGATGGACATGAGAGAAAACAGACTTTGGCTCAATGCCAAGATTCAGCATTAATCTAAAAGAATATTTTTTCTTCTCCTGTATAAAAATGCTTATATTAACCTAATAAATATTGATATATTGATATTATTATTTGTTAGAGCTCTCATTCAAGAATGGCTATCATGCTAAATAGTTGACATAAAATGTAATGGTCACCTGGCTAGTTTCCAAAAGCAATTCAGAACTAGGAATGTATTAATATGATTCAATCAACACAATTGCTTTATCTTAATTTTACATCTTAACTCAAAAATTTAAAAGCTGGCCTAAAGTCATTTCCTGGCTACCTTCTTTGTCATTGGGACCATAGGGGTTTATTGACTCTTTAAGCTGTGATTTTCTCAGGACTGAGACAGTCTCTCAACTCGACTGTACAATTTTTGCAATAAGAAATCACACACAATATGTCTTAATCCAATCTCTCTATCTCCAACAATTTGCAAAGTGTCCAGCACATAACAGGGTCCAATAAATATTTGTTAAACAAGCTATTTAATGGTGTGGGTAAACTTGCAAATAAAAAATTAAGATTATACTAGCAGGATGGTTTATTAATAGGTTATGAGCTTTGGAGTCAGGCAACTCTGCCACTTGAGCCTTGGGCTGGTTATTTAACATCTAAAATAAAAATACATATAATCCATGCACTGATGATTCACAGTTTTATGTTTTTAGCCCTGAACTACAGTTCTGTATATCCAGTTGTCTGCTTGACATTTTCATTTGGACATCTAGTAGACTTGGCAGACTCAACATATCCAAGAATAAGCTCCACATGAGTTCATCCCCTATAAATACAGGCTTTTATGGACAGTTCCATGTTTATTAAGTCTAACTCCATTCTTCTAGTTACTTATGCCTAACATTTGATGTCATATCTAATCCCTCATTTACTATCAACTCTAGAACTAGTTCATCAGCAAATTTTGTTTTCTCTGTTTTCAAAATGCTTACAATGTGACCACTTTCCACTGTCCCTACTACTGTCATTCTGGTATCAGCCACTATCTTGACATGATTATGCCAATAGGGTCTTCCTGGTCTCCCTACTCCTGTCATTGCTGTCTTGCGGTGTGTCCTCAAACCAGCAGCCAGAGTTATTTCATTAAAAACATAAGTCAAGCTTATGTTTCTACTGGGAGTCAAAGTCAAATTCTTCACTGAGCTACAATGCCCTATAAAGTCTGTATCCCCAACCCTTCATTATCTTCTACAAGTTTGTCCCTTATACTCTCAGTCCAGCCACACTGACCTTCTTAGGATTCAGTTTTACTTGCAACAAACTAGGTATAATGATAATAATGCCTAACCTAGATCTTATTCAATGTATTAAATGAGAAAATATGTATATGAAGAGTTTAGCACAGAGCCTGGCTTCTGGGAAGCAGTAATATGAGTGAATAGTGGCTGTTATTATTTTTGAAGCTGTTATCATCATCACCACTATTATTGTTTCCCAAGGAAGCAGCCTTTGAAGACAGTATACTTGCCTTGATTATTGACCTCTTCAACGATGCGACTCAAAATCACTTTTAACTGCTTCCCCCAAGTAAAATTTGTAGAAAAATTTGCTTCAGACCCTGGAGGGACTTCCAACATGCAACTTCAAAATTATCTGGGTTTCAGGAACAACACTTGCAAAACACGATTTGGTTGGGTAAACAGTCAATTAATCATATAAGTTCTAGTAATTTTTTTAATCAGCTGTATTACTGTAGTCATTCTTTATACAACGGAAAGTATAATGCATTTTGATTCAAATTTGATTAATATCCTGAACATCAGCAATAAATACAATTTAAATTTAGGTTATGCTTTTGTTTCCTTTCTGAGACATTTTTCAAAGATGGGAGCAAGTGGAAGTTTTTATTACTGTTATTGTTGCTGTTTATTTGTTCACTTGTTTCTCAGCTTATCTTTGTGTCCAGGTTTCAGAACATAGAAAGAATTCTGACACCAGTTTATCCTGCTGCCTAATGGTAAACTTGGGAATCAGAGTTTTTTTTTAAATACTTCTACCATTAATTTGCTTAAAATCAGGACGCAAATTCATGTCTCTATGTCTTATGGTAGAATTCCAAACCTTGTGAGATGTTGGGAAATTTCAAGTAATATAGTTTAAAGTTATAAAAATCTTTAGCAATTTGTGGCACTCTATTATAATTGACAGGTTACTTATCTCTTTTCCTTCTTATATTTTAATTAATAGAAGCTCAATATATGTCTATTGAATGTTGACTGAATTGAATGAGGCTACATTAAACAGAATTCATAATACTTTACTCAGAAATGTATCACTGTAAATAAGATTAGAAGGCAGAAAACTTTGGATCTCTTGTAATTCATAATCCAACTTTGAATTTCTAGACTTTGTTTATGTTAGTAATAAGATGTAATGACCTCCCAGGGTACAGCCTCCCTATATACTGCCTCACTGATCCGTTCTAGAGAGTGCAGGTCCTGTGCAATGTAACTCTCAACTTGCCTACTCTTGTAGCATGCACATACACACTCTACCTCATAGACATCCATACACTCACACACTCACACAGCCATATTCAAGACTATTATCAGCAAAAGAACTTCACCCTTTACAAAACGCATTCAAGATCTGAGTTTTCACATGGAAGTGAAACATGGAAGTTTTAAAATTATAAAATGCATGTAGGCATCAGCCATGTTTACAAGTGTCAAAACATTTTTTTTTTCCTTTTTTCCTTTAAGATAGAGCCTCACTCTGTTGACCAGGCGGGAATGTAGTGGCATGATCATGGTTTGCTGAAGGTTTGACCTCCTTGGGTTCAGGTGATCCTCCCACCTCAGACTCCTGAGTAGTTGTGACAAAGGAGGACGAATGCAGGAATAAGGACAAAGACAAAAGAGTATATTTGCAATAAGAAGTCAGGGGGGTCCTTGCTTCTAGTGAATGAGGGCCCGAGCCTTTATAGCCCTTCGCATTTTTGAGTAAAGGAGATAGGGAGAAGGGGGTATTCTGGTCAGCTGCTTGACTTAATGCAGGCCTGCATGACTTCATTCTTTGAACAGTAGTCTCCAGGTGTTCCTCAAGGAGAACAGTGCCAGGGAGTGACTGCCCCCAGCAAACCTTCTGGCAACAGGCACAGAAGCGAGTTTGCTCACATTCTGCGCTCATGATAAACAGTTTGCTGTTTGATCATATAGCCTTCAGTGGAATGCCGTGTTAGTCACAACTCTCAGGCCTTCGGCTCCCTACAGCATGCCACCAAGCCTGGCTAATTTTTGGATTTTTATTAGAGATGGAGTTTCACCATGTTGCCCAAGCCGGTCTTGAACTCCTGGGTTTAGGCGATCCACCTGCCTCAGCCTCCCAAAGCATTAGAATTACAGGAGTGAGCTACTGCACCCAGCCTCAAAAAAATTTTTAAAAGGTTTAATTTTCTCTAATTGCCTGCCAATATTCAATGTTGGATTTCCCTTCCCTCTTGTTTAAAAGCATATTGATATAGTCCTCAATTTTCCAGTAATTTGGGGTATTAAATATTCAGCCTAGTTTGAAACCTCAATTGTAAAATCTATTTTATTCTTATATCAGCTTCCACTCACCAGCTTCCAAACTGGACCTACGATGCTGGCTTCCTAGAGTGGAATAATGTGATGGTCTGCCCTAAATATCAAAGGTGCTTGTCATCCTTCTTCAGTAGGAAAGAGTGGTATTAGATGGATACAGGGTTCTTCTTATGAAACTGGTAGTATGTCCATGGCAAGGAGGGTCTTCTTGTTTTGTGATTCTCATTAAGTAGGGTTTAGCCTCACCCTTGCTCCCTCCATCATTGGGGGTCCATCAGGAGGGATGCTATATCTCTCCCTCACTAATAATCCTTTGGGCTAGACATCCTCTATCTTGCCTAATGATTCCCTGGGCAGAGCAGTGTACCTATACATGGAGTCACACAAACTGCTCAGGTTCTTTTCCTTGGCCTACAATGACCGAGACTTTGAAAGAGAAAGAGTTTTGCTCATATATTCTTCCCAGGAACAATTATCCATGAACCCTTTTCTCTGTGTTATTCATTAAGCTTCTCACCTTCAGAAACCTCAAGTCAAAAATAAACAATTAGGGAACGGTTCTCACATGTCCCCTAATTACAAAGAATTTTCATGCCAATTACTTTTTGTATTAATAACCCATCTCTCCCCCTGAGAAATGTAAGCTTCAAGAGGGCAGGGATTTGTTTATTTCATATTTGATTGATGTATCCACCATTTCTAGAACAGTGAGTATAGACTGAATGAATGAATCTTTTCTCCTAGATAATATATAGGTCCCATATAATTTTAATATTTATTATTGTGTTCATGTTACACATGGAGAATATCAAGAAACTCCCTTGGTTTGGAGGTAATGGAGAACTGTCCAATGGTCATATGTACTATATCACAGAAAATGCCAAAGGCTTGCAAGGCTGAAAAAGAAAGAAAAACATAAAGAAATACAATTGCAATAAAGTATAAACAAAATTGCTTTGGCAACCTGCACATACCAATATTTTTTCTGGTAAATATTCCACAGCTACCCACTTATTAGCATTGGATGCCAGATTTTAGGGTGATGTAATGGATTGAAGTAGGGATAAGATTATCAAATGTTGCGATGGATGAAGTTGGTTTTGCAGCTTTTAATAGCCTTTGATGAAAGAGATTCCATTTAAGTAGGGTGAAATGTGTCATTCTCTCAGTTTTGACTATTGGTTCTTTAAATTATGTACACCCCACCAAGTTTTTGTAAAACCATCTAGCTACCTGCAATGACTCTGGGAAGCAGAAAGACTGAAGAAGAATCTTTAAGCTCATCACAGCCTTTATGTCTTGCCTCGGGTTTCACCACAAGGAACTCTTGCGTTTTAGAGTAACTTCCTGGCTCCAGTGCTTGGAAGCAGATGGGGGCTAACAGTGCCACATTGGTGGGACTCCTCCTAAACTGGAACCTCTATGGGCCTTGATGGTTCCAGTTTTCCCCAATGAGGGCACTTTCCAACCAAACCTTCTCTATTGACCCGTACGCTGTATTTGTTCTCTATCACGTTGTAACAAATTACCCTAAACTTAGCATCTTAAAACAGTGCGCATTTGCCATTTCACAGTTCTGTAGATCAGAAGTCTAAGTGAGCTCAGCTGGTCCTCTGCTTAGGGTCTCAGAATATTGAAATCAGTGTCAGGCTAGGCTACGTCCCTTATTGGACACTGTGGAAGAATCAATTCATTCAGGTTGTCGGTATAATCTAGTGGCTTTCAATTGTGCTACTGAGGACCCCATTTTTGTATTACTTGTCATTTAGGGCTGACCCTTGCTCCTAGAGGCTACCCACATTCCTCTTCATGCTTTCCATGTAGCCTCCCTCCAGCCACAGTGGGTCAGGTCCCTTCTAACCTTCATCAATCATCACTTCAGTTCTCTCTAACTTCCCCTTCTGTCTTTGTGACTCCATAAAGTTTTCTGTTTTTAAAGGCACACGTGATCAGGTTGTGTTCACCTAAATACTCCAGGTTAATCTATCTATTTTAACATCTATAATCGTAATTACATCTGCAAAGCCTCTTTGGTCATGGAATGTAATATCCTCACAGATTTCAGGAATAAGAGTGGAAACATTGGGAAGAGGGCATTCTGCCTACCATACCTCTTTCTAGTAGGATCTACCAGATGCCCTGGGGATCTCTTGGATTTCCATAGATGGAATTGTCCTGGGGTTCTGCAAATGGCTTCAGTGCATGAGGGCAGCATAACAAGCAGATTGCTTCCACTGGGCAGCATGGCATTTCTTTTGTGTGATTGCATGAGATCGAGCCATCAGAATGGTTGGTGATATGCTGATTTTGAGTGACTTTCTGACACTAGATGAGGTCAGGGCTTTGGACTACTGATGGTCCACCATGAGGCATTGTTAGAAATAACAGCATTGCTCCCAGCTACTCAGGAGACTGAGGCAGGAGAATGGCATGAACCTGGGAGGTGGAGCTTGCAGTAAGCCGAGATTGCGCCACTGCACTCCAGCCTGGGAGACAGAGCAAGACTCTGTCTCAAAAAAAAAAAAAAAAAAAGAAATAACAGCATTGCTACTTTCTTCTCACAATAGGAATAGAAAAGTAGGCAAAATGGGACATGTGATAAGAAAGAACTCAAAGATATAGCTTCTGGACCTGAAAAAGAAGAAATGTGATGCCTGGATACTGTGAAGAATCTATACATGTACTAATCATACAATTGCAAATACCTAACTTTTTCTCTATCCATTATTCTAAATCTTCACCACTTAATCACTGTGTATTATATGGACCAATTAATCTTGTAATACATTGCTAACAAATAAAATTATTTATATAGACAATAACCCGCAGAAAATTGTTCAGTGTCTGTACACCCTAGGGGTGTCCCTGCTTATATTAGTAACATATAATAAGCATGACATACAAATAATTGTGTCTCCCACTATACCATAAATATTTGCTTTATGATGCAAAGATTTCATAGCCCTTTTTATGTGTGTTTCATAATAGTACAAGAAGTGGATGTATCAGAATGTATTTAGTAAATTTCCTAATAATTGACACTTTCTTTAGTAGTGAATTCATTTCAGTTTGACCTTTTAGTTTTCTCTTCATTATTTTGGTTTGTCTTTTAAGTTGGTGGGTTTTTTTTTTTTAATTTGTCTTTTAACTTTTCCTACTCCTTTTCTTTGTCGATGAATGACTTTGTTATTTATAATTATTTTGTTTTAGCTTTTGTCTTCATTCTGTATACTTAAGCTTATCTTACATAAGATTCATTGACAGACTGATCCTTCTCGGATATCCAGAAGGAAAGTAATACTTCTCTCCTATTAGACATCCATTTTTGCCTTTTCCCCCCTGCTTTTAGCACCAAATTATATAGGTTTTACCTCTTTCAAGTTTTAAAACCTTTGATAAATTAATTTTTGTTATTACTGTAGTTTAATCTGTATTTTATTCCATTGATCATATTGTCATTTCTTGCCTTTAAACCACTGATGTCCAATAAACCTTTTCTAACCTTTGACTATAGGAAATTCCCATTCATTTTTGAAACTGTTCAGATATGGGTTCTTCTAAGAGGCCTTCTCTGTGCTTTCTCTGAAGCAGAATCTTTTCCTCCATTGTCTGTGATGCCTCTGGTTGAAAGACATCTCTTGCATTTCTTTGTGTCAATCTCTAGACTGAGCTTCTAAGTGAAGGAGGCTGGTCTTGTGGGTTAGTCATATCTACAACACTTGGCACAACTAATAGTAGTTTATGGATGGTCAATGAATGCCTTCCTCTGCAACTGTCCCACAGAATAAAAAAGAAACTTACATCTATATTCTATCTTAGATGATTTATTTTTCATTTTATTTAATATTTCCATTTTGATTATAAAATATTTTAATCACACACAAAAGTACAGAAAATGTTAAAATCAATAAAGTACCTACCTATGAGATTAGAGAGTTAGCCCTATTTGATTTTCACATATTCATAAATACAAGTGAAGTTTCACTCTCTCAGGCCCCTCTCCTTCCTTTCTCTTTTTTAGGGGCTAATGTCCCAAAGTCAGAGTGTATCATTCTCATGCATGTTCTTTAACATTTAAGGTATATGTTTGAATATATGAACAGCATATACCACTGCGTGTATTACAAATATCTCATACATTAAATTAAATAGGAAAAAAGTAGTAATTTTTTACCACTGCCTTCCATTTATAGACCTATGTTTTAACATGTCTGGACAAAGGAAAAAAAATCCTTCACTCCTTTAATCTTAGTAGCTACATGTAAATTTCTGACATCATAAATACATTTTTGCTTATTTATTGTTTTAACCAAGGTTGTCCAGAGAAACAGGAAAAAATAGAATATTAATATTTATAGAAAGAGATTTATTACAGGAAATTGGCTCACACAATTATGGAGGCTGGGAAGCCCAAAACCTGGAGGGTGGACAGATAGGCTGAAGACACAGAAGAGTCAGTGTTCCAATTTGAGTCTAAGGGCCATCTTCTATAGAACTGAGAAGAGCTTATGCTGTTGATGAAGTGCAGAGGCAATCTGCTGGAGAAGTCTCTCTTCCTCAGGGAAGGGCATTCATTTTGTTCTTTTCAAGCCTTCAACTGACTGGATGAGGCCTACCCACATTATAGAGAACATATACTTTACTTGAAGACCACTAATTTAAATATTAATCTTATCTAAAAGCATCCTTGCAGAAACACAGAGAATAATGGTTGACCAATATCTAGGTTCCTGGTGACCCACGAATTTGACATACAAGATTACCATCACATTTCCCTAAATCTATTTCCTTGCTTTCAGGTAAAAGTCTTTGAACACTCTTCTTGTATTCAGGAGATAAGTGTATGGCTGAAACATACTTCCCATAATATTTCCTTTTTTTTTTTTTTTTGAGACAGTCTTGCTCAGTCGCCCAAGCTGGAGTGCAGTGGCACGATCTCGGCTCACCACAAGCTCTGCCTCCCAGTTTCATGCCATTCTCCTGCCTCAGCCTCCCGAGTAGCTGGGACTACAGGTGCCCGCCACCACACCCGGCTAATTTTTGTTTGTATTTTTAGTAGAGATGAGGTTTCACCATGTTAGCCAGGATGGTCTCGATCTCCTGACCTCGTAATCCACCCGCCTCGGCCTCCCAAAGTGCTGGGATTATAGGCATGAGCCACCGCGCCCGGCCCCCATAACATTTCTTTTGGAAGACAGTCACAGCCCAGATGTGATAATTATTGTAACCTTAATTATATTCATGACACCATTCCCAATCTCATATTTCTCCATGTACCTTACGTGTTATGCACCAATCCGTCCCAACATGCCTTTCTTCATTTGACTAATATGAAGGACTGAAACTCAGTTCTTTCACATGAAATAATTATTCCTCCTCAAATTGATCTTTGTTTCTTCTGTGAATGTTCCTCTTGGTTCTTTCCTTTCAATGCCTCTTGAGCTAAAGCCCTGGCCCTCTACATCCTTGTAATCTATGCCATTCCTTCCTAATTGAAGTTATACTTAACCCAGTTTGTGATATTTTAATTAATCCTTCAAGCCTTCTTCAAGCAAACATCCTCACTTGAAGTTTTACTTCACTTATATTTATAAGAATTTAATTAGCCCTCCAAGGCTGCTTCTTTTGAACTTCCTCTTTGACTCCACTACTTTGGCTGCCATTTTTCTTAGATTTTAAGATGCCCTCTATTGTAAGATGCATTGTTGATTAATAACAACTTTTCTTTTTTATGTGGAAGAGTTGGCAGTTCTGAATCAAAAGTACCTATTGTCTTTCATAAAACATACTAACTGCCAGAGGATATTTATTCATATAATTGTATAGCACTTTCTTTTTCACTGTCACAATCAAAATTTGAATTAAAATCTTCTCCTCAGCCAGAGTCTAAAGAGACTTCTTATTTTCTTAAAGCCCCTGGATTTTAGGCATAGCATCATAGTAACAAGTTATTATTCATAACTGGTGCTCATGTGAATTTAGAAACTTCCTTCCCCTCATCTTCTTCTGTATGTATTTTAATCATGCCTGATTTTGGTGTGTTTACAATATAATCTACAGTAAATAATATGAGGAGCTTTATTTTTTTCCTATGCTCTAGAATTGTTTCATCATAAAAATCTATGGTTCCTTGTAGGCCTGATAGAAATGCACCTATGAAACTGTAAGTAAAGTGATATTTAGAAGTAGAAATTTCCAGGGGAGTTTTTGGTTATTGATTTAATCAAATATTTTGAGTAATTTTGTTTAGTTATGATTTCTTTATATTGACTATTTAATCTAGATATCTAAATTTGTCTGTGTAAAGTGACAAAAGCATCATTTTATAGCCGTATTGCCAGACAAGCACTTCATTTTATTTTCCACATTTATTTTTGTTTTCTTGCCTACAGTATTAAAGGCTTCTTCCCCTTTATAAATCCCTTCCTTCTTTTCTCTGTCATGTTCCCTCTTCACCTATCTTACTGTATTGAATACTTAGTTTATTATTTCTTTTTGTTTGCTAATACAGTAGAAAATATTGGCAACATTTCACGCACACACACACACATATACACACACACACATACACATCATCCATCAGAATGGGACTGCTGAATCGAAGATTATATTAAGACTGATACATATTCCTGGAAATAACAGGAACAAATATTAGAAAGCTAATGAGCTTTTTTATTATTCCAATTGGCTATAACTAGAGGAGATAAGAAACCAATCATGCTACAGAATAGTAGAGAACCCGCTGACTCCTAAAAACCTGAGTAGCTTTTGTTCAATAAACAAAACACTATTTCCTCAGTATAGGTGTAAGATGTATGATGCCTAAAAAAATCTTGCACATTGATTAGCGACCATGTTAGTCTCTACACATCTCCAAAATGGGTGCAGGTGGGGTGACAGGCATCACTATTCACCCCACAAAGTCTAAAATGCTCTGCTAAACTGTAAGATTCCATTGCATGGAGGTAAGAAGAAGGGCATGAGAAATTTATGAACTTTATCTTAAAGAAATGAAGTTATTCTGTAGGAAAGGCATGAAGTTTGATCAAAAAAGAGGTGAATAAGTGAGTGCCTCCAGCTTCACCTTCAGAGCCTGGGTTAGGAGTAGAGTTTACTGAAAGAATGCCCTCCTCCAAACTCTGTTTTCCTATTGAAGAAAAATAATTCTAGTTATCTTTCCTTTCATACTTAGATAATACCTCCAGCAATTGATGTGTGTGTTAGTATTGGCTCCTTGGAGCTAAGAGTTTCTTAAGGGCTATCATACTGAGGCTGAATCTTGAAAAACTAGCAAGGTTTATTAACGTGAGTGAGAAAGAAAAAAATATGAGAAGAGGAAAAGGTAAGAACAGAAGTGTTCTCATCTATAAGAACGAAAACGTTGTCACCTAATCTGAATTCAAATTCAACTGAGAGAAAGACTTGGAGAGAGGCAGATGAAGATAAAAATATCAGCTTTATTCCTGATGAAAATTATACTGCAATACATGATGTAAATGTATGGCCATGACTACTTTCTGATAATTTCCTGTAGTAGACAACTTTTTGTTTGTTTGTTTGTTTGTTTGTTTTTTGATACCGAGTCTTGCTCTGTCACCCAGGCTGGAGTGCAGTGGTGTGATTTCGGCTCACTGCAGCCTCCACCTCCCAGGTTCAAGCTACCCTCATGCCTGAGCCTCCTGAGTAGCTGGGATTACAGGCGCCCACCACCAAGCCTGGCTAATTTTTCTATTTTTAGTAGAGACTGGGTTTCACCATGTTGGCCAGGCTGGTCTTAAACTCCAGACCTCACATGATCTGCCTGCCTCAGCCTCTCAAAGTGCTGGGATTACAGGTGTGAGCCACCGCGCCCGGCCAGTAGACAACTTCTGATGTGGCTCCTGGTGATGCTTGATACTCTAGTACACTCCTAGTATTCACTTTTATGAATCCCCTGTTCTTGAGTACAGACAGGACCTAGTGACTTGCCAACAATAAACAGAATACAGAAAGAGTTATAGGATGTCACTTCCAAGATTGGATTATCAAGAAGCTTTGTCTTCCATTTTGCTTGCACTCTCTCTTTCTCTTTCTGGTTCTTCTCAGCTTGCTCGCTCTGATGAACAAGCTGCCCTGTTGAGTGCTGCCCTCTGGAGTGCCCTGCATGGAAAGAACCTGTGGGTGGCCTCTGAAAAACAGCCACATGAGTGGGCTTGAGAGTCAATCCTTTCTGAATCAAGCCTTGTGATCACTGCAGCTTTGAACAACATCTAGATTTCGGCCTTAAGAGACCACAAAGCACAGGATATGCCATATAAATCAAATCAGGATTGGTGACCCATAAAGCTGTGAGCTAATAAATGTTTTAAGTCAATAACTTTTAGGGTAATTTGTTATGCAGCAATAGGTAACTAATAAACCTCTCCTAGAGAACGCACTCTCCTCCCCCAAAATAAGATGCATGTATTGAAGAGAAAATCCCTATGTCCAAAACGAGATTAGGTCTATAGCAGCATGAAAACCAGAAGATGCTAACCAACACATTCCTCCTTCAATTTCAAAAATTCACCAGTTAGATAAATACTTCTTCTTCCCTTGGGAGTGTTATTCAAGGAGCAGAATTATGCAAACATGACCCTGTGTTGCTTAGACAACAAACTAGGTTAAGGTCTGTGAGCTCACTTTCCTCCTAGCTGAAGGGGCAGCCTTCGAGTTTAAGTTTCCATGGGACTGAGACCATCTTTCTTGTGGTCAAGGAGACTGCATCATCCCAAGTTCCAAGTAAAAAGACGTCAAGTTCCAAGTACAAAGCTGTCTTGTCCAGGCAATATTGCAAATTGCAAGTACTGCAAATACAGACTGCTCAGTGGCAAGTATTCTGTTCATTTCTTCACTGAAAAGGCCATTTTCTCTTGCTTATTCTATAAGAAGGAGCACCAATGGAGTGGGAAGACGAGTTCCCCCACCAGAGCAGGACCCATGCTAGGTTTAGTAGATGTCCACATCTAGATTTTCAGCTACAGTGCTCACAAGGCTTGATTCAGAAAGGATTGACTCTCAAGCTCACTCACGTGGCTGTTATTCCTTGGAATAACTGAGAGCTTGAGAACTGCATATGGCTCTGTCTTTTTGTCTCTGGCTCGGGGTTTCCTTTTTTCCAATATAGTTTGCTTTATAATCTATGCTCTATTTTAAGTTGTGGACTTCATTCCGACCACTTGGACCTTCTTTCCCCCAGAAAAACACAGACAAATAAGTGAGATCCTAAAGATCCATCCGAGGTATTTATTCTGTATTTTTCCCTCCATCAAGAGTGGAAATGTATGGAGAGAGAGTTAACTATTGCTCCTCACCCTTGCACACATGCATGTGTGCATGCACATGCATACACATGCACCAATGAAGGGTAGAGAAATACAAAAAGATAGGACAGATTTGGGATATACAAGTAGGTCTGTATTGCAAGACAAATAGGTAAGTTGACAGTCACGGTGTATTGAAGTACCAGAATGCCACATCCATAGGGCCATCCTGTTGCACAACTTCACGCTGCCCAACCCAGTAAGGAGTGGTTCCCCCTGTAGTCGTGGAATGCAGTGGTCTTAGCAGAGCCCTTAGATGACCCCAGTCACTATATATCTTCTTCTCTCCTTGATCTTTCTTATTTTAGAGATGACAGTTTTACAGGCATAAGCAAAAAAAAAAAAAAAAAAAAAAAATCAGTCCAAAACCTGCCACCAAGGCACAGAATTGCCTCTTACCTTCCTTTTGTTTTTGTGGGGCTGCCCAAAATAAGTAGCAGGATGATTCATCGTAGCCTCTGGAAGTTGTCTGACAGAACTCTATTCCGGTGTGTGACTGAAGCTACTTATAGCTTGTGTCATTTTCTGCAATAACTCAGTTCCAAGCAAAGATTAATGCAGTTAGAGCATTTTGCAGAAATAGTAAACCACCCTTGCAACTGATTGCGATTCTAGAGCTTCCTTGCCTGTGAGTTATTCATGTAGCTCTCCAGCGTTGTTTTCATAAACAGATATTGTTTCATTGGTTGCTAATCACTTCTGCCAAAGTTAGAGTAGGCTCAAGGCCAGGGGAAATAGGGAGGTTTTATTCAAAGAAGCAAAGTTTTCAAGGTATAAAAAATGCCAAACTACTCACTGTTCCAGACTTTTCTTATACTAATGAACACTGAATGTATGTTTAAGAAAAATTTGTATTCAAAGTTTGTGTATGATATCTCATCTGATCATGCTTTTTTTTGTAATCAACCCACTGAATTATTTAATTTTTCACAAGTTACTTTTTCACTATATTCACTGGGTTGGCAATGATATTTTTCTGTGTCAAAATAAATGACAGTCATGAAAGTAAATACCGTAAGATTTACCAGAAAGACTAATCTATCATTGCTTCTTTTATTACTTATTCTCAGAAGATAACATTGCTAGAAAAAATAACTTTAAGTGAACAACATTATAACTAATGGCTTGCTGTTTGTTTGCTTGTTTGTTTTTAATCATTAAAAGTTTTCTGGGCTGTGATGGTGCATCAGACCAGAAGCTACCAGAAGCACAGAGACCCTAGAAAAGTGCGTAGCATATGGTAGAGACTCCATAGGACTACTGAACAGTAGAGCAACCGTCTAGCAGGACTACACGTCTTTCTTGGGCTTTTCAGTGATCCTTATTTGTATGTGAGAAACATTACTTAATGGTAATATATAAAGAAGTCATTTCAGTTGAGGCCCTCACTGCTCTCACTCTTGAACCAGGACTATTTTGAATTCCAGCTTACTTATTAGATTCAATGCTCTCAAGAAAATTTATAGTTTAAGTGTTCAACCAATCTCTGAAATACAGTTGAGAGAAATCATCCTTGGAAATAACAACCTAAAAGTTAACTGCATCAGACACCCTTTCCTGCTGGGTTTTGCACAGGCAAGATATTCATGTGTCATTCCTGGTCAGATGAAATGTCTCTAGCATCTCCTTCCTTCACTTATGTGTAAAGAGGCTTGGTGGTTAATTTTCTAATTTAGCAGATGCAAAAGTAGAAATGTGAAGGAAAAGGAGCTTCCTCAGGTGAACTTCAGGGAAAAGACCTCAGAAAAAATATTTAGCTCCATGTTATAACTTTGCTCACATCATTTTCTTCATTCAGAGTCACTGCAATTATGCCCATCAATCATTATGGGTGAAATCAGCAATCTTTAAGTTTACTTCCATTGCTAACATTCAATTTTCTCTCCCAAAAGTTAGTTACTTTTCTCTTTTATTCTTTTCCTCATAGTTACAGAGATTAACGAATATGTTTCATTCATATTTTGTGTCAAGCGGGGCCTAGAAGAGTGAACAAGGCTGAGACATCTCATAGTGGGTTCAGTAGGCTTAAGAAAGTAAAGTTCTTCCTTTTGGTTATGGATTCTCAATTTAAGCCCAAGTAGCATTAACGTTGTCAAAGTTTACCTGGTAAAACACAAATTTTCTTGCCAAGGCAAACAGTCAGTCTGAAAATTGTAGGAACCAACGTATAGGGTCCAGATATTAGAAAAGCTTAGAGACAGATGTGGTCAAGCATGCACATGAAAAGTCACCTGGAATAATTCTAGAAGTAAGTCAGACATTTCCAAAGGGTTTCTGTGTGGTAATTTATTAGATTCCATTGGTTTGTTGGACTCATTTAAAGGATATACTATAAAACAGATAAATCTGTTCATATTGTCATATCACTTATACTTTATAATCATTTTTATTTGACGTATCTAATAGAGGAAGAGTAATGCAGTCTTTAATATTATTTCAGTCTTTTTTTCTTAATGTGGAACAGTAACAATGGAACAGAATCACCCTTGACAATTGCTAAGGCAGAATGACTTTTAAGTGGCTTCTCTACTTATAGCACTGAGAATAATCCACTGCTCCAATATTACCTCCACCCAACCATCATCAATAAGCTAATGCACTTATTGCATAAAGTCTAAACAACCTTACAATTTCTAGCAGCAGTGTCAAAAAGAACTTTCTGTAATGCCAAAAACATTCCCTATATATATGTGTACTGTTCAATAGATGACTATTAGGCACTTGAAATGTGGTTAGTGCAACTAAAGAAATCAGTTTTAAATTTTTGTTTAATTTCAGTTAATTTAAATGTAAACAGCAATTTATGACTACTGGCTACCATATTGGACAGTGACAGTTTTATAGTTTCAGCATCTTGTCTCTTACCTCTTTACAGAGACTTTTGAATTATTTGAGCCAAACAAGGTATGTTTCAGGCCACCTCATCATTATGCTGGCTTATTAACTCAATTAGAATATCAGACCATAATGGCTTTATTTCACTTTTGATTCTTATTTGAAAAATATCTACATTATACCCATAAACAAACACACACACACACACACACACCCCTACACACACACACACACCTACACACACACACACCTCCATCTTATTTCCCAAACCGTGCACATAAAAACACAGGCTTAGTGCTTAATGTAAAAAAAAAAAAAAAGCATAAACTTCAAAGATGTTTCATGGTACCTAGGCAGGTAGAGCTTTTCTTCCTGTTTCATTGTGACCAACATTATTACAGTCAGGAACAACTTTTATTCAGAAAACTTATCTTCTAAAATAGCTATAAATACTAGAAAAGCATATGAGAAATTGAGCTTGTGAGGAAAGCTACAGAAGAAAAAGTAAGAAAGGCTTTGGAAAAATATGCATTATGGTTTCTTGTGCATGCGGCTATAGAGAGACATCTCAACTAAGGTAATTTGTATATTTGTAAGAGTCATAAGTGACTGGATTCCAGTCCCAGTTCTACCACTTACTAGGTGTAATGACACTGGCCATGTTAATGAACCTCTCTGAGTCTGAGATTCCTTATCCATCAAACAAGATGATTTCTGACACTTAAAATCTTCGTGGATATTAAATAAGACAATATGTGCAAATAACTTAATATTTATTCTATTACTAGAATACTAGTATACTAAAGTATACTAACAGTAGACTTTAAATATGTTAATTCCTTTTCTTTCTATTTTTAAGGCAAATGTTTTGAAACATATGAAAACTAATTGAAGCCATATACTCCAGAAATATGCAATCAATAAGACACTTCTGTGAAATGAGTTCACTGTGACTTTGTTAGTAGGTTCTATGAAACTAGGGTATCTCCAGACCCTAGGCAGATGGTCACATTTTGAGGGGGAATAAAGCATCTTTATCAGAAAATTCTTTTTGGTTGGTTCCTTCATTATGACTCGGAAAAATGCCATTTAAACAGATGGATATGAATACAGGCAACCAGAGAGGCTGCACTTGTACCCCTAGTCTTGGCATGTGGCACCAGATTCCCTCACCAGGCTGTCAAAACAGCTGCTGTGCACTTTCCCCCACCTGCAGTTACAAAGCTCTGCCAAGAGTATCCCAGCTTAGAGAAGAACCTGTATAGTTCATTCTCCTGGGTTGGAGGCCACACTTACTGCCTTTGGAGCACTAGGGGCGCCTTTTCACATCTTTCTTTAAAATCCTGGGAATGAAAAAGATATGTAACCTTTCCAGTTCATCTATCCTTTCATTAACATTGAAGTGACAGCAAGTCTTGGTAGAAAAAATGGGATATATATTCAAAACTCCACTTGACCATTCACTTGTAGTTAAATAAAGTTACTTTAACAGCTTTGATCCTTAGTTACATCTTTTCCAAGTGGAAATAAACAATATTTGATAAAATTGTAGTGGTAGTTAGGAATAATGATGAAAGAGAGTCTAGATAGTTGTGGTGGTCATGGTAGTACTAAGAGTTGCAATGGCAACATGTAACATTTATTTACTGTTTGTTATACATCAAGTATGGTTCTACATGCTTTACAAGTATTAGGCATTTAACCCTTATAGTCATTGCATAAACATATGTATTTTGTAAGATAGTTGAAGATAATGAGGCAGAATGAATTTAACTTGCTCAAGATTACAGAGCTAGAAAGGTATGAAGTGGTAAATAAAACTCAGGAAGTCTGACTCCAGAGCCTGCATACTTACGAATTACTATAGGTGTTAAGGGAATGGTAACTATTTTTATGGGGAAGCAAAGATCCACAGAAAATTGAGTATGTTAATGAAATCTCCATTGATGAAAAGCAAATGACAGCTATAAGGCCTGTGAATGATTTCTATCTGGTACTTCTTGCTTAGGTAGGAAAAATTTGCTGAGGAAAGGATAATTCAAAATCACTCCTTTTTATGGGAACACAGAAATAGTGTTACAGAAGTCACGTCGTTACATGAGTATTATAAAGTAGCAGTATAATTTAAGTAATTAAGCAAATCCTGAAATAATTGTTTTTATATTTTAATTGCTGACAGAATATATTTAGTTAATGGATTTTATATTCTTTAATTTACATTTGATATTAATTATAGTCTATATTTATGTGTAGTTTTACACACAGCACATTAAACACAGCTTGATCTGATGAAATTGATTTTATCATATCTGGCAAAAATTAACCATTTGTGGAAACCAGATTGGTCTCACTTGTATGTTTGAAACCTTTTGTACCAAGTAGTTTCTGTTTTTGCTTCTAAGTGTCGCAGATCTAAGGAAAAGAATATCAATTCAACACTACAACAAAGTTAAAAAGTAGATTCATTTGGATTCAATTTAAGCTTATAGAAATAAAAAGCCTTCAGTGTGCTTACTTTGAACTGAATATTTAGAACATGAGATCAAATGCTCTGTATTATAAAGGCAACAAGTCCTCAAATATATGCTTTGGTTCATATAAAGTCTGTAATGAAAAGAGATGTCAGGGAAGTGGAGACAGGTTGAGATAGAAACACATACAATTAGGCAAAGAGATATTAAGAAATAAAGAAAAGGGAACAGGTAAAAGAAAGAAGATGGAAAAGATGGAAGATGGAAAAGAAACAAAAGGGAGAGAGACCTCGGCCTTGCTAAATTCTGTTCCCAATTTCTTTAGTTCATCTCTGCTTGGATTCTCTCTTCCTATGCCACAGCCCAGAAAGTACACTGAGGCAGAAACCTGGGGCAATATTAGGGCCACTTAATATGATTTCCTTCTCTCATAGATCTTAATCTTGTCACCTGACATGTGAATATAGTTGGATCATACCCTTTACAGAGTCTTAGAGCTATTTACTTTGAGGGGCATGGCAGACTGAATAATAACTCTCTGAAGATACTAACATGTGAACAACCAGAACCCTTAAATACATCACCTTATACCGGAAAATAAATTGCACATATAAATAAATCAAGGGTCTTGATATGGGGAGATTATCCTGGATTATCTGGTTGAGCCCAATGTAATCACAGGATCTTTATGAGAGAGAAGGAAGGTCAGAGTCAGAGAGAGGAAGACGTGAAAACTTCTAAAGAAAATTTAGGAAAAATATTTTGTGGCATTTGGTTAGATTTCTTAGCTGCAACACCAAAAGCGTAATTCATAATAGAAATACATCATAAATTGAACTTCTTCAAAATTAAAAATTTCTGCTCTTCAAAAGACGTGAAGAGAATTAAAACACAAAACAGGGCAGGAGGGAATATTTGCAAATCACATATCTGATATGATTCCATTTACATAATATTTTGTAAAAGACAGAACTATAGGGACAGAAACGAATTTAGTTGCTGCTGGATGCTTGAACTGGAGAGAGCTGACTACAATCTCCTTCATAGGTTGACTGTGGCATTTGTTACACTACTGTATGCATTTACCAAAACTCACAGAACTTTACACCAAATGTGGTGAATTCTACTATATTTAAATTATAATACAATTGTATTTGTCAGAGGGACAGGACTAATAGGATAGATGCATATATGAAAGGGAGTTTATTAAGGAGTATTGATTCACAGGATCACAAGGTGAAGTCCCACAATAGATCATCTGCAAGCTGAGGAGCAAGGGAGCCAGTCCGAGTCCTAAAACCTTAAAAGTGGGGAAGCTGACAATGCAGCCTTCAGTCTGTGGCCAAAGGCCAGAGAGAACCTGGCAAACCACTGGTGTAGGTCCAAGAGTCCAAAAGCTGAAGAGCTTAGAGTCTGGTGTTTGAGGGCAGGAAGCATCTAGCACAGGAGAAGCATGAAGGCCAGAAGACTCAGCAAGTCTAGTCCTTCCATGTTCCTCTGCCTGCTTTTATCCTAGCTGTGTTGGCAGCTGATTAGATGGTGCCCGCCTGAATTAAGGGTGGGTCTGCCTCTCCAGTCCACTGACTCAAATTTTAATCTCCTTTGGCAACAACCTCACAGACACACCCAGGAACAATACTTTGCATCCTTAAATCAATCATGTTGACACTCATTAACTATCACGCCAATAAATCCAAGTTAAAAAGAAATTCTCAATTGAACTACGGGGGTATACAGGTATACACGGGATATGAACTACAGGGGTATACACAGAATGAAATCCTGTCATTTGGTGTACAAATTCTACTAGGGAAGGCCGACAATAACAAGTAAGCATATAAATATATAATATAATTTCATTTGACTAATTGATATAATGTTACTTGGCCAAGTCATTTATATTAATGAGTACAATAAGAAACAAACAGAGAAAGATAAAACAGTGTGCTTTCCAAACTTATTCATGCAATGACAAACAATAAATAATACTTAACATTTAAAGAGCACATTGAGTTAAGCAGGCTAAGGCCGTTTGTGGTCAGGGAGAACTGGTGGTGGGCGGAGAATAAGAGGGTACAGTAGCCCTAGGCCTTGCCTTGCCATTCTAAGGAGCAGGGGATCAAGGCTTGGTAATTAATGGCTCATAGACTGGAACATTCTGGGGTAAGGGAATGGATTAGGGGATGACTTCTGGTTTAGCAAAGAGAGACTGGTGAAATGTCTGGAGACATAACATTGAATAGAGACCTAGATAAAGGGGGCCAGCCCTGGAAAAATCTGGGGGATGATTGATCTAGACAAAAGAAGAACAATCACAAGGAACTTGTTTTTCATAGAGGAATGAGTTTGGCAAGTTAGAGAAAAAGCAAGGACTACATAGCAGAGAGTAATGGGAAGTACAGTGGAGGTTAGAAGGTAAGGTCAGACAGGTGGTCACAGCCAAGTCATTCAGTCTTAGAGTCAGTGGTAAGATACTTGGGACTGATTTACATGTAATATGAAGCCATTAGAGGGTTTTGAGCTGGAGAGTTATGTGATTTTATTTATAGTTTTACAAGATCAATATGATTTTTGGTTTAATACTGTTTTTAAGGGGTTAGTAAAAACAAAGAGATTAGTAAAGTGGCTACTATATTAGTCGAGATGAAAGATAAGAAAGGCTTAGCTTAGTGTGTTACCTGAAAAATGGGTGAAAACTGTGATACAGGAGTTAAAAAGAAATTACTTAGGCAGATAGAGAGGGTACGGAAATCCTCGGTAATGATTTTCCTTTTAATAAAAAGCAGCCCAAAATCATTTTCCTTTCTAACAAAGAGCAGCCTGTAAAATTGAGCTGCAGACATAGTTGCCAGAAGAGGAATACTACCTGTGACCAGGCATGTTCAAAATGGCGGCTCCATCTTCCCTTCCCTTTGCCAGCCACATGTACAGCAAGGAGTGGACAAGATGGTGTTGGTCAACTGGAAGCCCATTTGAATAATAAGATTAGGGTGGAGTGGCCAGCCTTCCCCAGACTGTGTCAACGTCACACCTGATTGAACCAATCTGTGTGTCCTACATAAATCAGACACTGCCTCCTCAAGCCAGCCTTTTCCTCTGGGAAGCCCCTCTCTCTCACTAGAGAGAGAGCTGTTTTCCTTTCTTTTTCTTTCTCTTTCTTTTGCCTATTAAACCTCCCATCCTAAACTCCTTGTGTGTGTTTCTGTCCTAAATTTTCGTGGAGCAAGATGACCAACCCTGGGTATTTACCCCAGACAAGAATGCCACTTCAACTGGTCAGATTAGAAAAATAATCTAAAGGTAGAGTTTAAATCAGAATGTGATTTATTTACGGATGTGAGAAGGGAAATGGTATTAAATGTTTTCTAGATTATTGGTCTGAAAAACTAAGTGGATGGTGATACTACTTAGTAAATGGAGAAAATTGGGAGAAAACATCTTGGAAGGTGTTTTCAAATATGTTAATTGGACACGCCTGCTAGAAACCATGAGGTAGAATTACGGAGTGTGGTAATGCAAGGAGAATTCAAGATATGCAAATCAATAAATGTGATAAATCACTTTACAGAGGAAAGGACAAAACGTGTATTAGTATTTCAGTAGATGCAGAAAAATCACTTGACAAATCTCAATATTCCAACATGATTAAAAACTATCAACAAATCAGGTATAGAAGAAAGTAGATTAACACAATAAAGGTCATATATGACAAACCCACAGCTAATATCATACTGAATGGAGAAAACTTGAAAGCTTTTCCCTGAGATCTAAAAAAAGACAAGGATTATCTCTTTCATTATTTCTATTCAATAAAGCCCTGGAAGTCTTAGCCAGAGCAAGTAGGCAAAATAAAGAAATAAAAGTCATCCAAATGGGAAAGGATGAAGTTAAATTGTCTCTGTTTGATGATGATGTAACCATATATATATTTTTTAAAACTACCAAAAAACTGTCAGAAATAATAAACAAACAGTACAGTTGCAGGATACAAAATTAGTGTATGCAAATCAGTAACATTTCTATACACTAGTAGCAAACTATCTGAAAAAAAATCAAGAAACAACTCTATTTACAAAGTTATTTAAAAAATAAAATAAGAATAAATATAAACAAAGAGGTAAAAGACCTCTACACTGAAAACTATAAAACATGGATGCAAGAAACCAAAAAAGACACAAATAAATAAAAAGATATCCCATATTGATGGATGGAAAGAATTAATATAGTTAACATGTCAATACTACCCAAAGTGATCTACAGATTCAATGCAATCTTCATCGAACTACCAATGACATTCTTCACAGAAACATATAAAAGCAATTCTAAATTTTGTATCAAACCATAAAAGACTCCCAAAAGCAAAAGCAATCTTGAGCAAAAAGAACAAAGTTGGAGGAATCATGCTATCTAATTTGAAGACAAACTACAAAGCTATAGTAACCAAAATACATAGTACTAGCATAAAAACAGACTCATAGACAAATGGAAGAGAATAAAAAGCCCAGAAATACTCCCCATTTATAGCCAATTTTTTTCAATAGAGGCACCAAGAACATACAGTGGAGAAAAGACAGTTTCTTCAATAAATGATATTGGAAAACTGGATATCCACATACAGAAGAATGACATTAGACCATTATATCTCACCACATACAAAAATCAATTAAAATTGATTAGACTTAAGTGTAAGACCTGAAAGTATAAAACTTCTAGAAGAAAACATAGGAGAAAATCTTGTCGATATAGGTTTAGGCTAAAAATTTTGGATACGACCTCAAAAGCACCAGCAACGGAAACAAAAATAGACAAATGAGATTACATCAAACTAGAAAGCTTCTGCACAGCAAAAGAAACAATCAACAGAGTGAAGAACAACCTACAGAATGAGAGAAAACAATTGCACACCATACACTGGATAAGGAACTAACATAAAAATTATATCAGAAACTCAAATTGCTCAATAACAAGAAAACTACTGTATTTAAAAATGGGCAAAAAACTTGAATAGGTGTTTCTCAAAAGAAGACATAGGAGGACCAACAGATTGCATACATAATGTTCAACATCTCAAATCATCAGAGAAACACAAAGTAAGACCACAAAGATGAAAGACAAAAAGTGTTGGTGAGGATGTAGAGAAAAGGGAACACTTAACACATTGTTGGTGGGAATGTAAATTAGTAGAGCCATTTGGAAAATTATGAAGATTCAATCAGAGAATAAAATCAATTTCTGGGAATATTTATTTATAACAAAACACAGTTGATGATACAAAAGAGAGACTATTCACTAGTAAAACCTGAGTTACTAGCCTAGAAGACAAACGAGAAGAAATACCTCAAAGAATGAAGCATAAATGCAAGATAATGGAAATAATTGAAAAAAGATAAGATAATTGGGTGCATGTGAAGAAAACCTAATTGAAAGATAGTATTGCAGAAGAAAAAAAAACTATGTGAGCAAAATAATATTATTAAACAAATATAAGAGAAAATTTCCCCCAGTTGAAGAATATATACATCTGCAAATTTAAACTACACACCAAATTCCAGGCAGAATTAATGAGAAAAAAAAAAAGAAACCCTAAACATATCTGGGTAAATTTCTTGAATTCCAAGGATAAAGAAAAATACTGATAGTGTCCAAAAGAAAAGCCTGAGATATTTACAAATAAAACAAAGTCAGTTCTGGCATAAAACTTTCAGAAATTAAAATATATATGCCTTTCTTTTTTTTTTAGAACACCTCTTTCAATCAGTCTTTCAAAAATGGTCTATGAAGATTAACTTTCTTGGTGCTTTTTATGTCTAAGAATTATTTTTTTTTTCTGTTCCACTTGATTTCTAGCTTGGATACTTATTCAATTCTATATCCAAATTATTTTTCTCGTAGCTTAAAAAATTAAAATTTGTGTCCTCATTATCGTCTAATTTCCATTTTACTTAGAATGCAATTTAGAATATCCCTTTTGAGGTTGTCTTATTTCCATGGAGTTCTAAATATTCCCTTTAAGGTATCTAGGTATAGGTTTTTGCCATTAATTTTATCTAGCACTGACACTTTCAGCCTAGAAATGTATACTTTTATCATCTGCAGGAAATTATACTGTTACTTATTTATTCCTGTCCATTCTCTTTGTTCATTTCTTCTGACATTCAGTTATATGGTTATTGGATCTTCATTTACCTCACTGTCTCTTCTTTAATCTTTTGTAATTTTTTTTTTGTTTTTATGTTATTTTGTTGGAATATCTTGGATTAATCTAACTCTTAAATAATTCAGACTTCCACCGAATTCAAACTTCGATTGAGCTCTTTACTTTCTTTGTAAATTTTATTTTTCAAGACTTATTAAAATATAATTGACAGATAAAATTTTTACATATTTACAATGCAGGATGTGATGTTTCAATATTGTATATATTGTGAAATGATCAAGTCAAGCTAATCAACATATCCAATACTTCACTTGTCATTTTTTTGTGATAACGTTTAAGATCTATTCTCTTGGCAATTTTCAAATATGCGATACATTATTATTAACTACAGTCATGTACAATAGATTTACAGAACTTGTTTATCCTGTCTAATGGAAATTTGTACACTTTGATCAACACTTCCCCATCTTCACCCCATCAGCTCCTAGTAACCACCATTTATAAACCATCTGATAACAGGCTAATATGCAAAATATATAAGGAACTCAACGCAACAGCAAGAAAACAAATAACAATTAAAAATGGTCAAAGAATCTGAATAGAGATCTGTTAAGAGAAGAAATACAAAGGGCCAACAGGTATATGAATAAAAGGCTCAAGTCACTAATCATCAGGAAAATGCAAATTAAAACTATGATGAGATGTCACCTCACAACTGTTAGAATGGCTATTATCAGAAAAACATATATATATCACATACATACACATACGCACACAGACTAACAATGGCTCATTGTATGAAATTTTATTCATCCTTAAAAAATAAGGAGAGCCAATCATCTATGACAATATAGAGGAACCTGAAAAACATTATACTAAGTGAAATAAGCCAGGCACAGAAAGACAAATATTGCACAATCTCATTTATATGTAAAATCTAAAAAAGTTGAACTTATGGAAGCAGAGACCAGAAGATTGGTTAATTTTTTTTCACTTTATCATGTTTACATTTACATTAAAGAACACCAATTAACTTACTTTATAGTAGTCTATTTTGTTTTATGAATGTGATGGTCTTCTAAATATATCTGAGAATTTAGTTAGATTTATTGTTTCAGTTACCTTTTGATTCCATTCTTCATGGTTTTCTTAGTATTTATTGTTTTCTTTCTGTATTTAATATTCTACTTTCATGTGTGTATTTTCCTCAACTTTGGATTCTATTCATGTTTTAAAATAAGAATACCCTGTATACCTGCACTGAGTGGCAGAAGGAACTGTGCAATGGGATGTGAGGAGGGTTTATCTTCATAATTTATGTGTTCTCTGTATTTCTATGGCTGGCAAGTGATCTGGAGCACTGCCTTGCTTCTCTAGCATGAACTACAACATTAGGAGTCTCCTCTTTTGCAACTCCCAGGTCAGAATTTAAGCTTTATTCTGGGGATAAAGCCTGAAATCACCTTCTTTTTCTGTCTTCTTTCTTCATAGTGTTTTGTTGTTTTTTATGGTTCTCTTTGCCTTGTTTCCAGTCCCAAACTCATACTAAGTGTAATCAATGGGTTGAAAAAGTACATCTCTTCACTGTGTAGTAGTGACTATGTCAGAGGGAGAGTAGCCCATATGACTCAGTTGCTCAGAATGATTTGCTTTAATCAGCTGCTCTGACAGTTGCCCCAAAACCACATGCAGCTTTGAATATTTTTTGACCCTTTGTATGGACGACCTCTTCTTTCCTGTTTATGTTTAAGTTTTCTTTATCCTTATATATCTATCAATTCATTCTGATTTGTTTTCTATCTTCCAGGAATTTTTCAAAATTCATGAACTATTGATCATGTCCTTTTTAAAAAATTTTTTACTACTGTTACTACTTGTACTGTTAAGTTTATTTTTTCCTACATAATTTTGTGGGGGAAGGAAAATAGATGCAGATGTTGTATCTGAAATCTTTATTTAATCTGATGTATCACTTCTCACCTATCACACTGGTAAACTTTCAAAAATATAAGACAATAGCTCCTGTAGGTGACACTGTGGAGAAACATGCACTTCATGTTTCCCCACACAAAGAATGCAAATTGTACAACCCTTTTGGTGGGAAACTTGGCATACCTAATGAAACTACATATGCCCTAACATTTTGATTCAGCAATCTCACTTCTAAAAATCTATCTTGCATATGTATTTTTATTCCTCCAACACTATAAAAATACATAGCACAAGGTTATTTATTGCAGTGTTGTTTATATATGCAAAATATTGGAAACAACCTAAATGCCTATATATATGGCAGAGTGGCTGAATAAACTATGATACATTCACATAATGAGAACTATGTAGCTATAAAAAATAATGAGAAAAATCTCTATGAACTGATATGGGATAATTTCATCTGACATACTGTTAAGTGAAAAAGCAAAGCAGAAAAAATACCTATAGCATGCTGTTTTCATATAAGAAATAAGGGGACATAAGAAGATACTGATGTAGCTGCTTATTTGTAAAAACACATTTTTGTTTCTGATTAATCAGAAACTAAAGACAAACAACAACAAAAAAAACCTGTTTACCTGTACAAATAGGTAGGAAAGAAAGAGAGAAAGAAATGCAGAATGGTCTCAGGGTAGCAGAGATGAGAAGGGAATATATCTGACTCTTAGATATATTTGTATATATCTGACCCTTAGAGCTATAGTAATGTTTCAAAAACACTTTACATTTCTTAAAACGTAAACAAATATGAACAACCAGGATGTACGTGGTACAAATAGTACCCCCATTAAAGAAAAATTAAGTCAGGCTAGGCTTCTTGTCAATAAAGGATAAAAAAAATTGTTAAGCAAATAATTGGTCCTACCAAAAGATTCAGTAGCATTATAGAAGAAAATAAACAGAGGAGTTTTCTTACAAGTTTAAAAAGGACCTGAGGAGATGTTGATCAGAGGATACAAAATTTGTTAGGAGAAATAAGTTCAAGAGATCTATTATACAACATGGTAACTATAGTTAATAACAGTGTATTATGTATTCTTGAAAATTGCTGAGAGTAGACTTTAAGTGTTCTCACCACGAAAAAATATGCAAAGTAATGGCCGGTCATGGTGGCTCACACCTGTAATCCCAGCACTTTGGGAGGCCAAGGCAGGCGGATCATGAGGTCAGGAGATTGAGACCATCCTGGCTAACATGGTGAAACCCCGTCTCTACTGAAAAACAAAACAAAACAAAACAAAACAAAAAATTAGCCAGGCGTGGTGGCAGGCGCCTGTAGTCCCAGCTTCTTGGGAGACTGAGGCAGGAGAATGGCGTGAACCAGGGAGGCAGAGCTTGCAGTGAGCCGAGATCCACCACTGCACTCCAGCCTGGGTGACAGAGCAAGACTCCGTCTCAAAAAAAAATAAATAAAAATAATAATAAATATGCAAAGTAATGCATACGTTAATTAGCTCAATTTAGAAATTCCACAATGTAAACATATTTTAAAACAAGTTGTATACAATTTTTATTTGTCAAATAAATAAATAAATGTTTAAAAGGTATGTTTCTAAATACTGCACACCATAAAAAATTATAATGAAACTTAGTGTCTTTTATTTTTCTCTCATGAAGAAGCATGCAAGTAAACAAATACAAAATAACATGGATTATCTAAAATAAGCAGGAAATATGGGATGGCCATTGATATGGTTTGGCTGTGTGCCCACCTAAATCTCATCTTGAATTGTAGCCATTACAATTCCCACATGTTGTGGGAGGGACCCAGTGGGAGATAACTGAATCATGGGAGCGGCTTCTCCTATACTGTGCTGGTGATAGTGAATAAGTCTCAGGAGATCTGATGCCTTTGTAAGGGGAAATCCCTTTCTCTTGATTCTCATTCTCTGTCTTGCCTGCTGCCATGTAAGATGTGACTTTTGCTCTCTGCCATGATTGTGAGGCCTCCCCAGCCACGTGGAACTGTAAGCCCATTAAACCTCTTTTCTTTATAAATTACCCAGTCTCAGGTATGTCTTTATCAGCAGTGTGAAAACGAACTAATACAGCCATGCAATAGAGACATAAAGTAGAATGACAGAGTAAATGAAAAGAAGGGAGAAAGAAAAAGTGCCATATTAAAATCAAAATGAGACTCTAAAGAGCAAAGATTTAAGCTGACTCTAAAGAAAATCAAATAAGAGAAACGGATGAGAAACATTTTTAAAATGTGGAGAACAATAAGTGAAAAGATGTAGACCATAACACAAATATGTAAAAGGAAAGCTAATACAGTGGGAACAAATGAATAATCAGTGTGCTTTATGAAGGAAATGATATTATGGAACAAATCAATATTTAAAATACAAAAAAATTATGACTGATTAGAGACTTCAGTCTACAGATTGAAAGACTCAAGACTCATGACTCACACACCACCTGAACAGGACAAATTAAGTCAACTGGAGTGATATGGGATTAGAATCTTAAAAGAATTTTCACAAGGCTTCTTTTAATTCAACACTATTGCAGAATCACAGTCAGTTTCTCTTTCTGCAAGATATATCTTTTAACTGGGAAGAGTTTATGTTTTTCAACGATCACTGTGATATGACATGCTACTTCTTTAATTAGAGAGGTCTGTAGCAGAGACACTTCACACTCTCAATCATTAGGCAAAAGTGGTCATTTTTCTGAGAATATCTTCTTTTCTGGTTCCATTTCAATTATTCCATTTCCATGTTAAAGCAATTTTCTTACCAAACTTTGAACTCATTTATTTGGCTGCTTTTGATTTAGACATAAACCAAAGGCAATATGTTTATATGGCTTTTCTGACACTTTTATTGCTCATCTTTAAAGAAAAAAAACTCAGTGAGTTTTACTTTTCAAAAATATTTACTCTTTTTTTCAAACTATTGCTTTTGAATTTTTGAGCAATGTTAAGAAAAAAATGTAGAATAAGAAATGTTATGGTGTAGACCTGGTAATTTATTGAATCTTTATTAAACAAAAATTGACTTATGCCAGGACCATAGGTTTTAACAACTGTATAGTTAGAACCTGAACTAGGGTCTTGCATATCATTCCAGTGAATTTTTAGGAAAAGGTTTTATTTCTTCTCTTTAATCATGTATTGAATTTAGAAAAGCACTACACTCAGATTCAACGTCTAATCCTGTAAGACAAGCATGCCTCAGATATGTTACTAATGGGAATCAATGAAAGAAAAGTAAAAGACTGAAAGATCTTAATCGATCACATCAAGGTCCAAGTGTTTTTGCTATAAAGTCAATTGACACTAAACCAGAAATCCAATATTAGATTTCATTTAAAATTTGACTGCCTTAGAATTATGATGAGCTTAATGAGTTACTAAGTGAAAATGTCAACAAATCGGTTATGGTGAATTTAACTTTTGTAGAGCCTTACACAGAGTAAAGACAGGAATCCTGGACCAAGACATGTTGCCTCAGAAGTACGTGCTTTCACAGCAACAATCAGATCTTGTGCATTTGTCATGGGCACTTATAGGAATTGCTTTTCTATTGGTCTCCCTAACTCAAGCCTCCTTCCCCTTGTTTCCTACATTCTGTGACTAGCAGTGCTCATGCAGGAAATATCTGGTAGGTAATGCTTGTTATTGTTGAATTTTTAAGAAATAATTGGCAAAAAGAAAAAGTATATATCAAAATAATACCTGCACTCACTTGTTTATATGTGCCCATCAACAGTGAATTGGATAAAGAAAATGTAGCATATATACCCCATGGAATATTAAGAAGCCATAAAGAAGGAATGAAATCTTGTCCTTTGCAGCAACGTGGAGGCAGCTGGAGGCCACTATCCTAAGTGAATTATTAATCCAGAAACAAAACCAAATACCACATGTTCTCATTTATAAGTGAGAGTTAAATAGTAGATACACACAGACATAAAGATGACAATGATAGGCACTGGGGACTCCAAAAGGGGGGAGGTAGAGAAGGGAGGGGAACAAGGTTGAAAAATTACCTCTTGGATGCTACATTCACTATATGGGTGATGGGTTCAACAGAAACTCAAACCTCAGCCTTAGTGAACAAATCTGCACATATATCCCTTGAATCTAAAACAAAACAAAATTTAAAACATTAAAATATTTGGCAAATTCTAGTTATCCTTTAGGAGAAAGGTTGTCTTTGATAGTAAAAGGTCAAATGCAATGCTGGAGATCAAGAAGGACAGCATCTCAAGACTATGGGCATTATTTTTTTATTAAAGAAGGAAATTTTTAATGGCTTTATTATTCTATATACTCTTCTCAGATCAGTTTGATTTAGGCTAACAATGGTCACATCTCACTTACCTGGCACAATGCTGGTAAACAATTCAGTCATAAATAGGGAAGAATGGATAATCTAAATAGTTAAGCCATGCACGGTGGATCATGCCTGTAACCCCAACAGTTTGGGAGGCCAAAGTGGGATTGCTTGAAGCCAGGAGTTTAAGACCAGCCTAGGCAACATGGTAAACCTCATCTCTACCAAAAATACAAAAATCAGCCTGGCATGATAGCATGTGCCTGTGGTCCTAGCTACTCAGGAGGTTGAGGTGGGAGGATAGCTTGAGCCCTTGGAGGTTGAGGCTACAGTGAGCCAAGATCATGCCACTGCACTCCAGACAGTGGAGTGACAGGTAACAGAGAGAGACCCTGTCTCTAAATAAATAAATAAATAAATGTAGTTATATTTATCTATAGGGTACATTTTTATAGAAACAGCAAAGTGATAGTCTTTATTTTTATTGATTCATAGTAAAACTAATGTGGAAATTTTAAAGTCATAAAAAATGTTCTAGACAACATGCACAAACTCTAGAAAACAAAAATTTAATAAATTTGGGAGTGAGACAGCTATAAATCATTCACAAATTGCAAATTCTTAATTTAGTATTCTTTAAATTTTTTAAAGAAATGTCAATATTAGAGATAGCTGTTTTAGAGCACTGTAAGATATGAAATTCTCTGCTTATGACCTCAGGATCATTATGTTAGAAATGCAAGAGACATGGACCGTCATGTCCAACATTTCTCAAAGTTCATTCCATAGCTCTCAGTCACACTCTGAAAAAAAATATTCACTGGCTAATACATTTGTGAAACTCGGAATAATATACATCTCCTATAGAGATTTATACAATAGTCAACATATCAAAGTAATGAGAAATCTTGTAGTATGAAAAGCTATTTAACTTTGAAAGAAAATATAGCATGATAGTTCAAAAGATCATGGATGCTAGAACTAGACTGGGTGGGTTTAAAGCCCGGTTTTGCTTCTTAGTAGTTCTGTGAGCTTAAGCTACTTATTTAACCTCACTGTATCTGTTTGCTTAAATAAAGACCAAAAAATGCCTATTTCAAACAATATTCTTGGAATAATTTAAACAAGTCAATATAGAGAAAAAATATAGTATCGGGCACATCATAATAACTATTATAGAACATTTTAGTTGGCACTTCTCAAATATAACTGACCATTTGTGTGTGTACACCTCTTAATAGCCCAAAGAACATGACTTTGTCCAAGCTCATTTTTTTTTAGATGGAGTCTTGCTACATTGCCCAGGCTGGAGTACAATGGCAGGATCTTGGCTCACTGTAACCTCTGCCTCCCAGGTTCAAGCAATTCTCCTGCCTCAGTTTCCTGAGTAGCTGGTATTACAGGCCTGCACCACCACTCCTGGCTAATTTTTGTATTTTTAGTAGAGACTGGGTTTCACCATGCTGGCCAGGCTGGTCTCGAACTCCCGACCTCAGGCGATCCACCCACCTCAGCCTCTCAAAGTGCTGGGCTTACAGGCGTGAGCCATTGTGCCCAGCCCAAGCTCATTTTAAGAAAAGAAAAACAACACTCACAAAGGCCAAATTACATTGACAGGTGTTGACAGGGAGTAACTAACAGGTAGAACTAGAACTTAGTTCTCCTTCATCCCTATCCAATCCTGTTTCACAGTGGCATTCTACATTTTAACTAGGTGATCTCTAGACTAAAGAATATTTCTGCATATATATTTTTCTATATTTTATACGTAGTCAGTCAGCCATTATGGGTTTCATCTTCCCTTAAATCTTAAAACCCCGCATTTTTACCTGTGGGCAATACCTTGAAGTTTCAGAAAATGCTCAAAATCTTCCCTGAAATTGTCATGATGTATTGATAGGATTATTCAGTAATGGAAATAACAGAGATTTTTTAGAAGTTTTCTGTAAAAAATTTGCAAAAAATAATCTAGCTTTTTTATTCTAAATATATTTGAAGGGAAAAGAGATCTAAAATTTCTTAGTAAAGACATCAAAACAAGTGAAAATGCCCTTTAAGTCATAGTGGGTTTTTTAAAAAATATTTTCTAAAAGTCCAGCTGCTTTCATTCCTTTCTGATATTGTAACTGCTTCTAGTGTACCTGAGAACCAGGCTTCAAATAAAGCTGCAGCTTTTAAAGGAAACAAAGGAAGTTGTTGCCTTAGCAACAGGAACTACATAAGGTCCCACACAGCACTTCTATCTCTAGCAATTCCCTTCCAGTTCTGTATGTGTGCACCTAAATAGCATGGAGAATGGAGCTCTGCCCTTGGACTCTTTCAATAAGAGAATTCATTGAAATTTTCTTTGGAATTAGGCAGTTTCATGTGGGAACTTCAGTGGCATGTCTAAGATGCCTATTGTGAATGGGAAAAAATGTAGATTTGTGAAAATGAATCACATTTGCCCATATGGCTAACTCTAGGTAAACATCTGTTCCTTACATTGTGTTAACAGAAACTAAGTTTGGGGAAGCCTCATACTTTAGGCTGTAAAAGAATGGAATCTGTGAAGCTGGAAAACCCACCATATGTCTTCTACTCCTAAGCACCCTCTTTTGCCTTCAGTTCTCAAACATGTTTACTTGGGGCATGTGATAGCAAAATAAATAAATAAATAAATATCAAAAGGCATCTTTAGTAGGAGGAAAATGAAAGACTTCATTGCAATAGAAGGAAGTGGAGCAAGATGGCCTGATAGAAGCTGCCAGTAATTGCCCCCTCGACTGGAACAATGAAGTGAACAACTATCCGTGCAAGACATCACCTTCATAGGAACCAAAAATCAGCTGCGCCATCACAGTGCCTAGTTTTAACATCACAGCAAAGAAAGAGGCACTGAGGAAGGTAGAAAAGATAGTCTTGAATTGCTGATGCCACCCCTCCCGACTACCTGGCAGTGGCCCTGTGGTGCAGAGAAAATATGTGTTCTCAGAAGAGAGAGAGCACAGTGATTGTGGGATTTTGCATTGCAGCTCATTACCGCCTGTCATAGCAGAAAGCAACATAAGGCAGAATTCAGCGACACCCAAGGAGGGAGCATTTAGACCAGCCCTAACCAGAGCGCAAACATCCATCCCAGTGGACAGACCTGAGTTCCAGCTAGCCCCACCACCATAGGCTACAGCACTCAGGGAGCCTAAAAAAACTTGAAAGGCTGTATAGGCTGTGAGGACTGCAATTGCTGGGCAACTCTTTGTGCTGTGCTGGGCTCAGAGCCAGTGGACTTGGAGTGCACTCAATCTATTATATTAAGACATCAGCCTGGGCAGCCAGAGGAATACTTGCATTACCGGTCCCCTAATCTTAGACAGCACAGCTCGCAGCTCTAGGAGAGACTCCTTCCTTCTGCTTGAGATGAGGAGAGGGGAGAGAAAAGAGGACTTTGTCTTACAACTTGGATACCAGCTCGGCCATAGTAGAATAGGGCACCAGGCAGAGTCCTCAGGTCCCAGTTCAGGCTCTAGCTCTTGGACAACATTTCTAGACACACACTGGGCCAGAAAGTAATCTGCTGCCTTGAAGGTAATGAAGGATCCTGCCTTGAAGGTCTAGCCGGATCCATCACCTGCAGACGCAAGAGCCCTTAGGTCTTGGATAAACAACAGTAGCCAAACAGTACTCACTATAGGCCTTGGTGAGCCCCAGTGCAGTGCTGGCTTCAAGTGTGACCCAGCATATTCTCTGCTGTGGTGGCCATTGAGAGACTTCTTGTGCTTAAGGAAAGAAGAGGGAAGAATAAAGGAGGCTGGGTGCAGTGGCTCACACCTGTAATCCCAGCACTTTGGGAGGCCAAGGCAGGTGGATCACTTGAGGTCAGGAGTTAGAGACCAGCCTGAGCAACATAGCGAAACCTCGTCTCTATTAAAAATACAAAAATTAGCCGGGTGGGGTGGCACACATCTGTGTGATCTTAGGTACTCAGGAGGCTGAGGCAGGAGAATTGCTTGAACCCAGGAGGCAGAGGTTGCAGTCAGCCGAGATCACACCATTGCACTTCAGCCTGGGCAACAAAGCCTGTCTCAAAAAAAAAAAAAAAAGTAAAGGAGACTTTGTCTTGCAGCTTGAGTACCAGCTTGGACATAGCAGGATAGAGCACCAAACAGGCTTCTGAGATTCCCGATTCCAGCCTTGGCACTTGAACCACATTTCTGGACCCACGCTGGGCAGAGGGATGCCCACTGCCCTTAAGAGAAAGACCTAGGCCTAGCAACATTCACCATAAGCTGACTAAAGAGCCCTGGGAACTTGGGTGAACATTGCGGTAGCCAGGTAGTATTTCTTGGGGCCATGGGGTAGTAGTGGGCATGGGGGGAGATTCCTTCTGTTTGATGAAAGGAAAGGAAAGAATGGAAAGGAGAAAGGACTTAGTCTCGTGGCTTGGGTGTCAGCTCAACTGCAATAGAATAGAGCACCGAATAGATTCCTAAGTTTCTTGACTCCAGGCCCTAGCTCCCAGACATCTCAGGACCTGCCCTGGGCCACAGGGGAGCTCACCACTCTGAAGAAAAAAACGCACGCCTGGCTAGATTTGCCACCAGCTAACTAAAGAGCACCTGGGCACTGAGTGAATATCAGCCACAGCTAGAAGGTAGTTGTCGTGGGCCTTGGGCAAGACCCAGGGCTGTGCTGGCATCAGGTCTGACCCAGCACAGTCCCATTGGTGATGAGCAAAGTGTGGTTTATGTTACCCCTCCCCTAGCTCCAGGCAGCTCCATTGTTTAGGGGAAAGTAAGGGAAGAGAACAAGAGACTCTGCCTGGTAATCCAGGGAATTCTCCTGGATCTTACCCAAGACCACTAAAGAGGTACCTCTATGAGTCTGCAAGAGTGACAGCATTCCAGGACTTGGGCTGACCCTCATGCAGATATGGCTTCAGTGAACAAAAACTTAGATCACAACATTCAATTCCCTTTGAACACTCGGAAAGCCTTCTCAACAAGGACAGGTACAAACAAGCCTAGACTGCGAAGACTACAATAAATAGCTACGCTTCGATGCCCAGGCATGGACAGACTTTCAGAAGCCATCAAGATCATTCAGGAAAACATGACTTCATGAAATGAACTAAATAAGGTACTAGTGACCAATCCCAGAGTGATAGAGATATGCCACATTTTAGACAGAGAATTCACAATAGCTGTTTTGAGAAAGCACATGAAATTCAAGATAACACAGAAAAAATTCAGAATCCTATCAGATAAAGTTAACAAAGAGATTGAAATATTTTTTAAAACAAGCAGAAATTGTGAAACAGAAAAATTCAATTGATATATTGAAGAATGCATGTGATTCAACAGCAGAATTGATGAGGCAGAAGAAAGAATTTGTGAGCTTGAAGACAGGTTATTTGAAAACCAAATGTCAGAGAAGACAACAGAAAAAAATGAAACATGTTTACAAGATCTAGAAAATAGCCTCAAAAGGACAAATCTAAGAGTTATTGGTTTTAAAGAGAAGGTGGAGATAGGTGAGGTAGAAAGTTTATTCAAAGGGATAATAACAAAATACTTCACTGGCCAGGCACGATGGCTCACGCCTGTAATCCCAGCACATTGGGAGACTGAGGCAGGTGGATCATGAGGTCAGGAGTTCAAGACCAGCCTGGCCAAGATGGTGAAACCCCGTCTCTACTAAAAATACAAAATTTGGCCGGGTGTGGTGGCGGGCACCTGTAATCCCAGCTACTCAGGAGGCTGAGGCAGGAGAATTGCTTGAACCCGGGTGATGGATGTTGCAGCGAGCCAAGATTGCACCACTGCACTCCAGCCTGGGTGACAGAGTGAGACTCCATCTCAAAAACAACAACAACAACAAATTTCACAAACCTAGAAAAATATATCGATATTCAACTGCAAGAAAGGACAGTCTCTTCAATAAATGATGCTGGGAATACCAAATATCCACATGCAGAAGAAAAAACTGGACCCCTATCTCTCGCCTGGTACAAAACCCAAATCAAAATGGATTAAAGATTTAAATTTAAGACTTCAAACTATGAAACTACTACAAGAAAACATTACAGAAACTCTCCAGGACATTGGTCTGAGCAACAATTTCTTGAGTAATAGCCCACAAGCACAGGCAACCAAAGGAAAAATGGACAAATGGCATCACATCAAGTTTCAAAGCTTCTGAACAACAAAGGAAAAATTCAACAATATAGAGAGACTTCCCACAGAATGGCAGAAAATATTTGCAATCTATTCATGTGACAAGTGTCTAATAACCAGAATATGTAAAGGGCTCAAACACCTCAACAGGAAAAACTCTAATAATCTCATTAAAAAATAGGCAAAAGATGTGAATAGACATTTCTCAAAAGAAGATATGCAAATGGAAAACAGGTATATGAGAAGGTGATCAACATCATTGATCAACAGAGAAATGCAAATCAGAACTGCAATGAGATAACATCTCACCCCAGTTAAAATGGCTTTATCCAAAAATAAATAATCATAAGTGCTGACAAAGATATGAAGAAAAGGGAACCCTCATAGACTATTGGTGAAAATGTAAATGAGTGCAGCCACTATGAAGAACAGTCCAGAGGCACCCTGAAAAACTAAAAATAGAACTCTCATATGATCCAGCAAACTCACTGCTAGGTATACACCCAAAAGAAAGGAACTCGGTATATCAAAGAGATATCTACCCTTCTGTGTTTATTGCAACACTATTTACAATAGCCAAGATGTGGAAGCAACCTAAGTGTTCATCATCAAATGAATGGATAAAGAAAATATGGTACATATACACAATAGAGTACTATTCAGCCATAAAAAGAATATGATCTTATAATTTGGAACACCATGAATAGAACTGGAGGACATTTTGTTAACTGAAATAAGCCAGGCACAGAAAGACAAAATTGTTCTCATGTTCTCACTCATTTGTGGGAGCTGAAAATTAAAACAATTGAACTCTTGGAGAGTAGAATGATGGTTACCAGAAGCTGAGAAAGGTAGTGGTGGAGAGGGGGGAACGGGAATGCTTAATAGGTATAAAAATATAGTTATGTAGAATGAATAAGATATAGTATTTGATAGCACAACTGAGTGAGTGCAGTCAACAATAATTTAGTGTATGTTTAAAAATAGCTAAAAGACTTTGGGAAGCCGAGTCAGGTATATCACTTGAGGTCAGGAGTTCGAGACCAGCCTGGCCAAGGTAGTGAAACTCCATTTCTACCAAAAATACAAAAAATTAGCCAAGCACGATGGTGTGTACTTGTAGTGCCAGCTACTAGGGAGGCTGAGGCATGAGAATCGTTTGATCCTGGGAGGCAGAGGTTGCAGTGAGCGGAGATTGCACCACTGCACTCCAGCCTGGGTAACAGAGCAAGACTCTGTCTCAAAAAAAAAAAAGTTAAAAGAGTATAATTTGAATATTTGTAACACAAAAAAATTATAAATGCCTAAGGTGACAGATACCCATTTATCTTTATGGGATTATTACACATTGTATGGTTGTATCAAAATATCTCATGTGCCTCATAAATGTATACACCTACTATGTACCCATATTAATCCATTAAAAAGGCAATGTAAATTACTATTCCTTTTATTATTCAATATCTTGTATTATCATTTAAATTTAAAGATGCTGAAATGTTCAAGTTCAGCCTAGGTGCCTGTCCCTCCATAGTCAATCATATCTCAGTGCCTAGAGTCAATTTATTCACTGACTCATTCATTTGTGAAAGTAAAATGGACTGTGTGTTTGTGTTTGTGTTTGCTACGTTAGAGATTCAGAGTAATACAAAACATGACCACTGCCTTTGAAGGGTTGCAATGTTGCCAGAAGATGAGATAAGTCGTAAACATGAAGTACATTAAAAATTCAAGGGCAATATTACTCTTACAGTTAGTCATCTATGAATGCTTTTAGTTTTAAATACCAATAATCTGGAGAATCACACTCTCTTTCCTCTTCCACATCAATGTCATCCTCTTCATTCATCCTCATAAACTATGTTCTAATCATTCCTTCTTTTGTCTTCTTTTTCTTTCCACCTCCAGGCTCTTCCCCTTTATTTTTATTAAGTCAACAAATGCATGTGTCTCTGCTACATGCCAGACACTATACTAGATCTAGGGATTTAAAAAATTATATGATTACACAAATATTTATCAATACTTTACAGAACAATCTTTTAAAAATCAAATATGATCATAGAAACTCTTCGCCTGAAACTTCTTACTCAGTCAGCCTTTGCTTAGTATATTAGTTTCCTAAATTGTTGTAACAAATTACTGTAATTTTCATTTTCCTCTGCCTCCACTATTGCCTATAAGGTTAGATCACTTCCCATCACTGTATCTCCTACATTTTATTTTAGCCCTACTGGATTTCTGACAAGTGAGTAATTTTTTCTTCTACGACTGTGTTTTGGAAATTCTATTCCTTCCAACTAAAATGGTCAATCTCACTTGTCAAACTATTAATCTTTTACTCTTCATTCATATTCATAACAAACTATAACCACCTCTTCTAGTCCCTAAAACATCTCCTTAATCAAACTGAAGAACTCCTTTTTTCATATATTCAGGTTTGCTGAGCATGTTCCTACACATTCTCATCAAGTATTAAAATCATTTACAACTTTATCTCACTTTAAAACTATGAGTTCTCTAAGCACAGTGAATACAATTTTGGTATTTAAGAAGATGCTTAATAAATATGGATGCCTGAATGAACAGGTGAAAGAAAATTAGATCAGAATCCAACATATGCATAGAACTCTGACCTCTAGAAAAGGATATGATATGTCACAAAGCTGTTAATGCATTGTGGTGGTTGTAACATAATATTCTTTTGAGAGTTTTAGCAAAAGTCCTCCTTATGTACAAATGAGTTATAAATAAAATCCCCTACCTGAGTAGGATTGAAAATGGGGATTTTATTTATAAAATAAATAGATAAAATCCACCTGAGATTCCGTTGCTACAGATTAAACTCGGTTTATGAGGCACAGAGAAAATTTTTTACTCTTTTAATGCAATCGAGGAGTCTTTTGCTTAAATTGAAAGCTGTTTTATAAAATCATTTGGTAGCATTAATTAAATTCAGAGATAATTAATTAATATATGATATTCACATAGCACAGTTCCTAGAATTGATCTAGTTTTAATGGAAATTACAAAGTTTTGCTACACTGCAGTCCAAGACTTGATTTGAAAAGAAATACTATGTAATTTATAAGAATTCTGGTAAGAGATAAAAAAAATTCTCACTGTGAATTATATTAGTCACTTTTATTTCAGAATGTGAGAGATGATGCTGTGTCTGGAGAATACAGATAGAAGCAGGCAGGAAATATGAGTTGGGGTAGAATTTGAATGTGTAAAACCAGCAGACTTTAAACATAGTGCTGAAACACATTTAGCCTTTGCCATGGAATCACTGATGAAATCTAGCCCAAAAGGTTGAAAAGCCCTCCACTCCTTCCCACCTGCCAAAACTTTGTCATATGTCACAAAAGAAGAGAGTCCCACATTTCTTCTACAATAAGGGAACAGATCTCACTAGGCCAAGAGAAGGGTCTCACCTCTCCTTCCTCTCTGCTAACTTTCCACTCTGTTCAGTCAGGCCTTGTTTGTTGTATTAGTTTCCTAGAGTGCTGTAACAAATTACCATAAACTGGATGGACTAAGGCAACATCGATTTATTCTCTTCTTATTGTGGAAGCCAGAAGTCCAAAATTAAAGCACTGCTGTGCTTCCTCCTAAGACTCTGGAGATAAATCTCTTCTTTTCCTCTTCCAGCTGCTGGTGGCGCCAGGTGTTGCTTGGCTCTTGGCTGCACCACTCCCATCTCTGCCTGTCTTCATTTTACCTCCTCCTTTTCTCTCTCAAAATTCCATCTGCTTCTCTCCTAGAAGGATACACGTGATTGCATTTAGGGCTCACTCAGATAATTCAGGGTAAATTCCAGAAGGAGCTCAAGATCCTTAACTTCATCTCATCTTTTGACATACAAGATAATCCTCACTATTTTGCCCTATAAGGTAATAGTTACATGCTCTGAGGATTAAGACTTAAATATATTTTTGTTGCGGGAGGGCACCATTTGACCCACTACACTTGGATTGATTGCTAGAGTGAAAGAAGTTGTGTTGATGATGGTTGTTTCCTTTGGAGCACATTGCATGTTCACTTTGGGGCATTGGCCTCTAACCCCATACAGTGGTGAGAATTTCATGGCTTATTGACGATGATGCTGGACAAAAGGCACAACAGCTTCCTTTTACCACTGGCTTCTTGGAAGCCTGAATGGACCCTGAATACTGCAATAGGCAATATATTAATTAAAGCTGCCTAGAATAACCTTTCATGTTGAGTGCCCCTTCCTTGTTCCTACATCCCCATGAAATCTGTGACGATCTCTGCATTTGATGGATATTAAGTATCTATGTTTCCATTGCAAGCTTCTGTGGGATAAAAATTATACCTTCTTTATACTTATTTAATTAGCATCTCACCTCTCGCCTACTGCATTAATTGTTTTTTAGTGAGTGTGTGTTGAACTAAGCTGAATTGCATCTAAGTTAGGTTTAGCAAGGCATCTAGAGTCTTGAGAAAAGTATGGCCAGTGTGAGAACAGCATTAGAGAATCTCTCACCCTTTTACTCCTCAAGATAAAAGTGTCTTTCTTCTAGGATGTACATGGCATTAGAGATGATCTTGTCTTTTTCTGTTACTCTATTTATTGGTTTTTCTTCTTTCTGGCTGAGACGTATTGATTGCCAGCCATTCTCAAATCACATGTGATGTTGATTCCTCTTTCTTAGCAAACATGCAGTCATAGAAATTACTGAGGAATTGATTGATTTTGTGGTTGTAAATATCCTGGGCTGTTTCCCTTAAATTATATGGAAGTTTCCCTCTTGATGCTTGTATTGAGAAGTGATCTAAAGAGGAAACCAGAGCTAGAGACAGTGCTCCCACTCCATGTATTTCCATATATAATGGATAGCGTTATTTCCTCTTGATGCTTGTATTGAGAAGTGATGTAAAGAGGAAACCAGAGCTACAGACAGTGCTCCCACTCCATGTATTTCCATATATAATGGATAGCATTATTTCTATTGACATTTTCTGCCCCTTTACTTTTTGCCTGTGAATTATCTCAGTGTATTATTAGGCCCAATAATTTAATGTGATAGATTCAAAGGGAATAAAACAATTAAACAAAATAGCAGGAATTTCAAGTAATTACTGCTGAAAATCAGAATTTACAGACCCCAATACCTTGAAAACATACAATTAGCATTCAGAATAATTTTATGATGTACCTGATTTGTGTTTCAGGGAAGATAAATGTTTTCTTTAGATATGAGTTCCAAAGAAAAACACCATCACATCTATCCATTTCTAGTTCAGTACATTAGGAGAACTGTCTTGTCACAAGACTTGTCTTAGAAAGACTGACCCTGTCCCCATGAGAAACACTGTCAATTCAGAGACTAATAGAACACTTAAAGCCATTTGTTTCCCCAACATCTCATTTTTATTTCTATACAAAGCTGCAGTCATTTTAACAAGTTGAGAAGAGAGGATTAGAACAATTCTGTTAGGTAATGAGACCCAGTTCCGTAAAGCTTTTCTCATCAATCAATCTCTTTAATTTAAGGTTGCATTATATGGCATTAAAGGAATCTCCTTCATGCTTATTATCCTCACCTACCTAGTGAGAAAAGGCTTACGTGGAACAATAAGGATGGAAATGGGAAAAGGAAGACAAAGGTAAAAACTTGGTGGCTAAGGGTTAGGGTGCTAAGAGACTGCAGACAGGAATCCAAAGCTTAATTCCTATGACAAAAGCAGACCTATGGATTTAGACAGGACAACAAAACAGGAAATGCCTGTTCCAAAAAGGACAAAAGTGGGATAAAGGAAATATGCAGGTGGGTTCTAGGTTAAAGCCAATAGCGACTAACAGGGGACTGATACAGAAGCAGGACTGGAAAGCAATAATTGAGTCTAGTGAGCAGCCTCAGTTTCTCCTGATCAGAAGCCCACGTTTATTTGGGAACATTTTCTGTACTCATGTGTATTGCTGCGCATGACTCCAAATCCCAAACCAGATTTTAGCAGTTCACAGAACTTGATAACAAGTACGGTACCACTAACAAAGCAATGAGGCTCAAAGACCCCATGGCTATTTCGGCTATTTCTGTAACTTCTTTTTCATTTGACACTTCTTCAACTCTCATACCAGAAATTTCACTATTGCAAATCACTTGTTTCCAGACAAACACCAATTACTCTCTTAATCTTCCTGTGATGAGGGAGCTTGTCTAATTTAACCATTTCTTCTCTGAGCCTGACCTTTCATTGTCTTCAAGCAAACAAAAGGTTTTTCTGGCTTTGCTCTTCAAATAAATCACTCTGAGAAGTTGATAAAGTAAAGTTCTTTGGGCTTGTTGTTGGATATGCTTTCACTCCTCTTATATGGTAATTTTCAACCATGCTTTTATTATGCTTACCTTTGCTAAAGAAACTGTCAGCAATTTAGCTAAATATTTTAACAGTGGTGAATCTAGAATAGGCTATTTCTTCTGAAGAGTTGCTGCTTTTGGAGGCCTGGGGCTATTCCAGATACTTCTGACTATCCTAAAGCTTCATGGCCCAAGGAATCAGACTGAAATTATAATCAAGTCCTACATGGTACTGAGGGTTTCTTTAATCATTTAAAAACAGGACTTTAGCAAAAACATAAATGGTTTTCTATGACACTAGAGTGAAATTTGCATATAATCAACCTAATAAATTCTTATACATTATAACTTTTTTACTAAGTATTTGACAGTTTGCCTACTAGTTAATAGTTTGACACTCTAGTCAATATTGTAAGAACCAAGGCAGTGACAGATCATGATACATTTTAAAGTGCTGAAGTAAGGAAGAAAAAAAAATGTTTTGTCTCAAAAAAATTACTCTGAAGACAGATTAATTACATAAGAGGAAGTTGGAGTTGGCTCTAATTTCTACCCATGGTTTTTGAATCAGTTTTATAGAACTTTAAATGTTCAAGTTTTCTACCCTATAACTTTTTTATTCTATCTGATTTTGATGAGAATGGGAAGATTAAATGCTAAAATCTTAAAAGGAAATATATTACTTTTTCATATTGTACCTGAATCCAAGAATCTGAAAACTCCTGGATACCTGTGAAATACTTGGATTGACCTTGCAGGTAGATTAAAAAATACCTATCAGTGGGCAAATACGTTTCCATAATATCACCCATTTCAAAACCAAATAGAGAATGATACAGGTAATATTGCTAGCCAAGAAATATTGAAAGTCATTACTGAAGCTTGGTTTCATCCTTCTTGCTTCCTGCTATTTACCAAACATGAGTATTTTCTATATGACTTTTCATCAACCATTCTCATAATTCACCAGACTCACCCTGTTTCTTTCCTATCATTACCCCTGGGGAAAAAAAGCAGCTTTATATTTTTGCATGAAGACTAATATTCTTAAATGCTAATAAACGGAACTTGAGTTATTATAATATAAAATACTACACCAATTGTATCTCAGTATATCAAACAGTCTTATTTGTCTTGACACATGGTATTTTGCTAATGGAGGAGATGGTCAAATGCAGTTATTCTTGGTCATAACATATTACTTATTCCATTGAATAATGTAATGAAATAGCTCCTTTTAATGTGAAAAAAATTGTAAATGGTTCCATAGCAGACATTTTAACAATTTAGCTTTTACGTTTCATTAGCAGTTAAAATAAATGAAAGTAAAATATTTATTTACAAAAAACAAATCAACTTGAAGTCTAAAATATATTAGAATTAATGTGGGAAATATGTTTACCTTTGTAAATTAAGCTCTTTGCATTTTCAATCATCTAACCTATTAACACAGCTGTCCTAGTCACACAGAGAACTCAGAGCAGGACTCAGTCATGAGGAAATCTCAAAAACTTTGCAAATACATAAAATGTAATTCCTACATTAGCATAAACAGCCCATGTATACAGGGATATGGGTTGTGTTCAACTGTTTATATTAGGCTGTTCTTGCATTGCTATAAAGAAATACCCGAGACTGTGTAAGTTATAAAGAAAAGAAATATAATTGGCTCACAGTTCTTCAGCCTTTACAGGAAGTACGGTGCTGGCATCAGCTCAGCTTCTAGGAGGCCTCAGGAAGGCTTATAATTATGGTGGAAGGCAAAGGGGCTGCAGGTATGTCACATGACAAAAGCAAGAAAGAGAGAGGGAGGGAGGTGCCACACATTTTTAAACTACCAGCTCTTGTATGAGCTCATAGCGAGAGCTCACTTATCACCAAGAGAATTCACTTATCACCAGCCATTCATGAAGAAACCACCCCCATGATTCAAACACCTCTTACCAGGCCCCACCTCCATCCCTGGGGATTACATTTCAACATGAAATTCAAGCAAGGACAAATATCCAAACGACATCAACTGTTGACAGTTTTCTTTGCTCAGTAATGTCAAATGGCACTCCTAACTGAGCCTTCACAACTATACATCCCTGGTTGCAGTAGACTTACTCAGAAAATTTTGAAAATGAATCTTTACAATCTTCAAAAAACACAACTGACTTGGCAAAAAAGATATTATAGGACATTAATTTATGAAATATCCTCTTTTTTTCATATTTGTTCTGAGTTTTGCTTTTGGTATTGGCAAGGAAGGTAGGTATTTCGATGGCAAAAATCCAAATCTGTTATTTTCATTAGATAGACGTGTAGCAAAAGAAATGAGTCTGGTAGGATTCCTATTCCTTCTATATGCACTTTCCAAAAATATAGCAATCTACTTGTAGCCCATAAGTAGATTTCTAAGCCATCTTTGTTGATTAAAGCATGTTACTAATGAGTTCATATTACTGATTGTGATGTGTCAGTTTCCTTCACTTTACTTCATAATGTCAAATTGCACATCTAGCTTAACATTCACAGCTATTCATACCTGGTAACTTTCAAAATGTTGGTTTCCTCAGTAAAAATGCATTAATGTGTGTTTGCAGGGCTAAAAAATGAAGAAAAGAAAAGGAAAGCCCTCAAAAGACATCAATGGCATTCTAATATTTGTCTCAAATTACAAAAAATTGAAATAATTCAAGAACTTAAAAATGATGATTTAATTATTACATTTGTAAGCAAAATATATGATGCACATGTAAACAAAGTGAAGAATTGAGATAGATTGCCTGATAATGCAAGAGAAACAGCAGATTTAAAATATGCACAAGTACTACTTACTTTGGTCCATTTGCAGTTAAAAAGAAAATGTTTACATACCCACCTCCCTTACTGCCAACCGTGTATATTCCAATATGTTCTCTCTCTCTTAAACTCAGCACTGAGTTCCTTTTATTATTTATGGTGCACTAAGTGTCCGAACTCAGGTCTTCCCACCCAAAGAAAAGCACCCTATACCAGTGGCTTTCAAATTTGAGCTTACATCTGAATCACTTCATTAAAACACAAATGTCTGCCATTACTTTAGAGTTTTGGATCAACAATTCACATTTTTAACAGGTTTCCAGCAATGCTGATGCTGCCGGTCCAGGGGCCACACTTTGAGAACCACTGCCCTATACTTAACTATCCTGAGTTTGAGGAGGTAGGCCTTATCTCAAATATTCTCATCAAATTACCCTGTAAGATTATTATTTCTTATTAGATGCTGAAGTGTTGGGATGGTGGAGGTTCATAAAATAAGGATAAGACATAAAAATGAACAAAGTTACTTTCTTCTTTCTTTCTCATTCTTTTTTTTTTTTGTCCACCCTCCTCTCCACCTCCAAGACAGCTAATTCTAGCCTATTAAGGATATGTAATCTAAAAGAAAATTCACACTACAATGTAAATGGCTGACTTGGAGCTGTATGAAGTGCATTAAGCACATTCACTTGTTAAAGAGCAGCTTGTTAAATGGATTGATCCTTCAATCATAAGTTTTAGCCAACTAGATTATTAAGAGCAGGAAGCCTTTCTGAAATCCAACTGATCTCTTTATCCTCTCAATTTTGTCTGGAGAAGCTCTTTTTTGGGTGGGAGGGGAAAATACAAACACTTCCCACTTACTATTGATACAGATAACCCAGTAAGAACCAATTTTCAGCAGTGCTTCTAAGTGACAATAGAAGGTAATACATTAGGCCTTACTCCTCAGCTCATCCATTGGTATGAGGCTGAAGTAAAGGTGATAGCCACTTCAACATCCCTTTGGGCCTGTTTTCTCCCTCTACAAAGCTGAATTAGTTTTGCTTCTCTAGTGAGTGAAGAGCTTCTCTGTGCCCCAAAAGAGGAAAGGCAGCTAAAGATTTAAAAGAATAAAAGAATGCATGTAAAAACTGTACTAAAGTAAATAAGAAAATAGATAAAAATAAATGACAGATAGATAGACCGACAAGACATACCTGTTTTTTGTCTATATCTGGTTGGATAGTGCCAAGAATTAAAAGCAAAAGAGAATGAATTGCAAAAATTTCCTACTAAGAACTAAAAACAAAAAGTAACTTTTGTTCGTTTGTTTGTTTTGTTTGTTTGTTTTTTGAGACGGAGTCTGGCTCTGTCGCCAAGGCTGGAGTGCAGTGGCGCGAACTCGGCTCACTGCAAGCTCCGCCTCCCGGGTTCACGCCATTCTCCAAAAACAAAAAGTAACTTTGAATCTTCCAAAAATGTTTAAAGGACCACAAAAGTAATAAGATAAACTTTGTCAACTTTTCTAGAAACTAGCTGATATAAATATATTCGCCTCATTTTTTAACATTAAATAAATTGTAAAATACACATTAAGTTGAATTCTTCTTTACTCTCTTTTCTAGTCCCTTCTCTTTCTCTAGATGTACTCACTATCATGAATTTTCTATGTATCTTACTTATACTTTTACTCCATTTATATGCATCCATGGAAATATACAATATTCATTAGTTAATGCTTCATAAATAGTTTTAAAAATATTATTCTTCATTCTTTTTAAATATTTCTTTTCCTCACACACAAAATGAATTTCATATTAAATAAAAGAATAATATATCTTTCCCAACTTCCCCTTCTTTGACAATTTTTTAATTCAAGCCACTCTTACATACGTGTTTGTCTGATAAGTGAACTCTCTTTAAGCATCTCCAATTTTCACAGAGCATGAGAACTTACATACAAATTAACATTCTTGCTCCTCATTTTTATTCATTATACTTTTCTATTAGCAGGTTTATTTGAAAAAAAAAAAAAAAACTGGAATACATCAAGAGCAACCAGGCTATATTGGAAGGGGCCTTCTCTTCTGTCTTTCTCGTTATTTAGGTAGTGGCAAATACATTAGCAATTGACAACCTATGGAAAATTTCTACCAGTTGACAAAGGGAAAAGTCCCAGTCCCTCCTCACTTAACATTCTAAACTGTTGACTGCACTCAAGATGCACCTAAGATGAAACAATGTCAGTTGCCTAAAGACATGATTATAAAAAAAATGTGGACCTCAGTTGTGTGTGTGATTTATTTTCATCTCCAAACACTCATCCCTGACTTGTAATGCAGAATTAAGAGAACACTGAATTCAAATTAAAGATCATGCAAACAAGATGCTTAGTCTAATCATTTTCACTTTATTATAGCGAAGTCTTGTTAGGGACCCAAAAGTATGAATTTGTGATTTCAAGCCTACCAAATACATTTATAATTCCACAAATGTATGCTATAAAAATTGTAGGCACATATTTTCTTCCCAAATTTGCTAAAATCATAGAGTTAACACTAGTTTTCCTCTTTTTGTAGAACACATTCCTAGGGAAAGATATACTCTTTAGATAGATATGAAATTTAAGCAACTTTAACCACATTTACTTCCCGTGTATTTAAATTCAGAAAAAGCTGTATGAAAAAGAGTAGGTGAATACTACCCCTGTTCATTTTGATTTGATTGATTTGATTTTGGAATGTTACATCATTATTCCCATTTAAGAACTTTTGCTCATATGGAAAGAAATTTGAAATGGAAGATATAAGGGCTAATTTCCATTCCTAGGTCTCCCATTGATCATCACTATGATAATAAAAATACAATTATCACTTTTAAAATGTTAAATATTGTTAACATTATAATAATTATTTCATTTTATTTTACTACAATGTATGTCTTGTATGAAATATCATGTGTAAGTAATATTTTTCTACATAGTATCTAGGATAAGACACAATGAGCTTGAGCTTCAGTTTTTTTATCTGCTTAAAGATCTTAGACTTAATAGACTGGGTGCTTTCAGATCCCTTCTGGCACTACCAATCTTTGATTCTAATCCACAACTCCATCTGTCTCTGATATCCATTTGATAGAATAAAATTCAGTAATCCAAACTGAAATAATAGAAGACTGATGAATTTTGAATAATAATAGTCCCCATGTATTAAAAGCCCATTGTGCTCCTTGCAATTTTATATCTAATCCTAATGACAACTTTGCAAAGCAGTTGAGATTACATTTATTTTATCAATTTTTTTAAAAGGAAGCTCAAGTAGTTTACTAATATCCCCAATATCATTCAGGTAGTAAAGGGAATAATCAGCATTGGTATATTGCCACATCTTCCACCTCTCCTGCCCTTTTGTTCCAGTGTACAGTTAGCCCTTCATATCTGCAGATTCAACCAACCACAGTGAAAATATTAAAAATTCAAATACAAATTTTTAAAATATAGTATAACAACTTTATATAGCATTTACATTATATTAAATATTATAAGTAATATAAAGATGATTTAAAGTATACAGGAGGATGTGCATAAGTTATATGTGAACACTTCAAAATTTTATAGGAGGGTCTTGAGCACTCACAGATTTTGGTATCCGCAGGTTTCTGGAATCAATTCCCTATTGATACAAGGAAGGACTACATTGCTACTCTTCATACCCAGTCCCCAAATTTATACAATATACTTTCTTTGCTCATCATTTTTTTATTCTCTTTTTCACAACATTTACCAAGTCCCCAACACTATTCCTTAGATGTGAAAAGTAGTTGTCTCTAAATTCTCATCAGAAATGCAATTTGTATCTGGATCTAGTCGAGTTAATAGCACTAATCAGGAAAGTGAACATGGTTGGGTAATTTTCATTAGACCTCAGCTACTCTTCAGGTATACAGCAGATAGAAACTCTCAATAATAAAGGTTTACAAATACTGAAGAGATAATTTATTCCATAAGAAAAGGCTTAAATCTTATTGAGATGGAAAAAAGACCTCATTTCATGCTACAAGAAGAGGAAGCTTTAAAAAGTGAGTGATTTTAATATATTATTTAATATAGTAATAACATACTTGTATAGTAATTCACAGTTCATAGAAATATTGAAACTATAGATAACATTTTAATCTCTTAATGGTTGGAAAACAAAACCAGCATTAATGGGAAATAATATCTGAAGTCACATTTAAACTATTATAGGAAGGTGTTTCTACCAGGTTCTTTTTAGTTTTCAATATGTTTTACAGAGAAAATTATTAAGCTTATTTCTTCAAATATCAACAAATTATGCTCTTTTCTTATCTGATTGCCTTACATTTTCTTTATCCCCAGCTTGATGTTACACATTAAAGCAAGATGATATGTAGGAAGAACCTAATTTATAGATCATTGCGTTTGTACTCTTCTGGGCATTTGGACCATTGTAATTATTGTAACTAACAGAAATGCAATATAGATGATCACTACTCCAATTTATTATTGAGAATGTGATGAGTCAGTAGTATTAAACTAGGCAGGATGTAACTGGTTAAGGGAAGACACAGCACACTGATCCTTCCATGTAAAGTGAGTTTGATGCTACTCTTTATTGAAAAGGACATAAATTAAAGACAAAGAGAGTCTAAGTGCACAAAGTAGGCACCCATTTAAGACTCCTTCCTTAAGATTATAATAATACATTAGGATTGGTAGAAAAGTAATTGTGGTTTCACTATTACTTTTAGAAGCAGAAACCACAATTATTTTTGCACCAACCTAATACTAATTTATGTACTAAAAATGCACACAAATGTTTATAATATCTGGGAACCATTAACCACCCTGCTGAGAAACAACATGTATGAAGAAACTTCGCTTTTTATTGAAGGATTTTCTGCTTAGAACTATGATCATGAGCATGCCGGAGGACAAAAGCCAACTCTAAACACAATAGAACAAAAAGAATGAAAACAACAAACAACCCGAAGAAATTATACATCTTCTGAATTAATCAACTCTGAAACCATCTACCTCTGTACTTCTTGATATGGTAGATAGTAAGTTAATCATCATTTCAGTCATTTTTAGTCAGTCTTTCTGAAGCAGAAGAAAAGTGTCACTATGGATGCAGTATATCTCTGGAAAATAATAACAATTTATTTTACAGCAAACTTGAGTTTGTCTAAATTGAGCACTTTGCCTGCTATATTTACTTTGTTCTATTTCAGATACATGTATTGCTAGAAGCTATCATGTTTTACTATCTTTAAAATTGTACAACACAAAATGCCTTGTTGCAATGACATCTAATGCTCAAGAATAACTTTTCTGTCTGTTCTTCTCTCACCCTTTCCTCCAATTCCTGCAATTACAGCAGCAGACATGGCTTTTAGGAGGAAGGGGACAAATTTAGGCTGAGGGCTACCTCAAAATATTTTCCAAAAGTTCCACCACTACTATATTATTATTATTATTATCATTATTATTAGAAGAAGAAGGAGAATAGCAGAAAAGTAGGAAGAAAAGAAAGAGAAAAGGAGGAAGAGGAAGCAGATGCATTCTTGGTTACCTAATGTTTATATTATGTGCCCATTATTAAATATTCTACCAGGACTGCATTGTCTTGAGTTTTCCATTCGAACAACTCCACTGTTCAAGTTACTAAGCTGTATAAGAAGGAGGCAGAAGACTTGGTCCCTGCATTCTGGAAACTTACAAACATTTCTCTTCAATATAGCAAATAATAGTTTGTTTCTAACAGCCCATACAATGTATGTTTGTAAAGTAATTGGGCCATCCATCAGCCTGAACTAAGTGAAATTATGCATTTTTAAAATATTAATTTACAGATATTGTCAGAATGCTAATTAAAGTTTCTTATCTATGGGAAAACATTTCGAAAGATCCAAACAGCAGAAAATCAGTTAAATTAATACTTTATATTTCTTCCTTTAATATTTAGCACTGAAACTTCAATAAGCAAGATTAGTTTCATTATTATGTTTTCTGCTGTAGTGGACTAATTTGCTTGATCATGACAAACACATATCTGAATATCATTTGTAAATCTCAGTTATTAATTAGTCTTTAAAACAGTGTAAATTCATCTGAATATGTAAGAAAGTAGGAGAAATATGATTGTGACAAAATGTTCTCAACATGGGAAAATATGTTGCCTTTTTATAATAATCAATACAATAATAAGAGTAAAATAAAAATTCATAAACTATTATATCTGATTTAAACACTGGTATGACTCTATTAGATTACATATGCTTCCCAACTTATGATGGGGTTACATCTCAATAAATTTTGTTAATCAAAAAGATCATAAGTCAAAAATGCATTTAATACACCTATCATTAGCCTGCAAAAAGATTAAAATTCAGATTTTAAAGTATGTTTTCTACTGAATGCTTATGACTTTTGCACCATTGTAAAGTAAAAAAATCATAAGCTGAACCACTGTAAATTGTGGACAATCTGTATTTGGTTAGAAAATATTTCAAGCTCTTCAAAGTCAGGGAACATAGCCTATTTAAATCTTAATCCCCCACCTTGCTTAACCCAATGGCTTGCAATGTAGAGTAATATGTAAGTTTTTATGAGTTTAATTGAATCTATAATTAGGTATTTATGAAATTACTTAGTCTGATAACAATTTAGATTACTAATTACTCCATAAGAATCTGAGGCAAGACTGTAGTAGCAAATGACATATCAATTAAATTGCAAGTGCAACTCAGACATATTTAAAATCAAATCTATATAATTTATTACAGTTTTTGAATCTTTGCTTTTTCAGAACACTTGCTTTGCTGAAAATATTTGGATCATAAAGACTATATTATGCTGTTTCCTTGATCCAGAATCTTCTTTCAAACCTCTGGTTAAATGTCATTTCCTTAGGAAATCTTCTCTGATCTCTCTAACTAGATTAAATCTTATCAGTATCATATACTTACTTTGAATAAACACAAATGTCAATTGTACTTGAGTATTTATTTATGTAATATGCTTTCTTCATTAGAATGTACGCATTCCAGAGCAAAGACCACATTTTTCTTGTTTATTGATCTATCCTCAGTGCTTGTATTAGTCTGTTCTCATGCTGCTAATAAAGACATACCCAAGACCGGGTCATTTATAAAGGAAAAAGGTTTGCTTGACTCACAGTCCCACATGGCTGGGGAGGCCTCACAATCATGGCAAAAGGCAAAGGAGGAGCAAAGTCACATCTTACATGGTGGCAGGCAAGAGACAGCAGCATGTTCAGGGGAACGCACCTTTATAAAACCATCAGATCTCATGAGACTTAGTCACTATTATAAGAACAACATGGGACCTGCCCTATGACTGAATTACCTCCTACCAGTTCTCTCCCATGACACATGGGAATTATGGGAGCTATAATTCAAAATGTGATTTGAGTGGGGACACAGCCAAACCATATCATTTCTCACCTGGCCCCTCTCAAATCTCATATCCTCACATTTTAGAACCAATCATACCTTCGCACCAGTCCCCCAAAGTCTTAACTCATTTCAGCATTAACTAAAAAGTCCACAGTCCAAAGTTTCATTTGAGACAAGGCAATTCCCTTCCATTTATGAGCCTGCAAAATCAAAAGCAATGATTGAGTTACTTCCTAGATACAATGGGGTACAAGCATTAGGTAAATACACCCATTCCAAATGGGAGAAATTGGCCAAAAAGAAGCGTCTGCAGGCCCCAGGCAAGTCCAAAATCCAGGAAGGCAGTCAAATCTTATATCTCCAACAAGATATCCTTTGACTCCATGTCTCACATCCAAGTTAAGCTCATGCAAGAGGTGGGTTCCCATGGTCTTGGACAGCTCTGCCCCTGTGGCTTTGCAGAGTACAGCCCACCTCCTGGCTGCTTTCACAGGATGGTGTTGAGTGTCTGTGGCTTTTCCAGGTGTACAGTGCAAGCTGTCAGTGGATCTACCATTCTGGGGTCTGGAGGATGGTGGCCCTTATCTCAAAGCTCCACTAGGCAATGCCCCATTTGGGACTCTATGTGGAAACTTCCACCCCGCGATTTTTTTCTGCACTGCCCTAGCAGAGGTTCTCCATGAGGGCTCCATCCCTGAAGCAGACTTCTGCCTGGACATCTAGACATTTCCATACATCCTCTGAAATCTAGATGGAGGTTCGCAAACCTCAATTTTTGACTTCTGTGTACCTGCAAGCCCAATACCACATGTAAGCCTCCAAGGCTTAGGGCTTGTACCCTCTGAAGCAATGACCTGAGCTCTAAGTTGTCCCCTTTTAGCCACAGCTGGGATGCAGGGCATCCAAAGCACTGCACAAACCAGCAAGGCCCTGGGCCTAGCTCACGAAACCAATTTTTCCTCCTAGGCTTCTGGGCCTGTGATGGGAGGGGCAGCCATGAAGACCTCCAATATGCCCTGAATACATTTTCCCCATTGTCTTGGTGATTAACATTTGGCTCCTCATTACTTATGCAAATTCCTGCAGCAGGCTTGAATTTCTCCTCAGAAAATAGGCTTTTCCTTTCTATCGCATCATCAGGCTGCAAATTTTCCAAACTTTAACCTCTGCTTCCCTTTTAAACATAAGTTTTGATTCCAAGCTCTATCTTTGTAAATACATAAAACAATGCTTTTAACAGTACCCAAGTCACCTCTTGAATGCTTTGTTGCTTAGAAATTTTTTTGCCAGATGCCTTATATCATCTCTCTCAAGTTTAAAGTTTCAGAGATCTCCAGGGCTGGGCAAAATGCCAGCAGTCTCTTTGCTAAAATATAGCAAGAGTCACCTGGGCTCCAGTTCCCAACAAGTTCCTCATCTCTATCTGAGACCATCTCAGCCTGGACTTTATTGTCCATATTATTATCAGCATTTTGGTCAAAGCCATTCAACAAATCTCTAGGAAGTTCCAAACTTTCCCACATCTTTCTGTCTTCTTCTGACCCTCCAAACTGTTCCAACTTCTGCCTATTACCCAGTTCCAAAGCAGTTCCACATTTTTGGGTATCTTTACAGTAGCACCCCACTCTACTGGTACCAATTTACTGTATTAGTCTGTTCTCATACTGCTAATAAAGACATACCCAAGACAGGGTAATTTATAAAGGAAAAAGGTTTAATTGACTCACAGTTCCTCATGGCTGGGGAGGCCTCACAATCATGGCAGAAGGCAAAGGAGGAGCAAAACCACATCTTACATGATGGCAGGCAAGAGAAAATGTGTGCAGGGAAACTCTCCTTAATAAAATCATAATATCTCATGAGACTTATTCACTATCATGAGAATAACATGAGGAAGACCGGCCCCCTGATTCAGTTACCTCCCACTGGGTCCCTCTCATGAAACATGGGAATTATGGGAGCTACAATTCAAGATGAGATTTGGGTGGGGACACAACCAAACCATATCAGTGCTCAAAAAATATTTGTTGAATGAATATATGGAGAAGCAAGCTATGCTTTTACAAGTTGCAAGGAGCTAATTTCTGTGCATTTTCACATGTTTTATCAATAATGTCAAGGAAAATATTCAAAATATAACAATCTAAAAACCAAAATTAACTATGTATTATGCTCTCATTTTTGTAAAAAAATATACAAATACAAAATGGTAAAATACATAAAGATACTATCTCTGTATTCTAGGATTATATTATTTTATGTATGTATTTATCTGCATATTTCCAAATAACATGCTAATACCTTGTTTCATTATTTTTAATTTTAGACATTGTTATATAATGAATACTATGTATTGAACAATATATGACATTCTTACAAAAAGATATGTACAAAATCAGAGATGTGATTTTTTTTTTTAAAAAAAGCATATCAGCTTTAGTAGTAAGCTATATATATTCTATTTAGCATTAACAAGAAAACTAAATTTATGGCTTGTGAGCTAAGAAAACACCCATTTAAAGTCATAGAAAAGGCATTAAATAAGTTACAATTATCAAAGTTAAATTTGACTCTTCTCTTTTCTCTGGAATAAGTGACAGTTTTCTCACTTTAGATATATATATATATATATAATATATATGTGTAATTTTGAAAAACGATTGTTGTCAAATTGTTTTACTTTACAGCCTACTATTACCTTCCTGAAACATAAACATCTAAGTTCATACGGAGGCCAAGTTACTAAAATATGCTTTAGAAAATTGAGCAAAGTCATAAAGTGTAAGTAGAGTAGGAGAGATTGACAGCTAACTGCACTTACAGTTAATCGGCTAAAGGTAAAATAAACCTAAAATGAAATCATTGGGTTTTTCCCTTTTATATTTTATTATTTCTTCCATATTCCTTACAGAAGTATCATACAGATTTTTAAACACACTACCCTTTAAAAATTTTTGTTGTGTTTTTTTTACTTTACTTGGTACCTATCATTACTTCTTTCCCTAAGCTCTCCAACAGAACATTAAAATAAGTCTAAAAATTAGTATAATCAAATAAATCAGGTGTCTTACAGAATACATTTTTTACATGAGATAACTCTATTGAATCTCTGTATCATACCGTTCCAATCTGATCTGTTTTCTTTAGCCTAATACATGTCTGCAATTCTGGATATTATTTCACAATCATTGTGGAATGATTTTTGGAACACTGTTCCAAACCCTACCTTTTGGAACCCCTGCTTTCTGGAGCCTATCTCTTCTCTATTGATTTATTACCTCACTTTAATGAAGAAAATCCACCAAAAACTTTTGGGTAAAGTATCTATTAGAGGTACCATTATTTAAGCTAGCTACAGTTAAGCTGGCTATTTTATTATAGCTGGCTGAATCTTCATTTTATCCATCATAATTGCTGGATAATTTGCTTATGGAATGTATAGGTTAAATATTATCTTCCACTAGATTTTTTTTTTTTTTTGAGATGGAGTCTCGCTCTGTCATCCAGGCTGGAGTGCAGTGTCTCACTGTATCTTCGACCTCATGGGTTCAAGTGATTCTCGTGCCTTAGCCTCCAGAGTAGCTGGGACTACAGGCATACTCCACCACTCCCAACTAATTTTTCTATTTTTGGTAGAGATGGGGTTTCACCATGTTGGCCAGGCTAGTCTCAAACTCCTGGCCTCAAGTGATCTGCCTGGCTCAGCATCTCAAAGTGCTGGGATTACAGGCATGAGTCACCATGCCTGGCCCCATTAGATTTTTAAATGCAATGTTTCATTCTAACTTCCAATACTACGTAATTGAAAAAGCTGATATTCATTTGTCTTGAGATCCTTTACATATTATTTGTTCTTATTGTGGTGGTAGTGATGGTGATGATCTCTTAGGACACTTTTAGGATATGCTCTTTATCCCTGATGTTTTGCATTTATTTTGATGTAAATTTGTGTGGAGCAGTTTGCACTCAATATGCTAGGCATTTGGTAGAAACGTTCAATCATTCAATCTGGTAACTGTTGGTTTTCAGGCCAGTGAAATTTTCCTGTATTATATTTTGAACATTCTTCTCCCCTCATTCTTCAATTTTGGACATTCTTCTATTTTGGGAAATTTTACTTATTTTGATATTGGACCTTTTGGAGGAGGCTTTGTTTTCCCCGTTTCTTGTCCAGTTAGCATTTATTTTTCAACTTTCTGTTATATGTTCTCAACATTCTCTTTAATCTTTCCACTATTACATTTTTAGTTGCATTATTATATTACAATGACTGTTTCTTCTGAGTTCATTATTTTTCTGTTTCATTGTGTGTTTGCTTTGATCTCTTTCATGTAAAAATCTATCTTTAAATATGTGATGATCATTGGTTCCAGATCATAACTAAGAATGAACTTTAAAGAGTACGAAACAAAAACTCTGCTTTGCAGTTTTGTATGTTTTGGAGTGAACTTGGTCAACAGGTCCACTGCACCATAGAGTGGGCACCGAACTCATATTGTCAGCGTCTCTGGTTATTATCTCTTATGCTGGCCTGTCTCCCCAAAGACCAATCTGCCATCTCCTGCCTGAGGTGAGGTGTTTGTGGAAGGAAATAACATGGAAAGTAACATTTTGGTGGCAGACAAGATAAGGAGAACTGGGGATATCATTGTTCATTATTTCGATTTTCAATTGACCTGAATGTTTCCAGTAATATATTGTTTTACTTCTTAATCTTTGCCCAGAGCCTTTATGGTTAACCAGAGTTAACTCATCCATTCCTTTATCAGGTTGAGGGAGGAAGAATTATTTGGCTTCAATGGGAAATGATTTAGGCACCTAATTATTTTTTATATTAACCTGCATCTAATTTCTCACTGTTTGGACCCATTTCTCCCCACTTACTTCAGCACTGCATGGTATTTCTAATTTTTGATTTTCACGCTCCTGTACTGTAAATCCACTTTTATCTTTGTGGTTTTACATAGCTAACCAGTAGGCATTGTACTTTCAATGCTTCCTGCACTTTTTTTAAAATCCGCTTTTCATTGTACCAAATGCTGTGGACATTACTAATCAACTAAATGCTTCTCTTTTTTACGTGTCTGTTTATACATGTTTGTTTTCTTGGGAGATTTAGAAGGGAACAAAGAAAATATATAATTTAATCTACTGTATATTGCTAGAATCCATGCCCTCTCAGTCCTCTCTGTTTCGTTTTCTATCCCTATTATCTGAATCAATGGTTTTCAGCAAAGGATTCTCATTAAAAACACTTTTTTTTCCTTTCATGTGAGATCGGGACACTTTAGTTCTATGTAACTTAGTTATTTGTATACACATTCCTAGTAAACACTGATTCTGACTATCTGTTAGTTGGTTCAAGTACTGATAATATGACTATAAATTTGTAAGTGGATTTACATTTTAACATATATCTCCACATGTATCATTACACTTGATACTCCCAACACCTGTTTTGCTTGCCTAACAGATTTTATACATCATTCCTCTTTCTTTGTAATAAAATCTCAATTTAGTTCTATATGATTAAGGAAGGTAGTCCTTCCACAGTCCCAACAGGTGAATGATGATGGCTAATCTAAGCCAATCATGGTCCTTCTCCTTCTCTACAGCAAATGTGTTATCCATGGGTATGTGCCACAAACCTGATAAACGAAAGGAGAGGAAACATCCTGGAGACTACTATAGAATAAGCATGTTATTGTCCCTAGTAAATAAAATTGGAAAAGATGACACAAATATTCTTGCCTTTGGCCCTTGCACAGAGCCAGTGATGGTGGATGCTGTAACTGCTATCTTGAGATCATGGATAGAAAAACCAGTGAAATTGGAAGGAAGCTGACTAGTAGCCTCAACATTGACACTACTAAATCCGTGAATTCTGGAAATATTTGCTACCAGACTGATTGTTATAGGAGATAATAAGTATCCATAGTCCTAACGCTAAAGTCAGTTGGGTATTTACTCCAAAATATTCTATTGTATACTGAGAACCCTCATAATACTTAAGGAGATACAATACTAATTGAAGATATATTACTTTCAGTCATCTCAATTTGAATCTGGGGGTATTCAACCTGATTTAACCTGATTATCCTGATTATCCTGGATTGAACATACAGTACATAGGAGCCACCCTTATGTTTCTTAGCTATGGTTACCTGCTATTTCTTGATAAAGAGCAATACTGGGTTAATTTAATGTTGAAATAAAGAGAAGAAGATATTAAGTGAATTTGTGAAAAATATTTTTTCAGAACTAATAAGAGATACCTTTACTATAGCTATTTTTAAAACTGGAATACAAAACTCTTTTACCTTAGCTGACACCTGACAACTATTAAAATACTAGATGTCAGTTGCTGTGTGGTGGGTTTTGTCATAGTTTTTACTTAATTAGCTGTGTTTATTTTATTAAAATTTCTATTATGTCTACATCCTGAGAAAGTTCTGTGGCTATGAAGAGGTGTTGATATGTTCCGCTGACTCTATGAACTGTTGAGTGTTGTGGGTGGGGAACGGAAGGAGAATGAAAAAAGTGAAGTACTCCCAGCTGTGAACTGCTTGAACCAAGGCACCACTCCAGTGCCAGGCTCACAGGAAAAATATCTGAAGAAGTTCTTAAATGCCATACAGATTCAGTGGAACGTTTTAAAAATCAGACTTTTAAATGAGACCCAATCTTATTACTCTATACACCCTTTCAACAACAGTGAACCACTTTGAACATTCTGTAAGGTAAATCAATATTTGTTGTTGTGGTTAAGAATCCTGAATTTTTATATGGCTTTGTCTATCACTAATAATCATGTCACTGCATTAACCTGTATCAAATAAGACACACAACAGAGATATCTTGATTTCTACTCTTTAAGAGTTTGGCTCTTCAGAAGTTTTATGTATAGAATGATCTCAGCAGGGCACAGTGGCTCACACCTGTAATCCCAGCACTTTGGGAGGCCAAGGCGGGTGGATTACCTGAGGTCAGGAGTTTGAGACCAGCCTGGCCAACATGGCAAAACCCTGTCACTATTAAAAATACAAAAATAAGCCGGGAGTGGTGGGGCGTGCTTGTAATCCCTGCTACTCAGGAGGCTGAGGCAAGGAGAATTGCTTGAACCTGGGAGGCAGGGGTTGCAGTGAGCAGAGGTTGGGCCACTGCACCTCCAGCCTGGGTGACAGAGCGAGACTCGGTCTCAAATAAATAAATAAATAAATAAAATAGAATGATCTCAACACAAACATCCTAATGTTTATTACATTCTCACTGAAAACAATTTTCATAAAGAACTAAGTTTTCCAAAATGGGTGCATGGGCAACCTTACACATTATGCCAATAGCTATATCATTCACTCATCATTCTTAAAAAAAATCCATTCAGGGGTATTAGTTAATAAGCCTTTTCCATATTTACAGGCTACCTATCCAGAGTCTGATAAAGGGACAAAAGGCCCCTTTCCTTCACAAACCTATAATCTAATAGAAAAGGAGTTGTTCCTACCTCTGTGGAACTCTCAATCAGCTAGTGACAATAGGGCACAGAGCAAGAGCACGGGTTTATGGAAAGAATTAAGTTTGGGCCAAAATAAATCCTTAATGGATTTAAAAGACAACTTGATCCTTAAGAATTTCCTTCCTAGTTCTTCTCATATTTATCCCTCTCTGACTCCATTGCTCCTCTGTTCACTAAAACATTTATTGGCTCAGTTAATAGGTGCCAAGCATTGTTCTAAGTAATAGGGATAGAGCAGTGTGCAAGATCTTGCCAGGTGCATACTTTGAGAGCTGGTAACCTAACAAGATGATAGTCATTAAACAACTAATTGCAAATGTGATAAGCATTTTGAAAGTAGTGAGCCCATTCCTAGAGGATTTTACAATGTGAAACTAGGAAGGCTGCCTGGAGGGAATGAATTAAGCAGGGCCTAGAAAGAAAAGGAAGAGACCCCAAGACCACTTACGTTTGTGATGTTTCATAAGCTCCCTATTGTTATTATTTAACATCACTAAATGTGAATATTCTTAATTATAGTGTAGATCATAATGAGTAAGAGGTCCATATTATTCCCCCACTGCTTCACTAAACTTTAAACAGTTTCTTCTTGAACATAGGCTCCTGACCTCCTGTGTTTTGTTTTGTTTTGTTTTGTTGTTTTGAGCATTTCTGTCACTTTGAGATGTAGATATTCTCCCAGTCACTTGTTAGTTTTACGACCGAGGAATGGTCTTTCCTAAGGACCTGGAAGCCATCTCTTTGAAATGTAATCATTGAGAAAGCTAGTGCCCCTATCTCCCAGTATCTGTGGGAAGGTAGAAGCTTAACTTCTATAAGGGCCAATTAACACACCCAAGTGGCCCAATAACATTGACCAATGTCTTTTTTTTTTTTTTTTTTTTTTTTGAGACGAAGTCTCGCTCTGTCTCCTGGGCTGGAGTGCAGTGGCGCGATCTCAGCTCACTGCAAGCTCCGCCTCCCGGGTTCACGCCATTCTCCTGCCTCAGCCTCCCGAGTAGCCAGGACTACCGGTGCACACCACCACGCCCGGCTAATTTTTTGTTATTTTAGTAGCGACAGGGTTTCACCATGTTAACCAGGATGGTCTCGTATCCTGACCTCGTGATCCGCCTGCCTTAGCCTCCCAGAGTGCTGGGATTACAGGCATGAGCCACCGCGCCCGGCCTACTATCTCTTTTTATTGGTCCTCTGCTGTACTGATTATCAAATATTTTCAACAATAGCCACATACGTATAATGTAACAGTAGCTGAAATTTCACAATTTCTCTGGATCCTGCTTCTGCCATTATAGCACAAAATTCAAATGTAACTGGGATAGATAAATCACTAAAATTATGTTCACTATGATATGAGCAATTCATTAAATCTTGTTTTCTTTTTGACGAGAAAGATATACCAACAATAAATTATTGGGATGGGAATAGACTGAAGGGAAAATAATTAGAGAGGGAAAAAAGGTCAGAAAACCAATCATTATCTTTGTATTCCTCATGTCTTGTGATATGTCTGGCAAATCGTAAGAACTCAAATATTCATATGAATATAAGTGATTAAATGAACACATGTATATGTAATTTATACTTGCCTAAGATAACCATTGTCTCATTCATACTTGTGTCTAGAAATCTCCTGGGAATAATATCTAATTGTTCTATTGCTCTAGAGAGTGCTTATTTATAGAATTCTTTTTAGTTCTAATTTTCATTTATATATTAACTGGGATTGCCTCTACTTTGATGGCTAAATACTATGTTTTTTATTTCCACTTACCTCATATCTTGAGAGGAATTACCAAAAAGCTTCTGTTTAACTGATCTTCTCTCATGATGATTTACTATTCCAGTTAACTTTCCACCTCATTATTTAGAATTTTTTTCTCTCTTCCACTTTCTCTTCCTTCTCTTCCTTATCTCCTCCCCCTCTTTTTTTTTCAATTAAGTCTTAAAGCTATTAGGTAAGACCACAGCAAAGGAGGAAGATGGAGCCACAGTAGCTTAGAATAAGGTATTAGAGCTAGAGTGGGTGAGAGGGGGTCCATACTGGGGGTGCTTACAGAGACATGGGATAGAAAGAATAAGAGATTGATTGTATTCGGGTAAATTGAACAAATAAGTAAATAAATTAGGGATAATGGGAGCTAACTGTCTCACTGTTGAAGGAAGTTGTGAACATCAAAAGCTAAAAAACTAGAATACACCACTAGAAATGTGGTGTTGTGTTTAAATCAAATATAAGAGTGTGAATTCATGGTTTTAATAGATAGATAATAGATGGATAAATAGATACATAGATGAAAGAAAGATTAAATAGTAGGTAGATAAGTAGATGAAGGAAGGTAGATAGATGATAGATAAATGGGTAAATATATGTATCTGTACACTGACAGGGCCTAGGTACAGTGATATCCCCAGGTAGATAAGCACATCCAGCACCAGATATTGTTTTCTAAATATCATTACCTACCTAAAAGGAACCAGGGCTCCTTGCAGATAATGGCTGATCTCAGGTCGGGGATGAAGACAATATTAAATGATCTTGAAACATCTTAGTTTGCCAAACCACAAGGTTCTAAAATATTGTTTTTTACATGTCCAAGAAACGAGGTGCCAGAAGGAAAAGTCTCCTATTGAGCAAATGTAAGGCGTATTTACATCAAAATAAATAATTGGTATAATGGCTGTGGCATTATCAAAAATAAAATATAAATAAACAACATAAATAAGATTGTAATCCAGTGATTAAAATAGGAATCCTATGACTTCATGCTGATATAAATAAATATATTAATATATCACAATTTTGGTAAAAAACAGCATGTTTATACAGCCTCAAAGTACCTCCTGGAAAGTAATTAATTTTAAGGAAAAAATGAGTGTCTTTATAGTATAAAAGCTTGGCAGACTCTAGGGAAGATTGTCAAATAATCAAAGTTAATATCACCAGTAATGGAACAGGACAAAATTAAATTCTGTAACACACGATAGGATCTAAAACAAAACAAAATGAATAAACAGCATCACTTCAGTGATATTTCTGCCATGGTAGAATATGAATATAACTATTTTAAAAAAGCAGACAGACAAACCAAAGTGAGGGACAAGCTACAAAATAACAGCTTCTACCCTTCAAGAATTTTAATGATATAAAAGTCAAGGAAAGATTGAAGAACTGTTCCCATTGAAGTTGAAGAAGACAAAAGGGACCTTGTGACTAAGTGCAAAATGTGTTGCCAAAGCCGATCTTTTTTGCTATAAAGGGCTCTTATTAGGAAATCTGTCAAAACTTAGATGAGGTCTGAGAACTACATGGTGACAGTACATCTGAGTTAGTCTCTTTATTTTGATATTAATACAAATGTGTATTAATTAAGAAATGTGAGAGAATTTGTGTTTACAGGAAATAAGCACTAAATATTCCAGAGTGTTGAGAGAACATGGTAACTTATCTTTAAATCATTCCAAAAAATAAAGTTCCTGGTATTATATTTACATTTCTAAAAGGTTAGGATTTTTTTCTAACGATTTTTAAAAAGAATCACTTGTAGCTGGTCTTTCTTCCTGTCTCCTCTAACATAACTAAACAGTGTGACCCAGACTGTCTTCCTTTATTCCTCTCCCCCTGCTTTTAATGACATGTACAAGCCATTTAGGCATATATAACTTTTAAATACAATTTGAGGACAACAGCACTGGAGTAGAGAAGGGGATATTTCATTGCAGCACAATATGAGAGATTCTTGTAAAAATCTCCCTAGTCAAATGTCTTTGGCAGATTTTCTTCTAAATTCTGCTGGCCTCCTGCTGAAACCCTGTCCCACCAGGTCCTCCTTACTCCTTCTTCTCTGGCTGTTCTCATTCTCCCAGTGCAGGTATTTTTTATATAGATCACCATATGAGCATGTCAAGTCCCAAGCTCATTATGGATACCCCAGGGTGCATACAACCAAACAACCATGCTAAGATGTGCTTCTAAAGAACCCTATTCCACAAAAGAATTCTACAGTTTGCTCCCCAAATAACAAGAGCTCTCTCTTTAGTGTTCACTATAAAATATAGTACCATGCAATAACACAGTAAAAAATCGATAACATGTTGTCAAATTAAATTAATGAGATTTAAATGCTGAAGTTGGAATCTTTACCAGTGCAACTTTTAGAAACATTTTCAATTCAGACACACACAGACTTGTTGGAATGGATGCTCTTTTGTCTGAACACACAATGGAACAATCAATACATTTATTCAGTGAATTTGTGATTTTGTTTATAAACTGAGTAGGCCAGGTGAGATAATTAAAAGTAGTCAATCGGATTTTTCTAAGCTTTACTCACAGATCATTTAGTATGTGAATTAATTCATCTCTGGATATGCTAGTTGCTTAACTTTCACCCTTTTAGTTAATGAAATGCATGTCATATAATTAATAAAGCCATTTCTCTCCTGAATATTGATATACTTCTAAATCATAGATCAAAGTTTTTGTAGAAAGCATTCAGAATATTTAAAGTTTTAGGTAGCACTTTTTATTCCTAGTGTTAGTACATGAAATATTGTAGACAATGAGGCCTTTGCATTCAATTTGTTAGAATAAGAGTTCTTTAACTTTTGTTTAAATTAATTCATAAGAACGTTATTCAGTGCAGTCTGAGTACCTTGGCAGCATTAAGACACAACATCTTCTATATACAGTTTGGAATAATTGTGAACTAAAAATTTTAATACTGTTCTGATTTTGTCTATGATGTATCACTATGGTTCCTTAACAGTTGCAATTGCACAGAGCATTTGAGAAGCAAAACAATCTAAGCGCCTCAACTTACAACAATAATGAGTACAACAGTTTGTTGAAGTAGCTGTAAATCAAATGTTCTGTAGCTATTTTTTTTAAAAAAAGCCCATAAGTTATTTGGATAGGATCCTTTACTTCTGCCACCTAACAGAAGCTCTGCATACAAATAAAAAGGAAGCATCCATGTTGTCTTCAGGTTAAGGTTTGCCCCTGAAAAGAAAGATGTTGTAGATTTTTTCCTGAAACATTGCTGAAGTTCAGCTTCATCTAGTAGAAGCCAAAGCAGGACAATTACATCGTGGATACACTCAAAATCAGTTCATTGTTATGAGAAACTGGAGATCACAGAGAACAAATGAAATTACATGCCACAAAAATGAGAAAATGTATTTTCCACTTCCATGTTTCTTACCTTTAACTCGCTAAAGATTCTTCTTTCACAAACAAAAAAATAACAACAACAACAAAAAAAACAGGTATAACCTAGATTCCAGTCACATAATATGCAAGTCCTTCTTTAGAAATAGGTTGGGAAGTGGGTTGATGTGAGATAAGGAAATGACTCCAATGTCTTCACGCCCTGGTCTATAGTTTTAATATACAGTTTATGCATGTCTTCAAGTAGGAACATGGTCTTAAGTTTAATTACAGATATTTTCTTAGGAAGGATACATAATCGAGAGCCAGAAATTAATCTACCATGGAAAAAAGCAAAGTGGTAGACATTAATTTTCAGTCAAATTAAATCTGATAGATTTATTTTTGGTGTTATGTTGTTATTGAGTGAGATGAGATACTTTCCTGTTTGTTTTGAAAAGGTATTAATTATAATTGACGAGAAAATTAAGCCCAACATATTGCCATTCACATGATTTGTCGAAAATAATAGAAACTCTCCTATTTGATTATGGAGCGAAGGCATAAATTTAGGAAATACTTAAATAAAAATAGTGATATTCATGTTAATGTGATTAAATGGCATAAAAAGTAATATTCAGTTTTCATCTATGAGGTCATGGCACACTAGTAGTGTCAGGGTGGGTCAAACCTGAAGCAAAGTTACCTGGGAACGCCTGAGATAATTTAACCAGGATAGAGCACTGGATTCATCTTGGTTGAGGAGTCAAAATTATATGTAGCTGGAAAGACAATAACAAGCATCAAATAAATTATTATATGGCAGGATGCCAGTCCTACTCAATGGCCCTGGAAAAGTCTTCTATATAGATAAGATTCTGGGCTAACTTTGAGGAATTCATGTATGTCTTGAGAAACATACATGTATGTTTTTTGCTATCATGTATGGTGGCTTATCTTAGTAGCCATTTTATCCGACAAACATTTATTGAAAGCATACTATATACTAGGCACTACAAAAAATAATAGGGATACAACAGCAATCAAAGTATACATGATCTCTGACCCTCAGAGTTAATGGCTAAGTGGGTGACATTATCCAAAGGAAACAGCATTATAGTAAGATTTGTGCAATGAATGTATAGAGGACTGAGACTTTATTTAGTCTTAGGAATGAAGAAGCTTTGGTTAATAATTCTGCTGGTGCTTGTTTAAACTTGACTTTGCCAGAGTATACATGAAGTTTTCATATGTTTGCCATTTCTATAGTTTTTTTATGTCAGTTAACTTTTGCCATGTAACATACTACACTAAGATACAGGGACTTAAAACAACTATTTATTTGCTCACAATTCTATGGGTCAATAGGTGGTTCTATTGGTCTTGAGCAACTTGGCTCATCTCTGCTGTCAACTGTCATTTTGTCTGGGTCTAAAAATTCTCAGATGGCCTTATTCACATGTCTGGACAATCTGTTAGGATTGTTGGAATGTCCAGAATGACTAGTCTCTTTCTTCCAATAGGCAAGCTTGGGCTTGTTCTTATGCTGGCCTAAGGCTTTTCAACAGCAAGAGAGAGCAGGACCAAATTTGCAAGAACTATTTAAGCCTCTGCTTATATCAAATTTTCCAATGCCCCAAAGCAAGCAATATGGCCACGCTCAGATTCAAAGGGTAGAGAAATAGACTCCTTCTATTGCTAGGTGGAGGTACAAAAATATTCGCCACTGCACTTTATTGAAGATGGTGTGGGCAACCTTGCTGTCACAGAACTGCTTTCGTGATGAAAGTTTTCAACTTCTTCCTGACTTAGAACCAATTTTTAATTATTAATATTGACTATTAAAGTTCTTCCCCTGTTCTTTTCCATTTTTATCTTGTTCTCCACCACTGCCTACTATTAAAACTTCAGCCAGAAAGTTCTACAAATTGACCTTTAAATCCACTTCTGCCAATGAGATTTGCTCATCCTTTAAGATTTAGCATAACTCTATATTAATGTTCTGATTTTTCTCATTACTCTGAATAAGAATGACTTTATGGCTCCAGACGAAACTGCTTATATTCAAATTGCCTTTAAGGGAGTTGCTTACTATAGTTTCCTAAACTCAGAACAGTGCCTATTCCCTGCAGCACATATTTTTGCTCTTACTGTTAAACTTATTTGGATTTTATAACCACTTCTTAAATGTCTATTTTGTCTCCCTCACCAGAAAGCAAGCCTCTTAAGGACCAAAGCTATTTCTTTTATGTTTTACCCCTCAGTAGACTGTCTTTAAGTCCTTAAATACATGTAAAATTAAGGTATTATTTCATTTTATAAACTATATGTTTATGGTTTTAGTTATGAGAAATATGTAAAATGAGATACATATTAACTTTTTGTTTATCCCAAAATAATTGACCATTTTCCCTGTTTCAATTTACAACTAAGGAGCCCAAGAGAATAAAGATAATAGATTAGGTAGCTTGAAAGAGTAGAGAATGAAAAATTTGCAAGATGTGGAAGTTGGCCAGATGTTGACAGATATGGAATTAGTAACCAAAATATACTTTCAATAAACATTTGTATCGGATGTGTCATTTTTTTTCTCAGCAAAATTTTTGCTTCACTCGCTTCTGACATCTACTGAGTATCTAGAATGGAGCAGCTGCTGTATCTCCACCAAAACAAATACAGAATGTCCGAAGCAAAACAGAAGGTCAAGCAGTAACCCTCTGCAAAGAAGTGTAAACTTTCTCCATGTGGATATCAGTGTTTTCTAATTTTTTATTGCATCCTGGCATAAAGATCTTAAAAAATACCAGAAAGCCTGTTTGAAAAGGGAACATTAGCTAATTTTCTCCATACTTTATATATAAATATCCATCTTATGGATGTTTGGAAACATTTGAAGTCTTGGAAAATTGCTTTCCTTTACATGGTGGTGTGTTTAGTATTGAATAGTTATAGCTTTGATATATACTTTTCTTTATTTTGATAAATATATCCTATTTTTCTTCATTTGACTAAGAATCCCGAAATGGAAAGCAGGTGATATGCATTTCTAATTCAGGCTTTTACACATAATTAGCTATGTGACTCATCTAAGCCTTTGTTGCCCAGTCTATAAAACAGGGACATTAATGCCCACCCTTGCTACTTTATAGAGTAATGATGACCAAATCAAATAATGCACATGAAAATGTTTTATAACTTGGAAAATGGAAGGGGTAATTGCACTAGTGTATGATCATAGCATAATATCTAAGTATGTTTTTTTTCTCTCTACTCAAATTTCTCATTTATTACCTAGACCACGCAATATTCCACTAATTAGCTCTGAAATCTTTGTCAAGTCATTCACCTCTCTGGATCACATTTTTCTCATCATGAAAATGGGGGAGATTTACTAGATAATATCAAGGAGGGCTTTTCCATATTTTAAAATTCTAAGATCATCTATTTTATTTATTTATTTTAATTTGTTGACATACGGTCTCACTCTGTCACCCAGGCTGGAGTGAAGTATCATAATCATAGCTCATTGCAGCCTTGATCCTGCAGGCTCTAGTGATCCTCTTGCCTCAACCTCCTGAGTAGCTGAGACTACAAGCATGTGCCACCACATCTGGGTAATTTTTTTTCCATTTTAATTAAAGATGAGTTCTCACTATGTTGCCCAGGTGGTCTTGAACTCCTAAACTGAAAATATTCTCCCACGTTGGCTTCTCAAAGTGCTGGAATTACAGCCATGAGCTACCATGCCTGGCCTAACACAATATATTTTTTCAAAATATTGGTTATGGCATGTTGTTTGAAAAAAAATAGGAAGTAACATGAGCCTCCTCTCCTTTAATTGATGGTCATTAGCAAGATTTTATGAAATTCCTTCTTGGTATTTTTTTAAGTGTTTATTATGCAATGGAATAAAGTTAAAGTCCCTTAAGTCAGTTGTTCGTACATCATAATGTCCTACTTGAAAGTTTGCAATGGCTTCTTATTGCAATTAGATTAAAATTAAACTCTGTATGATGGTTTAAAAGACCCTTTATTACTTTGCTTCTGTCTATGTGTAGGTTTTTAAAAAGTGATCCCAAATTTCTTGGTATTTGTCCCACTGAGAGACAGTGTTCTATATCTCTACCCTATGAATCTGAATGACTTCTTTAACCAATAAAATATGGGTGAAGTGATCCTATGGGACCTCATAGACTAGGTTATCAAAGATCATGTTGCTTATGCTTAGATCTTGTGAAATACTTACTTTGTGTATATTATTTTTGGGCCTCTCCTCAGAAATCAGCCTCCATGCTGTGGAAAGCCCAAGCCACATGAAGAGGCCACATGTTTGTGCTTTGGTCAACAGTCCCAGTGGGTTCCAAGTTTTCCCAGTCCAGGTGCCAGGCAAGAGAGTGAAGAAGACTCCAAATGATTCCAAGAGGTTCCAGACATAGTGGAGCAGAGATAAGTCATCCTTGCTATTCTCTGGCCAAAACCTTGACCCAATGACCTGTGAGCATAACAAAATACTTGTTTTACACCAGTGACTTTGGGTGGGGCTTGGTTATATATCTACAAGTTACCAGATCAACACACCTCTCTCACCCTCTCCCTCATTCATCTCTTCTAGATATGCTGGATTCTCTTAGTCTCTTGTCTATGAAAGGATTCTCCTATCTGGCACGTTTGTGCTTACTGTGCCCTTTACCAAGCACTTTTTCCTTCCATTAATGTGTGGTTGTCTACTTGTAATCTTTGATGGTTTAGCTAAATAGCTCCTTGTAAGAGAAATTCATTTTCTAACCACCCTGCCCAAAATAACCTCCCTACACACCATCCAAAATGTTTTTAGCAGTCTAAAATTATCTTTATTATCTGTCTGTGTGTTTATTACGTCTTGCTCCTATAGTATCTGCCATGTGAGCAGACACTTTCTTCTATCTTATTCACAGTCACATACACAGCACCTGAAAGACACTTAGAGAATAATAAAACATAATGAACATAAGCATATGTTTGATAGAGGCTTAAAACGTATATTCTTAGGCCCAAAACTGAAATTCAATTTTAAAAGTCTTTAATGAGATCTGTACTTTGATTTTCTTTGTTGTTGTTGCTGTTGCAAAAAAGGCAAGCTTTTATTTTATTTTATTTTATTTTATTTTATTTTTATTATACTTTAAGTTCTAGAGTACATGTGCACAATGTACAGGTTTGTTACATAGGTATACATGTCCCATGTTGGTTTGCTGCACCCATCAACTCATCATTTACATTAGGTATTTCTCCTAAAGCTATCCTTCCCCTAGCCCCTCACCCATCAACAGGCTCCAGAGTGTGATGTTCCCCTCCCTGTGTCCATGTGTTGTAATTGTTCAGCTCCCACTTATGAGTGAGAACATGTGGTGTTTGGTTTTCTGTCCTTGTGATATTTTGCTGAGAATGATGATTTCCAGTTTCATCCATGTCCCTGCAAAGAACATCAACTCATCCTTTTTTATGGCTGCATAGTGTTCCATAATGTATATGTGCCACATTTTCTTTATCCAGTCTAGTATTGATAGACATTTGTATTGGTTCCAAGTCTTTGCTATTGTGAATAGTGCCACGATAAACGTATGTGCAAGTGTCTTTATAGTAGCATGATTTATAATCCTTTGGGTATATTAGTAATGGGATTGCTAGGTCAAATGGTATTTCTAGTTCTAGATCCTTTAGGAATTGCCACACTGTCTTCCACAATGGTTGACCTAATTTACACTCCCACCAACAGTGTAAAAGCATTCCTATTTCTCCACATCCTCTCCAGCATCTGTTGTGTCCTGACTTTTTAATCATTGCCATTCTAACTGCTGTGAGATGGTATCTCATTGTAGTTTTGATTTGCATTTCTCTAATGAGCAGTGATGATGAGCATTTTTTCATCTGTCTGTTGGCTGCATAAATGAACTTCTTTTGAAAAGCATCTGTCCATATCCTTTGCCCACTTTTTGATGGGGTTGTTTGTTTTTTCCTTGTAAATTTGTTTAAGTGCTTTGTAGATTCTGGGTATTAGCCCTTTGTCAGATGGATAGATTGCAAAAATTTTCTGCGATTCTGTAGGTTGCCTGTTCACTCTGATGATAGTTTCTTTTGCTGTGTAGAAGCTCTTTAGTTTAATTAGATCCCATTTGTCTATTTTGGCTTTTGTTGCCATTGCTTTTGGTGTTTTAGTCATGAAGGCTTTGCCCATGCCTGTGTCCTGAATGGTATTGCCTAGGTTTTCTTCTAGTGTTTTTATGGTCTTAGGTCTTACATTTAAGTCTTTAATCCATCTTGAGTTAATTTTTGTATATGGTGTAAGGAAGGGATCCAGTTTCAGCTTTCTACGTATGGCTAGCCAGTTTTCCCAACACCATTTATTAAATAGGGAATCATTTCCCCATTGCTTGTTTTTGCCAGGTTTGTCAAAGATCAGATGGTTGTAGCTGTGTGGTGTTATTTCTGAGGGCTCTGTACTGTTCCACTGGTCTATATGTCTATTTTGGTACCAGTACCATGCTGTTTTGGTTACTGTAGCCTTGTAGTGTAGTTTGAAGTCAGGTAGCATGATGCCTCTAGCTTTGCTCTTTTTGCTTAGGATTATCTTGGCTATGTAGGCTCTTTTTGGTTCCATATGAACCTTAAAGTAGTATTTTCCAATTCTATGAAGAAAGTCAGTGGCAGCTTGATGGGGATAGCATTGAATCTATAAATTACCTTGGGCAGGTAGGCCATTTTCAAGATATTGGTTCTTCCTATCCATGAGCATAGAATGTTCTTTCATTTGTTTGTGTCCTCTTTTATTTCGTTGAGCAGTGGTTTGTAGTTCTCCTTGAAGAGGTCCTTCACATCCCTTGTAAGTTGGATTCCTAGGTATTTTATTCTCTTTCTAGCAATTGTGAATGACAGTTCACTCATAATTTGGCTGTGTCTGTTCTTGGTGTATAGGAATGCTTGTGATTTTTGCACATTAACTTTATATTTGAGACTTTGCTGAAGTTGCTTATCAGCTTAAGGAGATTTGGGGCTGAGACAATGGGGTTTTCTAAATATACAATCATGTCCTCTGCAAACAAAGACAATTTCACTTCCTGTTTTCCTAATCAAATACCCTTTATTTCTTTCTCTTGTCTGATTGCCCTGGCCAGTTGTCTTTTGCCGGTTTTCAAAGGGAATGCTTCCAGTTTTTGCCCATTCAGTATGATATTAGCTGTGGGTTTATCATAAATAGCTCTTATTATTTTGAGTTATGTTCCATCAATACCTAGTTTATTGAGAGTTTTTAGCATGAAAGTCTGTTGAATTTTGTCTAAGGCCTTTTCTGCATCTATTGAGATAATCATGTGGTTTCTGTCATTGGTTCTGTTTATGTGATGGATTACGCTTATTGATTTGTGTATGTTGACCCAGCCTTGCATCCCAGGGATGAAGCCGATGTGATCATGGTGGATAAGTTTTTTGATGTGCTGCTGGATTCAGGTTGCCAGCATTTTATTGAGGATTTTCTTATCGATGGTCATCAGGGATATTGGCCTAAAATTCTCTTTTTTTGTTGTGTCTCTGCCAGGCTTTGGTATTAGGGTGATGCTGGCCTCATAAAATCAGTTAGGGAGGATTCCCTCTATTTCTATTGACTGGAATAGTTTCAGAAGGAATGGTACCAGCTCCTCTTTGTACCTCTGGAAAAATTCGGCCGTGAATCCATCTGGTCCTGAACTTTTTTTGGTTGGTAGGCTACTAATTATTGCCTCAATTTCAGAATCTGTTATTGGTCTATTCAGAGATTCAACTTCTTCCTAGTTTAGTCTTGGGAGGGTGTATATGTCTAGGAATTATCCATATCTTCCAGATTTTCTAGTTTCTTTGTATAGAGGTGTTTATAGTATCCTCTGATGGTAGTTTGTATTTCTGTGGGATCAGTGATGATATCCCCTTTATCATTTTTTATTGCATCTATTGGATTCTTCCCTCTTTTCTTCTTTATTAGTCTTGCCAGCAATCTATTTTGTTGATCTTTTCAGAAAACCAGCTCCTGGATTCATTGATTTTTTGAAGGGTTTTTTGTGTCTCTATCTCCTTCAGTTTTGCTCTGATGTTAGTTATTTTTTGCCTGCTGCTAGCTTTTGAATTTGTTTGCTCTTGCTTCTCTAGTTCTTTTAATTGTGGTGTTAGGGTGTCAACTTTAGATCTTTCCTGCTTTCTCTTGTGGGAATTTGGTGCTGTAAATTTCCCTCTACATACTGCTTTAAATGTGTCCCAGAAATTCTGGTACATTGTGTCTTCATTCTCAGTGGCTTCAAAGACATCTTTATTTCTGCCTTCATTTCTTTAATTACCCAGTAGCCATTCAAGAGCAGATTACACAGATTCCCTGTAGTTGTGTGGTTTTGAATGAGTTTCTTAATCCTGAGTTCTAATTGATTGCACTGTGATCTGAGAGACAGTTTGTTATAATTTCTGTTCTTTTACTTTTTCTGAGGAGTGTTTTACTTCTAATCATACGGTCAATTATAGAATAAGTGTGATGTGGTGCTGAGAAGAATGTATATTCTGTTGATTTGGGGTGTAGAGTTCTGTAGATGTCTATTAGGTCTGCTTGGTCCAGAGCTGAATTCAAATCTTGGATATCCTTGTTAATTTTCTGTCTCATTAATCTGTCTAATATTGACAGTGGGGTGTTAAAGTTTCTAATTATTATTGTGTGGGAGTCTAAGTCTCTTTGTAGGTCTCTAAGAACTAGCTTTATGAATCTGGGTGCTCCAGTATTGGGTGCATATATATTTAGGACAGTTAGCTCTTCTTGTTGAATTGATCCCTTTACCATTATGTAATGGCCTTCTTTGTCTCTTTTGATCTTTGTTGGTTTAATGTCTGCTTTATTAGAGACAAGGATTGCAACCCCTGCTTTTTTTAGCTTTCCATTTGCTTGGTAGATATTCCTCCATCCCTTTATTTTGAGCCTATATGTGTCTTTGCACATGACATGGATCCCTTGAATACAGCACACTGATGGGTCTTAATTCTATCCAATTTGCTGGTCTGTGTCATTTAATTAGGGTATTTAACCCATTTACATTTAAGGTTAATATTGTTATGTGTGAATTTAAACCTGTCATTACGGTACTAGCTGGTTATTTCACCCGTTAATTGATTCAGTTTCTTCATAGCATTGATGGTCTTTACCATTTAGCATGCTTTTGCAGGGGCTGGTACCAGTTGTTCCTTTCCATGTTTAGTGCTTCCTTCAAGAGCTCTTGTAAGGGGGGCCTGGTGGTAACAAAATCTCTCAGCATTTGCATATTATTTCTTCTTCATTTATGAAGCTTAGTTTGGCTGGATATGAAATTCTGGGTTGAAAATTCTTTTCTTTAAGAATGTCGAATATTGACCACCACTCTCTTCCGGCTTGTAGGGTTTCTGCTGAGAGATCTGCTGTTAGTCTGATGGGCTTCCCTTTGTGGGTAACCTGACTTTCCTTTCTGGCTGCCCTTAACATTTTTTCCTTCATTTCGGCCTGGGTGAATCTGTCAGTTATATGTCTTGAGGTTGTTCTTCTTGAGGAGTATCTCTGTGGTGTCCTCTGTATTTTCTGAATTTGAATGTTGGCCTGCCTTGCTAGGTTAGGGAAGTTCTCCTGGATAATATCCTGAAGAGTATTTTTTTATCTTGGTTCCATTCTCCCCATCACTTTCCGGTACACCAATCAAACGTATATTTGGTCTTTTCACATAGTCCCATATTTCTTGGAGGCTTTGTTCATTTCTTTTCACTCTTTTTTCTCTAATCTTGTCTTCTCACTTTATTTCATTAATTTGATCTTCAATCACTGACGTCCTTTCTTCTGCTTGATCAAGTCAGCTGTTGAAGCTTGTGTATGCTTCCCAATGTTCTTGTACTAAGGTTATCAGATCCATCGGGTCATTTAAGCTCTTTTCTACACTAATTATTCTAGTTAGCCATTTGTCTAACCTTTTTTCAAGGTTTTTAGCTTCCTTGTGATGAGTTAGAACATGCTCCTTTAGCTTGGAGAAGTTGGTTATTACCGACCTTCTGAAGCCTACTTCTGTCAACTCATCAAACTCATTATCCGTCCAGTTTTATTCCCTGCTGGCGAGGAGTTGAGTTCCTTTGGAGGAGAAAAGGTGCTCTGGTTTTTGGAATTTTCAGCCTTTCTGCTCTGGTTTCTCCCCATCTTTGTGGTTTTATCTACCTTTGGTCTTTGATGTTGGTGACCTATGGATGGGGTTTTGGTGTGGATATCCTTTTTGTTGATGTTGATGCTATTCTTTTCTCTTTGTTAGTTTTTGTTCTAACAGACAAGCACCTCATCTGCAGGTCTGTTGGAGTTTGCTGGAGGTCCACTTCAGTCCTTGTTTGCCTGGGTATCAGCAATGGAGGCTGTAGAACAGAAAACATTGCTGCCTGATCCTTCCTCTGGAAGCTTCATCCTGGAGGGGCACCTGCCTGTGTGATGTGTCTGTCGGCCCCTACTGGGAGGTGTCTCCCAGTCAGGCTACATGGGGGTCAGGGACCCACTTGAGGAGGCAGTCTGTCCATTACTGGAGCTTGAATGCCATGCTGAGAGAACCACAGCTTTCTCCAGAGCTGTCAGACAGGGAAGTTTAAGTCTGCAGAAGCTGTCTGCTGCCTTTTGTACAGATATGCTCTGCCCCCAGAGGTGGAATCTAGAGAGGAAATAGGCCTTGCTGAGCTGCAGTGGGGTCCACCAAATTCGAGCTTTCCTGCTGCTTTGTTTACACTGTGAGCATAGAACCACCTACTCAAGCCTCAGCAATGGTGGACGCCCCTCCCCCCACCAAGCTCCAGCATCCCAGGTTGATCTCCGACTGCTGTGCTAGCAGTGAGCAAGGCTCCTTGGGCGTGGGACCTGCTGAGCCAGGCATGGGAGGGAATCTCCTGGTCTGCTGGTTGCGAAGACCGTGGGAAAAGTGCAGTATTTGGGCAGAGGTGTACTGTTCCTCCAGGTACATTCACTCATGGCTTCCTTAGGCTACGAAAGAGAAATCCCCTGAATCTTTGTGCTTCCTGCATGAGGCGATGTCCCACCATGCTTTGGCTCACCCTCCGTGGGCTGCACCCACTCTCCAACCCATCCCAATGAGATGAACCGGGTGCCTCAGTTGGAAATGCAGAAATCACCCGTCTTCTGCATTGATCTTGCTGGGAGCTGTAGACTAGAGCTCTTCTTATTCAGCCATCTTGGAAGTGACCTGTACTTTGAATTTCTAACATTTAACCCAGGTTATTCCAAAGCAAGTGTACTGTGGACATTGTGACAGTACTTTCTTTATACATATGACCATTTTCTTATAAAACAATAGTATGAGACAATATATTGCAATCTAGAAAATGCTATATAATGAATTCCTGATAGAATTAGTAATACCTATTTTTATTGAATTAGGATAAATTATCACAGGAAAATATAACTAATAAAGAAAATTTCACTATGTCTCTTCTAGTGTCACTACTGATTCATCTATGCTTTTATATTAATTTTCCTGCAGTTATAATTGATACTATGAATTAAAAAATGATTCCTATCTTTAGTTCAACAATTCTCTTTCTCTTTTTACTTAAATCTAGTTCTTACTTTTATATTCCTCTCAAATTGAGTATAATATTCTAGGCTTTATTGCTACTCCCCTGTATTTGGCATATATATGTGTGTGTGTATATGTGTATATATAATTGATCAGACAGTACAGAGAGTTTCCGTATAAACTCACCCCCAAATATAGTTTATCCTATTATTAATATTCTGTATTTGTGTTGTACATTTGTTAAAATTAATGAACTAATATTGATCCATTATTATTAACTAAAGTTCACAGTTTACATTAAGATTCATACTGTGTGTGTTTTAAATTCTATGGATTTTTGACCAATACATAATGTCATGTATCCACCTTTATAGTGGCATACAGATTAGTTTAGTCACCCTAAAAACTCCCTGTGCTTCACTTGTTCATTCCTCCCCAGATCCTTTCCAAACACCTGGCAACCACCAATCTTTTTATTGTCTTGATAGCTATGCCTTTTTCATAATTTTATTTAGTTGAAATCATATAGTATGTAGCCTTTTCAAACTAGTTTATTTCATTTAACAATTAAGTTTCCTCTATGTCTTTTGGTGGCTTGATAGCTCACTTCTTTTTACTTCTGAATAATGTTCCATTGGATAGATGTACCCTGAGTTTATTAATTCCTTGAGTTTATTGATTCCTTAAAGGACACCTTGTTTGTTTCCAGCTTTTAGAATTTATGAATAAAGCTCCTCTAAACATTTGTGTGCAGGTTTGTATTTTGTATATATTTATTGTAAGTTACTATTGTTTTCTAATTAGGCTTCCTGTGTCCATTGTTTGAACAATTACAATTATTCATTTGTTCCAAGGTGATGTCTCAGAGATATAAACCTGTTGCTGTCACCATTCTGCTGAAAGCCTTAAGGATGTACTCAGTTAAGTTCAAATATTAACGTGACATACAGGAATTCGTCATTTTATTGTGGTTCACTCTATGTTTTTGTAAATTGAAGGTTTGTGGCAATCCTGTGTCCAGGAAGTTTGTGGTGCCATTTTTTGTAACAGCATGTGCTTACTTTGTTTCTGTGTCACAATTTGGTAATTGTCACAATATTTCAAATTTTTCATTATTATTATATCTATTACAGTGATCTGTGACCAGTGGTCTTTGATGTTACTACTGTAATTGTTTTGGGGCACCATGACCCTTGCCCATATAAAAAGCAAAATTAATCGATGAGCGTTGTGTGTATCCTAACTGTTCCACCAACAGGCTGTTCCCCATCTCTCTCCTTATTCTTGGGCCTCTCTATTCCTTGAGATACAATAATATTGAAATTATGCCAATTAATAACCCTACTATGGCTTCTAAGTGTGTTCCAGTGAATACACAAATGATAAAAAAGTAAAAACAGTCTTATTGCTGATGTGGAGAAAGTTTTAGTACTCTGGATAAAAGAAAAACCAGCCACATTTCCTTAAGAGAAAGTCTAATCCACAGCAAGACCCTAACTCTCTTTAATTCTACAAAGGCTGAGAGAGATGAGGAAGCGGCCAAAGAAAAGTTTGAAGCTAGCAGAAGTTGTTTCCTAAGGTTTAAGGAAACAAGCTATCTCCATAACATAAAAGTGCAAGGTGAAGCAGCAAGTACTAATATAGAAGTTGTAGGAAGTTATACAGAAGGTCTACTAAGATCTTCTGTAGGTGATGAAGGTGGCTACACTAAACAATAGATTTTCAATGTAGACAAAACATCTAGGACTTTTGTAGCTAGATAGAAGAAGTCGATGCCTGGCTTCCCCCAAAGGATAGGCTAACTTTCTTGTTTGGGGCTAATGCAGCTGGTCACTCTAAGTTGAAGCCCATGCTCACCTACTATTCTAAAAATCCTATGTCCTTAAGAATTATGCAGAAGCCTACTCTTCTTGTGCTCTATAAACGGAACAACAAAGCCCAGATGATAGCACATGTTTACAGCACGATTTACTGAACATTTTAAGCCCACTGGCTTAAAAGTAGTTGATACCTGCTACTATGAAAAGAAGATTCCTTTCAAAATATTACAGCTCATTGTCAATACACCTAGTCACCCAAAGGTGCTCTGATGAAGATGTACAAGGAGATTAATGTTGTTTTCATGCCTAGTAACACAGCATTCATTCTGAAGTCCATGAATCAAGCAGTAATTTTAACTTTCAAGTTTTTTAATTTAAGAAATATATTTTGTAAGGCTATAGGTGTCATAGATAATGATTCTGCAGATGAATCTGGGCAAAGTAAACTGAAAATCTTCTAGAAATGATTCATCCTTCTAAATGACATTAAGAACATTCATGATTCATGAGAGGAGGTCAAAATATCAACATTAAATAGAGTTTAGAAGTTGATTTCAACCATTATGGTGAATGATTTTGTGAGGCGTTCAAGACTTTACTGGAGGAAGTAACTGCAGATATGGTAGAAATATTAAGATTACTAGAATAACAAATGGAGCCTGAAGATATGACTGAATCACTGCAATTTTATAATAAACCTTGAAAAGATGAGAACTTACGTCTTATGAATGAACAAAGAATGTGATTTCTTGAGATGAAATCTGCTGGTGAAGATGCTGTGAACATTGTTTAAATGACAACCACAAAAATTGAAATATTATATAATTTAGTTGACGAAGCAGCAGTAGGGTTTGAGGAGACTGGCTCCAATTTTGAAAGAAGTTTGCATCCTACGAAGAAACTTTTAGTAAAAGGGAGAGTTACTATCGATGAAGCAAACTTCATTGTTGTCTTATTTTAAGAAAATGCCAGGCCAGACATGGTGGCTTATGCCTGTAATACCAGCACTTTGGGAGGCCAAGGCAGGTGGATCACCTGAGGTCAGGAGTATGAGACCAGCCTGGTCAACATGGTGAAACCCCGTCTCTACTAAAAATACAAAAATTAGCTGGGTGTGGTGGTGCATGCCTATAATCCCAGCTACTCAGGAGGCTGAGGCAGGAGAATTGTTTGAACTTGGGAGGCAGAGATTGCAGTGAGTCAAGATCGCACCACTGCACTCCAGCCTGGGGGACAAAGCGAGAATCCAAAAAAAAAAAAAAAAAGAAAGGAAAGGAGAGGAAAGGAGAAGGGAGGGGAGGGGAGGGGAGGGGAGGGGAGGGGAGTGAGAGAGAGAGAGAGAGAGTGAAAGGAAGGAAGGAAGGAAGGAAGGAAGAAAGGAAGAAGAAATTGCTACTCATAGTTGCCTAGACATTCAGCAATCACCCCTCTGATCAATCAGTAGCCATCAACCTTAAGACAAGACCTTTCACCAGCAAAAGGATTTCACCTCACTAAAGGCTCAGAGGATCATTAACTTTTTTTTTAGCAATAAAGTATTTTTAACTAAAGTAAGGTATGTACATGTTTTACATAATCCCATTACACATTTAGTAGACTACAATAAACTTAAACATAACTTCTGTATGCACTGTGAAACAAAATAATACATGTAACTTGCTTTATTGCAATATTTACTTTATTGCAGTGGCATGGAACTGAACTAACAATATCTCTTAGGTATGCCTGTAAACAGCTTTTTAATCATCACATTCCAGAGGATCTCTCTGAAGTTACACTATGCCATCATGCTGTACATACCCTCTGCCCTTCAGACTTAGTAAAACACCTATCTTCCCAGTTATAGATCTTATGCCTATGGAATTTGCTGATCTCTGGGCCAAGAAAGCCCTTCTTCATCTTGTCAGCCTCTTGAATTCCTATTCAAACACCCTTCTCCCATTGATATCTCGGTCAACTCCCAAAATAACCCGTCTCCTCTACATCCTTAGAGCTCTAGTAGCATAAGTCCATGATAGTATCCACTGCAGTACACAGTAGAAATTTCTTCTTCTGTCTCTGTCCCTCCCTGGATTTTGGAGGCAGCTTTTATGTTCATGATAGTCTGCTTAGATTGGAAAGCAAATCACGAGATTTTGTAAGTTACACTGGATGCATCAGCAGACAAGCCTTTGAGTTCCAGCTTTGCCACTTACTAGCTTGTCCCACAAGCTCTTGCAAGTCAACCAATGCTTCAGAACTCTATTTTTTGTTTTAAAAATTTAAAGTATTCTCTGTTTCACATAATTACTGCAAATATTAGTGTCTGCAGATTTTTAACTATAAAATGCTGAACATATAAAAAGTTTTCAATAGATTTGCAAGTACAAAACCTTAAAGTTATCATTATTAACAGTGTAACTCCCTCAAAAATCACAAATCATTTACAGTCATGAAATGTAAATAGCTATAACTGTTGTAAGAAGGAATTTCATGCAATCTTTAATTTGACAAATGAGGAAATCTTTGTCTTAATAGGTTAAATGGGTTGCCTAAGATCACGCAGCAATGACACAGTCGAATTGTAGGCAGAATTTATCATAGCCACAGGGTTATAGATGAGGACTTGTTACATTACAATGGGATAAATCTTGAAAATCACTGAAGCTGAAGAATATTTTTAAATTATCTACCATATTTATAACTTAAGATGCAAATTTACTCTTACAAGAAGATTTAATCCCAATAAGAAATTCAACTTTATATTTTTTATTAATCTGACCATAGACAACACTTGATCTTCTATCAGAGTCATTTCTGATAAAGTGGATAGATTACTAAGATTGAGAAATTGTCGTTTAGGAATAATATATTATAACAAATATACATATTACATACATATTACAAACTTTGAACCATAGAGTATTCCAGACCTTTAAACAGCTCTACCACCACCCCCATCTATGTCCATTCATCTGTTTTATCTTTTAAATTAAGACCCTGATTCGTATTGCAAATTAAATATTCCACAGGTGGTAAGCACTTTCAAAGGCAGAGGGATCAAAATGGAAAATGAGGGGCAAAAAACAGAGGAAATATAGTCTTACAAAATTATTTTATTAATATAGGGGAAAACAAAATCAATTCCTATTTAAAACTCATGCCAGCCACTTCTGTCCATAAGAAAAATCATATAAATTTTCTCCTGAGTTGATAGAGCAATGTTTAAAGACATATATTGATGGTTTACGGTGGTTGAGATTTCAGATATGATGTGAGAGGATTGAGGACAACTGATAGGAAGAGAAGAGAGGAGTGCACTGGGAGAGAGAAGCTCAGAAACATGCGGGAGGGATGACATTTTATTTCTAGAGCAGGTTGGGATGAGGTTAAAGCTGGGACAGAGAACAGAAGATCCATAAGACAAGAGACTTGAGAGAGAGCAAAGAATTTAACAGAACAAAAATCAATCAATCAATCAATCAATTTCCGAACATGAGTTAGTGAGGTGACAAGTCCTCTATTTGTCCCTGGACTTCCTTGGAGTGAGGCTCATGCTCTGCCATAGATGATATTCTGGTTCAAAACACTCCTGCTTAAATCTTGAAAGACAAGTTGATGTAATACTTAAAAGTCATCATTAGTTTTTTCATGACAATATTTTTCTGTATTTTTAACCTATCTGTCGTGTTATACATAATGATCATTTTTTTGTAAAGAGCATATAGTTGGGTCTTGCCTTGTTCACAGGCTGATAATCTCTTCCTTTTAATTAAAGTGTTTTATCTATTTATACTTGATATAAATAGTGTTCTGGTTGGATATAAGACTACCTTATTGCTAATTATTTTCTATTTGAAACACCTATCCTTGTTTCAAGTTTTCTTCCTTTCTTGCCATCTTTTGGATTAAATGTGTATTTGATTAGGATTCCATTTTAGCTCTCCAATTGACTTTTTTGTTAGTATTTGCTCTGAAGATGGCAATATGTTCTTGTAACTTATCATCATATGCAATAAATTAGAGAGTTTCGGTATGAGTGACAAACTTGTCACCTTATAGAAGAAGGCAACGTGAATGAGCTAACATTCTAGGAATAGGTTATTTTAATTATGCTTTGCTTTCTGTAATATACAAATTCCAGATTTCACTGGATATATTAATCTGTAGCATATCAATGTATACTATCAATAATTTGTGAATATTATAATGGTATAATTTAATTAAATATGAATTCAATTCCATTTTTTTGCCATTTTGGAATACACTTACCTTGTACACATGTTTTAAACCCAAAAGTATATTTTTTTAGTTTAAATAATTATCTAAAATAAATGAAGAAGAGAAAAATATACATCCTTTCTATTTAGCTACAAATTCTCCAGTTCTGGATCTCTTCATTTCTATGTGTAAATCATTTTTCTCAAAGATTTTCTTAAACATTCCGTATGGTCCAGATATGTTGGTAATAAAGGCTCATAGCATTCACCTGCAAATGTCTTCATTTCACTTTTATTTTTGGAGGATGTCAATAATGTATATAGAATTCTAGATTAAAAATTGTAATTTTTTTCTTTCAACATATTAAAAAATATTGATGTGTTGAATAATAGCTTGCATTCTGATGAGAAACCATTGGACATTCTTATCACTTTCCCCAGAGTATAATGTGAATGTTTATATTGATTTTTATTCTGGTTTTTAGTTATAATTTATTAGCTTCATTTCTTAATCTTATTGTTTAGATGTATTAGTTGGAACTCCAATGTCTTAGTTGGAATCTTAGTGTTCTTTTTCCTCTTAGGCTTTAAAATGTATTGCTTTATTTTTAGTTCTCAAAAAAAACTATGATGTGTCTAAGTATTGTGTGTGTTTGCTTATTCTGCTTGATTTTGCTTGACTTCTTAGTTTCGTGAGCTAATACTTTTCATCACAATTTGAAAATTTGTTTTCAATTATTTTTTAAATATTTTGTGTCCCAATTTCTTTTACTTTTCTTCTAACTCCAATTATACATATAATATTTGATATGTTCCTGAAGACTATTCAGGTTTTTTTCAGTCTTTTGTATTTCTAAAACATTGGTTTGGATAGTCTATATTACTTATTTTCAAGTTCAAATTCTTTAAGTTTAATAATCTTTTATTCTCTGGTCTCCCATCTATTGTTAAGGCCAGCTGGTAAACTGTTCATTTTAGATTTTACATTTTTCAGGTCTAGAGATTTTATTTCTCTGCTGATATTTCCTATCCAATTATTTATTATATTCATGCTTTCTGTAAAATTTGTAAATATATTTTTGATGTGTTTTATTTTATTTTATTTTATTTTCAACTTTTGTGTTAAATTCAGTGGGTACATGTGCAGGTTTGTTACCTGGATAAATTGCATCATGCTGAGGTTTGGAGTACAAAGGATCCCATCACCCAGGTACTGACTGAGCCTAGTACCCAATAGTTAGCTGTTTGACCCTTTTCCTACTCCATCCCTCCCTTTTTAGTAGTCGCCAGTGTCTATTGTTGCCATCTTTATGTCCATGAGCATTCAATATTTAGACCCTATTTACAAGTGAGAACATGAATTATTTGATTTTCTGTTTCTGCATTAATTTGCTTAGGAAAATGGCCTCCAGTTTCATTCATGTGGCTGCAAAGAACATAACTTTATTTTTTTAATGGCTGTGTAGTATTTCATTGTGCGTATGTACTATATTTTCTTCATCCACTTCACCATTCATAGGCACTTAGGTTGATTCTATGTTTTTGCTCTTGTAAATAGTGCTCTGATGACCATGAGAGCACATGTCTTTTTGGTAGAACAGTTTGTTTCCATTTGCATATTAAATTAGTCTGTTTTCACATTGCTATAAAGAAATACCTGAGACTGGGTAATGTATAAGAAAGGAAGATTAATTGGCTCACAGTTCTGCAGGCTGTATAGAAAGTGTAGTGGTTTCTGCTTCTGGGAGGCCTGAGGAAGCGTCCAAACATGGAGTAAGGAGAAGGGAGAGCAGACATTTTATATGGCAGAAGCAGGAGCAAGACAGAGAGAAGTGGGGGAGGTGCTATGCACTTTTATAAAACTAGATCTCATGAGAAGTCACTCACTATCATGAGAACAGCACCAAAGGATTGGTGCAAAATCATTCATGGGAAATTCCCCCCCATTAACAAATCACCTCCCACAAGGCACCACTTCCAATAATTGGAATTACAATTCAACATGAGATTTGGGCAGGAACACAGATCCAAACCATATCAGATATATACCCAGTAATGGTATATAATGCTGGATCGAATGGTAGCTCTGTTTTAAGTTCTTTGAGAAATTTCCAAATTTATTTCCACCGTGGTTTGCCACTTAGAAATTTCTTCTGCTGGATACCCTAAATCATCTCTCTCAAGTTCAAATTTCCACAGATCTCTAGGGCAGAGGCAAAATGCTGCCAGTCTCTTTGCTAAAGCATAAGAAGAGTCACCTTTCCTCCAGTTCCCAACAAGTTCCTCATCTCCATCTGAGACCACTTCAGCCTGGACTTCATTGTCCATATCACTATAAGGATTTGGGTCAAAACCATTCAACAAATCTCTAAGAAGTCCCAGACTTTCCCACATCTTCATGTCTTCTTCTGAGCCCTCCAAACTGTTCCAACCTCTGCCTGTTATGTGGTTCCAAAGTCACTTCCACATTTTCAGGTATCTTTATGGCAGCACCCCATGCTCTGTTGTATTAATTTACTGTATTAGTCTGTTCTCACACTGCTAACAATCACATACCCAAGACTGGGCAATTTTTAAAATAAAGAGGCTTAATTGACTCACAGTTCATCATGTCTGGGGAGGTCTCAGGAAATTTACAATCATGTCAGAAGGGGAAGAAAACACATCCTTCTTCACGTAGCAGCAGGAAGGAGAAGCACCGAGCAAAAGAAGGAAAAACCCCTTATAAAACCATCAGGTCTCATGAGAACTCACTCACTATCACAAGAACAGCATGAGGGTAACCACCCCCATGGTTAAATTACTTCCCACCAGGACCCTCCCATGACATGTGAGGATTATGGGAATTACAATTCGAGATGAGATTTGGGTAGGGACACAGCCAAACTATATCAATCACCCTGAGCATTAAATGCTCAATATTTTATAGAAGCATCAAGACCATTCCTATGCAGATTTCTGAGGCCCCTTCTCTGTGTAGCTTATTTTTTCTGGTAGCCTGAATATAGGTTTCCTCAGTAACTCCAAATTCTGATATCTGTCTTCTTAGCTTAGCCATATCCTCTACTCAACATATATTCTACTTCGCTGAGCTTCCAAGAGCCTCCAGGAAGAAAACTAGTGCAACTGTAGAGCTCACTTCATGTGTTTCCCTTGTCTCTGGAATCACATTCCTATGCTAACTGTCCGATGTCTGAAACCAGTGGCCTTTATACATTTTGTCATGATTTGGAGTTGTTTATTGTGGGAGAATCAATGTGGAGCCAGGAACTTCATCATGCCTGTAAAATAATGTCCTAAAGCTGCTCTTTCTTATCACTTTACTTATCTCAGGACCTTTGTAAAGTTTAAACAACGACAACAACAAATACTTGTTTCCTTTATGTCAAGGCCGTTTTGTTGATAAACATACAAACCTCTTCGTTTACTGATCTTTCACTCTCATTTATTTTTAAAAAAATAAAAGAAAATCCCCTGGTTTGCAGGCTCTTCTTTGCCCTCTGTGTTATCAAAATCTTAAGAAACTTCAAGGTCCATATGGTGACATATACAACATTCTGATCTTCAGTTCTCTGATTTGTTTTTGTACAGTTGCTTTCTATTTGTTTTCAGGTCTATGACTCACTTTTATAACTTCTCTCCAGGTTTGCCATCACTTGAAATATATTTTATCTCTTATGTCATAAATTCAGGCACCTACTACTTCAACCACAACCTCCTATTTATTTGCTAACCTATCCCCAGGTCTTCAATCATTTAACTTCCTTAGGACCTCCAGCACACACATACATATCCATGTCCTTTCTACCCTCTCCTTTTGACTAAATCTCCTATGCTGTGTATCCACTTCAATAACGTTCTTGCTAATATTCTCAGAAACCTCATTTATTTGACTTGTCATACTCTACCTTACCCTCCCCTCCCCTAACCCCCCTAAACAAAACATGACACTCAGTTTTCATCTATCTGCCTTCTCTGCACCAAGATGCTAAACATAGTACAGAAATAGCACCCTACTCAGATTGGTGCCACTAAAATTTGTGATTCTCAACATCCCATGAGACTTAAACTTTCATAAAACTTCCGTGTTTCTTTAGCCATGTTTCTCTTTTGTTTACCACAGAAACTATTACGTTGGTGCGAATGTAGTTGCGGTTTTTGCCATTAACTAGATCTCACGAGAAGTCAAAAGTAATGGCAAAAACCACAATTATGTTTGCACCAACCTAAATATATCAAATACACCTAATTATTTCTAATGCCTGACACCTTCACTCACTGTCGAATACTCAGCCAATGTCCTTTCTTTGAATAGAAGTCATTACTTGAAAAATATTTCTATTTCCTTGAATCAAACAGATCAACATCAGTACCCATCTTATCCATCTCTTCTGCAACAACGGAATGGGTAATGTGTCCCTTCTCCTGCCAAAGTTTCATCACCCCACCCATGATCTGGACTGTGAACACTTTTCTTTTTTCTTTGAGATGGAGCTTCACTTTGTTATCCAGGCCGGAGTGCAGTGGCACAATCTTGGCTCACTGTAACCTCGCCTCCCGAGTTTAAGCAATTCTCCTGCCTCAGCCTCCTGAGTAGCTGGGATTACAGATGTGCACCACCACGGCCAGCTCTTTTTTGTATTTTTAGTAGAGTTGGGGTTTCACCATGTTGGCCAGGCTGGTTTCAAACTCCTGACCTCGTGATCTGCCCGCCTTAGCCTCCCAAAGTGCTGGGATTACAGGTGTGAGCGACCGCGTCTGGCCTGTGAACCGTTTTCTTGATCTCTCTGTCTCTTCAAAGATTCCCCTTCTACTGGCTTCTTTCCATTAGCATGTATAACACATATATTCAAATCTATTTTTCCATAAGTCTCTCTTGACATCAGGTCCCCCTAACACTATTTCTCTTTTCTGTCTCATAGAGAATCTCTACAGCCAGACTGTCCAAGTTCATATTCCAGATTTGCCACTTACTAGCTGATTACTATTAATGTAACCTTTAACAACTCATCCAGCCTAAATGTGATTTCCTCCTCTGTAATATTAATACCTATCTCATAACTTAGACTAAATTGTAATATATGTGAAGCATTTGAAAATGCCTAGAAAATCAAATGCTAAATAAGTATTGGATATAGTGATACATATTATTATTGTTTAAGTGAAATTTTCTGGAACAAGTATTCATACAAGTTATATAGTCGTTCTTATTTTCTGATTATTACTCAGCACTCAGATATCTGGCAGCTGTGTCAAATGTTCAGTGAAATGTTCTTGCCAAGACATTGCCAAATCCAAGAGATATTTCTCAGTTTTTCTTATCTGACTTTTGCCAGCATTTCACATTGCTGATCATTTCCTAGTTGCTGTAACATCCCATTTTCCTGATCTCTGTGGAATTATTCTCTCTGGGATGTCTTCTACCCTTTGGGTGTTCCTTCTTACTATATTTTGCAATTTTTTTCTTCTTTTTCTTTTTTTGCTTTCATTTTAAGTGTTAACTGTCTTAAATGCCAGGATTTTCCGGAGTTCTCTTTTAGATTCTCTTCTCACTCTACACATTGTTCCTGATCTCATTTCTCCTGGTGTTTTCAATATACTTGCTGATTATTTTTTTAAAAATCTCTGTCTTCAGCAAAAATCTATCTCCTGAGCACCCAATCAATTTAGCTACTAAAATCTCCATGGGGATCTTAGATTCAACACATATAAAATGTAACCCATCTAAGTTGCTTCCAAGATGGCCAAATAGGAACAGCTCCAGTCTGCAGCTCACAGCGAGATTGACGCAGAACATGGGTGATTTCTACATTTCCAACTGAGGTACCTGGTTCATCTCATTGAGACTGGTTGGACGGTGGGTGCAGCCCATGGAAGATGAGCTGAAGCAGGATGGGGTGTCGCCTCACCCAGAAGGCACAAGGGGTTGGGGGATTTCCCTTTTCTAGCCAAGGGAAGTTGTGACAGACTGTATCTGGAGAAATGGTACACTCCTGACCAAATACTGCACTATTCCCACAGTCTTAGCAACTGGCAGACCAAGGGATACCTTCCCATGCCTGGCTCAGTGGGTCCCACGCCCACAGAGCCTTGCTCACTGCCAGCGTGGCAGTCTGACATCAACCTGAAATGCTGCAGCTGGATGGGGGAGGGGTGTCCACCATTGCTGAGGCTTGAGTAGCTCACAGTGTAAACAAAGAGGCCTGGAAGCATGAAGCGGGTGGAGGCCCCTGCAGCTCAGCAAGGCCTAGTGCCTTTATAGATTCCACCTCTGGGGGCAGGGCATAGGAGAAGAAGAGGCAGCAGACACCTTCTGCAGACTTAAACGTCCCTGTCTGACAGCTCTGAAGAGAGCAGTGGTTCTCTCAGCATGGTGCTCGACCTCCAATAATGGACAGACTACCTCCTCAAGCAAGACCCTGATCCCCATGTAGGGTGACTGGGAAAAACCTCCCAGCCGGAGCCAACAGACACCTCAAACAGGTGGGTGCTCTTCTGGGATGAAGCTTCCAGAGGAAGGATAAGGCAGCAATATTTGCTCTTCTGCAGCCTCTGCTGATGATATCCTGGCAAACAGGGTCTGGAGTGCAACTCCAGCAAACTCCAACATACCTGCAGCTGAGGGGTCTGATTGTTAGAAGGAAAACTAACAAACAGAAAGGAATAGTATCAACATCAACAAAAAGGACATCCACACCAAAACCCCATCTGTAGGTCACCAGCATGAAAGACCAAAAGTAGATAAATCCACAAAGGTGGGGAGAAAACAGAGCAGAAGAGCTGAAAATTCCAAAAAATAGAGCACCTCTTCTCCTCCAAAGGATTTCAGCGCCTCGCCAGCAAGGGAACAAAACTAGATGGAGAATGAGTTTGATGAGTTGACAGAAGTAGGCTTCAGAAGGTCGGTAATAACAAACACCTCTGAGCTCTAACCCATCACAAGGAAGCTAAAAACCTGGAAAAAAGGTTAGACAAATGGCTAACTAGAATAAATAGTGTAGAGAAGACCTTAAATGACCTCATGGAGCTGAAAACCATGGCATGAGAACTTCATGAAACATGCACAAGCTTCAACAGCCGATTTGATCAAGTGGAAAAAAGGATATCAGTGATTGAAGATCATATTAATGAAATAAAGTGAGAAGACAAGATTAGGGAAAAAAGAGTGAACAGAAATAAACAAAGCCTCCAAGAAATATTGGACTACGTGAAAAGACCAAATCTACATTTCATTGGTGTGCCAGAAAGTGATGGGGAGAATGGAACCAAGTTGGAAAACACTCTTCAGGATATTATCCAGGAGAACTTCCCCAACCTAGCAAGGCTGGCCAATATTCAAATTCAGGAAATACAGAGAACACCACAGAGATACTTCTCAAGAAGAGCAACCCCAAGACACATAATTGTCAGATTCACCAAGGTTGAAATGAGGAAAACATGTTAAGGGCAGCCAGAGAGAAAGGTCGAGTTACCCACAAAGGGAAGCCCATCAGACTAACAGTAGATCTCTTGGCAGGAACCCTACAAGCCAGAAGAGAAAGGGGACCAATATTCAACATTCTTAAAGAAAGAATTTTCAACCCAGAATCTCATATCCAGCTAAACTAAGCTTCATAAGTGAAGGAGAAATAAAATCCTTTACAGACAAGCAAATGTTGACTGATTTTGTCACCACCACACCTTATTAGAACTCCTGAAGGAAGCACTAAACATGGAAAGGAACAATTGGTACCAGCCACTGCAAAAACATGCCAAATGGTAAAGACCACAGATGCTCTGAAGAACCTGCATCAATTAACAGGCAAAATAACCAGCTAACATCATAATGACAGGATCAAATTCACACATAACAGTATTAACCTTAAATGTTAATGGGCTAAATGCCCCAATTAAAAGACACAGACTGTCAAATTGGATAGAGTCAAGATTCATTGGTGTGCTGTATTCAGGAGACCCATCTCACTTGCAGAGACACACATAGGCTCAAAATAAAGGGATGGAGGAATATCTACCAAGCAAATGGAAAGCAAAAAAAGCAGGGGTTCCAATTCTAGTCTCTGATAAAACACACTTTAAACTGACAAAGATCAGAAGAGATAAAGAAGGCCACTACATAATGGTAAAGGGATCAATTCAACAAGAAGAGCTAACTACCCTAAATATATATGCACCCAATACCAGAGCACCCAGATTCATAAAGCAAGTCCTTAAAGACCTACAAAGAGATTTAGACTCCCATACAATAATAATGGGAGACTTTAACACCCCTCTGTCAATATTAGACAGATCAACAAGACAGGAGGTTAACAAGAATATCCAGGACTTGAACTCAGCTGTGGACCAAGCAGACCTAATAGACATCTACAGAACTCTACACCCCAAAGCAACAGAATATACATTCTTCTTGGCACCACATTGCACTTATTCTAAAATTGACCACATAATCAGTAGTAAAATGCTCCTCAGCAAATGTGAAAGAGCAGAAATCACAACAAACTGTTTCTCAGACTACAGTGCAATCAAATTATAACTCAGGATCAAGAAACTCACTCAAAACTGCACAACTACATGGAAACTGAACAACCTGCTCTGAATGACTGCTGGATGGATAACAAAATGAAGGCAGAAATAAAGATGTTATTTGAAACCAATGAGAACAAAGACACAATGTAACAGAATCTCTGGGACACATTTAACGCAGTGTGTAGAGGGAAATTTATAGCACTAAATGCCCACAAGAGAAAGCAGGAAAGATCTAAAATTGACACCCTAACATCACAATTAAAAGAATTAGAGAAGCAAGAGCAAACACATTCAAAAGCTAGCAGAAGGCAAGTAATAACTAAGATCAGAGCAGAACTGAAGGAAATAGAGACACACACAAAAAAACCCTTCAAAAAATCAGTGAATCCAGGAGTTGGTTTTTAGAAAAGATCAACAAAATAGATAGACTGCTGACAAGACTAATAAAGAAGAAAAGAGAGAAGAATCAAATAGATGCAATAAAAAATGATAAAGGGGATATCACCACAGAAACACAAACTACCATCAGAGAATACTATAAACACTTCTACACAAATAAACTAGAAAATCTAGAAGAAATGGATAAATTAATGGATACATACACCCTTCCAAGACTAAACCAGGAAGAAGTTGAATCCCTGAATGGACCAATAGCAGGTTCTGAAATTGAGGCAATAATTAATAGCCTACCAACCAAAAAAGTCCAGGACCAGACAGATTCACAGCTGAATTCTACCAGAGGAACAACAAGAAGCTGGTACCATTCCTTCTGAAATGATTTCAATCAATAGAAAAAGAGGGAATTATCCATAACTCATTTTATGAGACTAGCATCATCCTGATACCAAAGCCTGGTAGAGATAAAACAAAAAAAAAGATCATTTTAGGCCTATATCCCTGATGACCATTGATGCGAAAATCCTCAATAAAATACTGGCAAACCGAATCCAGCAGCACATCAACAAGCTTATCCAACACGATCAATTCGGCTTCATCCATTGGATGCAAGGCTTGTTCAACATACACAAATCAATAAATGTAATCCATCATATAAACAGAACCAATGACAAAAACTGCATGATTATCTCAATAGATGCAGAAAAAGCCTTTGACAAAATTCAACAGCCCTTCATGCTAAAAACACTCAATAAACTAGGTATTGATGGAACGTATCTCAAAATAGTAAGAGCTATTTATGACAAACCCACAGCCAATATCAGACTGAATGGACAAAAACAGGAAGCATTCCCTTTGAAAACCAGCACAAGACAAGGATGCCCTCTCTCACCACTCCTGTTCAACATAGCGTTGGAATTTCTGGCTAGGGCAATCAAGTAAGAGAAAGAAATAAAGAGTATTCAATTAGGAAGAGAGGAAGTCAAATTTTCTCTGTTTGCAGATGACATGATTGTACATCTACAAAACCCCATCATCTCAGCCCAAAATCTCCTTAAGCTGATAAGCAACTTCAGCAGAGTCTCAGGATACAAAATCAATGTGCAAAAATCACAAGCATTCCTATACACCAATAATAGACAAACAGAGAGCCAAATCACAGGTGAACTCCCATTCATAATTGCTACAAAGAGAATAAAATACCTAGGAATCCATCTTACAAGGGATGTAAAGGACCTCTTCAAGGAGAAGTACAAACCACTGCTCAACAAAATAAAAGAGGACACAAACAAATGAAAGAACATTCCATGCTCATGGATAGGAAGAATCAATATTGTGAAAATGGCCATACTGCCCAAAGTAATTTATAGATTCAATGCTATCCCTATCAAGCTACCACTGACTTTCTTCATAGAATTGGAAAAAACTAAAATTCATATGGAACCATAAAAGAGCCTGTATAGCCAAAATAATTCTAAGCAAAAAGAACAAAGCTGGAGGCATCACACTATCTGACTTCAAACTATACTACAAGGCTACAGTAACCAAAATAGCATGGTACTGTTAGCAAAACAGATATATAGACTAATGGAACAGAAAATAGGCCTCAGAAATAACACCAAACATCTACAACCATCTGATCTTTGACAAACCTGACAAAAACAAGAAATGGGGAAAGGATTCCCTATTTAATTAATGGTGTTGGGAAAACTGGCTAGCCATAGGTAGAAAGCTGAAACTGGATCCCTTCTTTACACTTTATACAAAAATTAACTTGAGATGGATTAAAGACTTAAATGTAAGACCTAAAACCATAAAAATCCTAGAAGAAAACCTAGGCAATACCATTCAGGACACAGGCGTGGGCAAAGGCTTCATGACTCAAACACCAAAAGCAATGGCAACAAAAGCCAAAATAGGCAAATGGGATCTACTTAAACTAAAGAGCTTCTGCACAGCAAAAGAAACTATCATCAGAGTGAACAGGCAACCTACAGAATGGGAGAAAATTTTTGCAATCTACCGCTCTGCCAAAGGGCTAATATCCAGAATCTACAAAGAACTTAAACAAATTTACAAGAATAAAATGAACGACCCCATCAAAAAGTGAGCAAAGTATATGAACAGACACTTCTCAAAAGAAGACATTTATGCAGCCAACAGACATATGAAAAATGCTTATCATCACTGGTCATTAGAGAAATGCAAATCAAAACCACAATGAGATATCATCTCATGCCAGTTAGAATGTGATCATTAAAAAGTCAGGAAACAACAGATGCTGGAGAGGATGTGGAAAAGTAGGAACGCTTTTACACAGTTGGTGGGAGTGTAAATTAGGTCAACCATTGTGGAAGACAGTGTGGCTAGAACCAGAAATAGCATTTGACCCAGCAATCCCATTACTGGTCATATACCCAAAGGATTATAAATCATTCTACGATAAAGACACATGCACACGTATGTTTATTGAGGCACTATTCACAAGAGCAAAGTCTTGGAACCAACCCAAATGTCCATCAATGATAGACTGGATTAAGAAAATGAGGCACATGTACACCATGGAATACTATGCAAGCATAAAAAAGGATGAGTTCATGTCCTTTGCAGGGACATGGATGAAGCTGGAAACCATCATTCTAAGCAAACTATCACAAGGACAGAAAACCAAACACCTCATGTTTTCACTCATAGGTGGGAGTTGAACAATGAGAACACATGAACCCAGGGTGGGGAACATCATACACTGGGGTCTGTCAGGGGGTGGAGGGTTGGGGGAGGGATAGCATTAGGAGAAATACCTAATGTAAATGATGAGTTGACGGGTGCAGCAAACCAACATGGCACACGTTTACCTATGTAACAAACCTGCACATTGTGCACATGTACCTTAGAACTTAAAGTATAATTAAAAAAATAATAATAAGCCATGTCCTTTTGCATCCTAAAGTGCTCATCCTCCTATGTCCCTTATCTCAACATTAAATAGAACTGCCAATGGAGCCCTGCAGTGAAGAACTCCAGGGGCCACCATTCATCTTGCAATAGGCAAATGAGGACAATTTACATGAAATACAATTTTAAAAGTGCCTCCCTTGACTTAGACAGCATGACAATCTACCTAATTACCTGAGTCAAAACCTCATGCGTTATCCTTGATATCTTTCCTTCATATCTAATTGCTGTCAACTCCAGTTCCCGAATCCCTCACAAATCCATTCTCCTCTCAATGTCTAATGCAACTCCCCTGATTTAGATGTCATCATCGTCCTGGTTCTTTTAATTTAAAATCCAAACCTCTTCATACTATTTTCAGAATCTTCAGATACTGTTCCCACTTGCCACTCTGGCTTCCACTCTAGCTACTTTCCCTTAATCTTCTACAATCCAGTCATACTGAAAGTTTCTCAGTTGCTCTAAGCTTTCTCTTACCTTTGTGATTTTAGTCATGCTTTTTCCTCAACTCAAATATTTGTGTGTGTGTGTGTGTGTGTGTGTGTGTGTGTGTGTGTTTCTTCTCTTTACCAAGAAGCCTTAACTTGGGCATCCATAGTATTCTAGGCAACTATTTGAGTATAACCGGTTTACTTACGAGGTGATCCCAGGAGAAATGTTAGGAAAATGAGTGAGATAGAAGGAAAGGGAGACAATACAGAGTATATTAATGAGCATGTTACCACTATGGGCAATGGATACTCGATTCTCCTAGGAACATTTGGGATATAATACAGAACACACCCCAGAATAACCGCATACAAGAAGCAAGGAAGCTGGGCTACCCATCTTCTTTCCCCTGTTGTCCTTGATTGACAGCATTTCCTACAGAGTCAGTTATTCAGCCCGATCATTGGACAGGTTTCACAGCTAGAGAAATCCCTCAGTCAGAGTATGGCAGGGCTGAAAGTGGGACATCAACATATGCTAAGAACATATATGGGAAGCCAAACCTGATAGCTGAAAACTCTTTTAATATTCCTCTTCTGGGACCCTTTTGAATTATTATGTCATTTATCAAGTTTTAGTGGGAGAAATTACAATTAAACAACAAATTGCAATAAACCATATGTCCAGTTCAACATTGTTTCCCTAAAACTTGGCCCATAGTTGGTACTCCCTATACCTTTTGACTAAACTCTTTTTTTTTGTTTTACAGTATATTTTACATTTGGTAGCAATAATTACATCCCTTTCAAAGTTTTTCCAGGTGTTTCAGACTTTTATTCACTGCTCTCTGCCTCATTTAGGCAGAAAAATTGGTATTTGGAAAAGATTTTAAAGGAAAGTATAAGTCACTGTTTGAGATATCAAATAGTAATTGTTAAAATATGGTTTTCTTACATGAAGTACCCTGTGCTCTTAATCATTAACCCTCTATCCTGAAATACTGTTTCAAATACTTTCTTTGAATGTTCACATTTGAGAAATTCCAAAAGACAAACATTTATCCTATAAAATAAATGAAAATGTCATTTATAATATGTTCCAAGTGCTTGGCACCTATGCTGATTGGATCTAATCATATTGTCTGATGAGATTTCCTCTCCAGAGATAACTAATTGGAATGACATAGTGTAACAGTGAGCTCTGGGTGAAATAATCAGACATTTCGAGCTGAATGAATGGCTTTTGTGTCAGATGTTGCAGAGCTAAAACATTATGTGTTGCTTCCTGACTTATGAACCCCAGAGTTTAATTCTTCTCTTTTTCTTCACAGATTCCATTTTTTGGCAAGAAAAGTCATCACTTACTTCTGCTGCCCCAAACGTTTCATTGTTCCTCATTGCCTCAAGGAAAAAGTCAATCATCGCTATCCTGAAGAGCACTGGTGCCCTAGTTTTTGTTGTTGCCATTTCTCATCTTCAATATTCTGCTGGTGATATGTAAATAGTATTTGTCAGGGTCCAGTTTATTTTAGAATGCCAATCGCTGTACTTGGTATTTCACATAAAATATTGTATTTAACCCTGAGGGCAAGGGAGATAATTATTTACGTTGACAACAGAGTTAGATTGAATAAGGTATGGAAATCCTGTAGAGATACACCTATGATGTGATTCCAAGTCGAACTCAAATCCAGACGCTTTACCCTTTACGCCCTCCTACTCCTCCAAGATTCCTCTGAAGGACAACTTCATTTCAGGCATTAACAAAAAGCATCTCACTGTAATATTGCAGAGTCCCTACAATAAGCATTTTACAGATGAGAAAACTAAGGCACTACAACATTAAGAACTTCGCATAAAGGGACACAGACACTAAGTGGCGGAGTCCTGATTCAAACCATATGTATCTGAATTCACGTTCTATTCTTTTTCCACTCTACTATATAGCCTCTTTATCTGGAAAACTACCCCCTTCATTCTTCCCCAGTCAAAACTCTACCTATTCTCCAAGTTACAGCTCCAATACAACTTCTCTGATCTTCCTCTGCACTTCAATAGAACTTACCACACTTGGCTAATGAGTATTGCCTTGTACTGTGATGACATAAAATAAAAATAAAAATGTGATGCTGGGTGTAGTGGCTCACACCTGTAATCCTAGCACTTTGGGAGGCCAAGGCAGGCGGATGACCTGAGCTCAGGAGCTTGAGAAGCCTGGGCAACATGGCAAAATCCCATCTCTACTAAAAGTCCAAAAAATTAGCTGGGTATGGTGGTGCACACCTGTAATCACAGATACTTGGGAGGCTGAGTCACGAGAATTGCTTGAACCCAGGAGGTGGAGGTTACAGTGAGCTGAGATCACACCACCACAGCACTCTAGCTTGGGCAACAGAGTGAGACTCTGTCTCAAAAAACAAGTAAACAAACAAACAAACAAAAGATATGAACAATAAACTATTAGAGAATATTGAATATTTGTACATACACTACCTCATTTGATCCTAAAATTTATCCTTATTATTCCAGTTTTACAGAAGGGATTGAAATGACTTTCTCAGAAATTACTCATGCCGTCTGCTATGTTGTCAAGTTTTGACTTGAACCTGTCTAAAAACATATATATTTTGCTTTGGCAAAAATCTAGACTTAGATAATAAAATACTAAGCTTAACTTGAAATCTTCCAATGGCAAGCTTCGATATATCAGGCTTTAACATACATTTTCTTGTTGAATCCTTCATATAGTTGTAGGAAGTAGTTCATTTGCTTATAACCTCACAGCTTTTTCTATACTGTTGTTGATTCCTTCAACAAAAATGTATTAAATACCTGTTATATACTCAATATGGTACCAAAAAGGGTAAATCTGCTTTAGAATGTTTTAATAATTTCCCATTTTTCTTATGTTTAGAACCAAAATTTCTAATATGATGGGTTCCTTCCTACCTCTCCAGCCTAAACTTATGCAGCATTAGAAATTGTCCCAAGCATCCTAGCCACGATGACCTTCTTGCAATTCTCAGAATTATTAAATTCTATATTGCAGATGTAGGGGAAGAATAACTTCCCATCTGCCCTCTGAGGGATCAATAATTAAGTCGATGAAATAAACTGACAACAGGCAGAGTAACATGAGAAAAGGTATACAAATTTATTATATGCAAGGAAACATCACATGAAAAAAATCAAATACTCAAAAACCCAGTGAGATCTAGAAGCTTAGGTGCAAATCTTCCTAGCGGAGTGTGAGGGGGAGAAGTAGGCAACTTAGAACAGAGTAAATTATTTTGTCAAGATGAATAGGCCCTCAGAAAAACACGTGAAAGCCTGTGACAAAGTCTGTCTGGGCATAGTGTGGACCTCTAGCTTCCTCTCCTGTGATACAAGCTGATCTTCCCTGGTTGATGAGATTCCTGGGAAGAGAATTTACACAGTTGAGTTCCTTTTGAAGGACCTATCTTTAGGCAGACAGAAGAAGTTCAGAGAAAGCCTCTTCCTGCATTTACCATTCCCCAAGTATGCTTAGTTTGAAGTAATTTGCATACCAAAACAATATATCTTGGGTAGCATTCCTGAACTCTTTCATAGCATACACTCCATAGTGCTTTTTAAGTGCTGGGTGCTATTCATAATAGTTTACAAATATTTACTATTTTAATTATAACAACCACCTTTAGGGTGGGTACCATTAAAGCCAATTTATAGAGGAGGAAACTGTGGCACAGAAATTAAATAGTTTGTATAACGTCACACAGCTTAAATATTATGCATCAAGCTCTCTGGTCAAGCATGCCCTGACCTCCTTTGAACTTGATCTATTCCCTGCCAGTAACATACCTTTTTCTTCAGACTGCAGATGAAGTTACTCTTCTCTGAAAAGGTTCTTCCAGTTTATTATTTTTTTTTTGTACATACTCATATAATTACATTTGTTTTCACCTTTGCCCGGGAAATGTGCAATTCGTGGAGGGTATGTGTTCACCTCCATATCCCTAGCATGGTATTTGCCACATAGTAGGCACCCAACTATGTGCTGAATTAATAAATTTGGATTGATTAAATAAGTGTATCAGGTACCACAGTGCATACTATCAGGTATAATCCTTGTCCTCCAGGAGCTCTAAGCCTAATGTCAAATACAGACAAGGGAACACATGATTATAACCTGACATAATAGCTGTAATGATTAAACACAAGTGACTGCAGAGCACAGAGGAAGGCAATTCATTCTGTCTGATGATCTGAAAGGCTTTCCAGATTCTATGACATATAGGGAATGAGCAGAATTTCTAAGGGAGAAAAGAGTTGGATGGGGTGGTTTCCTGGGTAGAAGGAACCCCTTGTAAGGTACAGACATAAAAGCAGAGGGTGAGATATGACATAGAGATAAATTGTTTATGGGTGAATTGGAGATGGCATTGAGAGAAGTGGTGAAGAATGAAGCTTATTTTGAAGTTTAAGGTCAGTATTATGAAAGATGACATAGCCTGTGCTAAGAGTTAGAATCTGGTTGTATAGAGAGAAGGAAACGATAAGTAGTATAATAATTTTAAAAGTATTTTCAATGTGCTTTAGAAAGATCAATCAAACCACTAAATGGACAATTATTCCTCTATCTTTGAATTTGGTTTTTGTAGTATTAATGCAAATTTCAAAGGGTACTCCAAATAGCCCAATTTAATATGAGTCTTAGGACATCAGGGCTAAAGAAGATTGAGAAATGATTGAAATGTTTCCTGGTATCACAGTAATTTGCAACAAATCTCTGTAATTTGCATTACGATACATGCCAAGCTGCAGTATGAGACAGCCACAGGTCATCCCCAAGCCCTGAGTATGCTGTATCTGTTGCATTTATATCTTCATTTCATGAAGTCTTTCAAATGATATACCTAAGACCAATTGAATTCCTAATCATAAGAATTCCTGTCTTTACTGAGTTGATCACCTCAATATGTTTGTGAAGTCAGCTTTTTTTGTTGTTTTCAATAAAACAAGATTAGGCACAAACCATTTTAAAAATAATAGAGGATGCAAATAGTTCATGGACAATGTTAATGTTCATTAACAATAGAATATAAACCAAACTAAGTAGATGTTGTGCAACAGTCTCCAGCTTTGTCCTACTACTGGCCAAGACAGCTTTAACATTTCCCTCAGCTTGACTAAATTTAAGTAAGCTTCTTTCTGACTTCAGTCCCTGCCCTCTCTTTGCTTAAAACATTAACTTTAGAAACTTGCGATTGTAAATTCCTCCTCTGCCCATTAGAGATATAAATTTTCTACAACCTAGAAATATCTTTCTCATCAAATCATCAAGAAAGAGTGGGCTCCTTTCTCCCAGTTTCTGAGGGACCGTAATAGCCTAATTTAGATAAGTGACAATCGGCTAACGCAAATAGCCTAATCATTTTAACCAACCTCCCCCATCCCAATGTCCTCTTGTAGTTTTCCGTTAGCTCACGACAGCATTTAAATATCTTCAGCAGAACTGTTCAATCTCTCTCTTCTATTGCAATGGCTATGATATAAATACTATGTCTTTAAAAGTAATATAACTTAGTTTTTCCCTACAGTTAATTATCAACAAAATCACACATCAGAAAAGCTTGCTTTAAAAACTTGCAGGTAGATGCAACGTCTAATACTAAATAATGAAAAAAGCAAGATTCTTAAAACTCTGCAACCTACCTGGGTCAGTCGGTAGCAGCAGCAGCCTTTATACTTATTCATTTTCAAACATTTGTTGAATCCCTTACTGTGTGTTAGTATTGTTTTTAACATTTGGGATATATCAGTTAATTAAACAGATAAAGATCCTTGCCCTCAAGGATCTTACATTTTAGAAGAGAAGAGCAGACGGAACAGAAATGTGACATAAAAATAAATTATAGATTATGTTTTACAGTGAAAAGTTCTATGAAAGAAAAAGGAAATTAAAGCCAGGTTAAGGGATGTTTTAATGAATTTTACTTGGAGTAAAATAGGAAAGCTTTACAGGATTTTTAATATGGATGTGACATGATTTTACCCAAAGTTTTAAACAAAATAGATAATTCTGGATGCTGGGTAGAAAATAAGCCATAGGTGGAAAAGGTTAAAAGTAGGAGATCAGATGAAAGTTACTGCAGTTTATCCAGGAAAGACTTTAGCACAAATGTTAATAATAGGTCAGGCGGTATGTAGTAATATGTTCTAGATATATTAACAATCAAGACAACAAAGTTTCCTAAAAGAGAGGATGTGAGCTGTGGGAGAAAGGGAGAAAGAATAATTAAAAGCTTTTTCGCTTGAAGCAAGTAATATGCAGTTGCTATCAATTGAGATGGAGAGGGTTGCATTTGGAATAGCATTTGAGAAAAAGACTAAGAGTTAAGTTTGGGACGTGCAGATTTTTACGATTTGAATGTATTTCAAGAGTAGCTATTGATTTGGAAGTTGAATATATGATCTTGGAGTTAGGAAGAACTGGGTAGGAGAGATAAATTTGAGAGTCACTGACATATAAATGCTATTTTAAAACCACGAGGTAACACCAAGGGAGTGAGAGAAGAAAAGATGAAGAATGACTGAGGAATGGTCCTTGGTCATTCCAAGTTTCAGGAATGAGGAGGAAGAGGGGAGAGGAAAGAGGAAAGTTAGGAGAAACACTAGGAAAGTGTGACAATCTGCAAGTCAAATGAAGAAAATATATCAAAAAAGGTACAGTGAGCCTTTGGCTCAGATATTGCTGATAGGTGAGTGGAATGATAATTAATAATTGATCATTGGATTTGGCAGTGCAGAGATCATTGATGGCTGTTACCACATTCGTCTTGGTGGAGTTGGATAAATACCTGGTTGGAGTAGATTTAGGAGAGAATGGGAAAAAGGATTTAAAGGTAAGCAGTATTGCTTAAAGCTGTCAAAAGAAGCAAATAATTGGAATAAGTGTGCTGGCACTTGAGGAGGCAAGTTAATTTTGTTTTGTTTTTATAATATGGTAGAAAAAGTGATATGCTTGTATGTTTTGGGGAATGGTCCACTAAAGAGTGAAAATTTGAGGAAATAGAAGAGAAGGGAACATTGTTACTGCAATGTCCTGGAGGATGCAAAAAGAAATAGCATCAAATATAAAAGGAGTGGGCAGTTAACTTTACATAGGAGCATGAATAGTTCATTTATGTGAACAGGCAGGATGACAGAGTAGGTGGCAACAGATGCTGGAAGGTGGGTAGCTGTGCTGATGAGAGTCTAAAAAAGTTCTCTTCAGATTAATTCAGCATTTCAGTGAAGTAGGAAGCAAGGTCTTCAGCTAAAAGTGAGGTAGAGGGTTTGTGGAAGTATAAGCAGAGAGGAAGAGCTATGAATTACTGTCTAAGAGATGGGAAAGGGAAGAGATTATCACCTTCATGACTAACCCTCAATAAAATTTTACTGTACTAAATGTCAAGCTGTCATATCTTGGTTAACCTCTATAGCAGTAGTGTGAGATAATTACTATTATTCCCATTTCACAGGTGAGAATACTGAGTCTCAGAGAAAATAGACAACTGTCCCAAGTTACATAGTTAAAAAACGATGACATTAATATTCAATTTCACCCTATATGACTTCAAACATGATGCTTTTAATTACTTTGCACTGCTTCTACATGTTCCCTTGGGCATACAAGTGTCTCAGAAGAATTAAAAAATATATAAATTATCTCTCTTTCTTGCACATGATAGAATATACTCACATCACATTTGGTTATTAAAGTCATTTAATGAACATTTCATTCTAAAAAAATATGCTACAGAAAGAAATACTGTAAGTTCAAACAGAAGTAACTGACTTCCTACCATTACCTCTCTTGATATGTAAACCCACATTCTAATATTTTAACATTGCATATGTTAAGAGGTGGAGAATATTATAGCATTAATTTCAAGGATCCATATATTATACTTCCAGCAATACAATCTAAGGTTATATTTGATGTTTAACAGCTGATTACTATAAGCTTTTCTTGCGTTTAATAGTTGTATTGATTATGGCTATTTCCAGCAGCAAGTAACAGAAAAATCCAAATAAATGTGGCAATAAAAAGAAAGATTTCACCTCCTTATATTATGAGAAGGCTAGAAATAGATGCAGCTAGCTTTGATTCAGCATCTCCAAAATATTAGCTCCATCTCTCTAATTCTCTTAACTTTTTTTCCCTCATGCTCACAGGATTACTGCTGCAATTCCAGGCATTATAACCATTGAGACATAAACAAAAAGGAAGAGAGAAATGGTTGCCACCATCAATAGCTGTCTTATTAATTAAGAAAACAAAAGCTTTACCAAGAACCTCCTTCCTCATAAACATCTATTCACATTTCATGAACCAGAAATGGGTTGTGTATCTACTATAGCAGGGAGGGTGGCTGACAAAACATGGCCAAGGAAGGATTGGGAATGGGTGTCGAGCTTATCAACCAGAATACCTGCTTCAGCAGTCATTTTAATATTCTAGATATGAAATTTTTACATGATCTTCTGCTGAGCCAAGGCCTCCCATCTTCTCTATATATAGCTTGATGATGAAATTTAAATTGTAAGGCTTTGAATTCTTTCATTAAAAAAAAAGTATTGGATTCTGGCCAGAATTCTCATTTAATGATAAGTTTGAGCCTTGATTGATTTTTCTCCTATAGTGAGATCCTTTCTATCTTTCTATTAATATCACATGCAAAAATAATAAGTGCTTTTGTATGTCTATCAACATCTTAAAACTCTGGTAGGATCATAGTCATGTGCTAGTAAAAAGGAAACTGGAATAGCAGACAAGGATTGAGTAAGGAATATTGGAGTACAATAGTAGCACAGTTGCAGAGAAATCAAAATAAAGAAAATAATGTAATATATACAATGTTATCTCTTTTTTTATTATTTTTCCTCCATCTACTTCAAATTAGATTGAAAAAAAATTACAAAAAAACACATTCATACTTCATATGAAAGGTGAACATAAATGTGTTTTCACCTTTTGGTCGCTATATAGATGTTGTTCTATGTGTTAGGACTGTGGTGCAAAAACTAAGATGGTAATAATTGTAACTATAAGCTGAAACTTTTTTTTTTTTTTTTGAGATGAAATCTCACTCTTTCCCCCAGGCTGGGGTGCAGTGGTGCGATCTCAGCTCACTACAACCTCGGCCTCCAAGGTTCAAGCAATTCTCCTGCCTCAGCCTCCCAAGTAGCTGGGATTACAGGCACCTACCACCAGGCCTGGCTAATTTTTGTATTTTTAGTAGAGATGGGGTTTCACCATATTGGCCAGGCTGGTCTTGAATTTCCGACCTCAGGTGATCAGCCTGCCTCAGACTCCCAAAATGCTTGGATTACAGACATGAGCCACTGCGCCCAGCCAAGTTGAAACTTTTTAATGCTTATTTTCAACCAGGTTCATAGTTCTAAGTGCCTTAAAAATATTGGCCATGCGCAATGGCTCATGCCTGTAATCCTAGCACTTTGGGAGGCTGAGTGGGGTGGATCACTTGAGGTCAGGATGTCAAGGCCAGCCTGGCCAACACGGTGAAACCTTGTCTCTACAAAAAATACAAAAATTAGCCAGGTGGCATGGTGCATGTCTGTAATCCCAGCTACTTGGGAGACTGAGGCAGGAGAATCACTTGAACCTGAGAGGTGGAGATTGAGTGAGCTGAGATCGCACCACTGCACTCCAGCCTGGGTGACAGAGCGTGACTGTCTCAAAAAAAAAAAAAGTATAAAGTATTAACTAAGAGGTTTCAGACAAGTTGGTCAACTAGACACAGTCAGGAAATGCCACTACCACTGAGAGAGACTACATTATCCAGTAAACCACCAAAACTCAGGCAGATCTTCAAGAGAAAATGCTGAGCGGATGGACAGATGACACTGAACCTGAGGCTGAAGAGGGAGGAATCTGGGGATCCTGCACGTGGTACCTGAAATCCGGGTCTAGTTCCTGGCCACCAGTGGCTCCTGGGTAAGGGTTGAATAAGGGAACTGAGGGCCAGCTTACTCTCACCATGGACCTCTGGGATCCTAGCTATAGGGGACCATGCTCATGGACCTGTGAGCTGGCAGGGGTATCTCCTTGGGGAGCAGGAAGAGACAGGCCTTCAGCCAGCAGAGAGCCCAGGAGATTTTGTGTCCTATGCAGCTCCAGCAGAGAGCTGCCATCCCCAAGTGGCCCCTATGCCCTTCTGGGAGGCACAGGCCACATCTGACCTAGAAGCCAGGAGAGAGTCGGGACTGCATCCCCACAAGACTGGGGCATGTCTGCTCTGCAGGCCATCCTGCCAGCTGGCCTCTCCTAGGGTCTATGCTTAGCAGTCTGCAGGAGCAGGTGCACAGTGCAGCCCCTGAAGCTCATCCTGAGGGCTGCATCTGAGTACCTTATCAGTGACCCAGGAACACATTGGATTCTTCAGCATAACCAGAATCACAACAGGAGCCTCAGGATGTGTCCATGCCCCAAGGCTGGAGTGTGCAGCTCTGGAGTACTGAGATGAGATCCGTGGCTGACACTGAAGCCAGGGAGGAGCCTCCATCCCCATAGTACTGAGAGAGGCAAGATGCATGAGTTACTGGCTTGGGGTGGGAGCTGGGTGTACCTCCCTCCGTAGGGCCAATTTAGAGTGTGGTATTCTTTCCAACCACAGCTTCTGCCCAAGGGAGCCCCATGGCTGGGAACACCTAACAAAAGAAACACAGGTACAGAGCCAGCAATTGGAGGGATTTACCCTAAGGCCCAGTAGTGAACCTGGCAAGTGGACCATCTCTCTGCCTCACCAACCACAGAGCATACCTGTGAACCCAAGGAAGTGCAAAAGAGTAATGGGCTGGATATTAACCTAGTTACAGGCCATTATTCTTATGTACCATCTACTGGATCACAACCCTAACTATAACATCAAAACTTTGTCCCGCTAATGTATACACCTGTGAGATAAAGTGCAAGATTTCACTGAAACATAAAGATCCTGTACAGAGCCCTGGTCCTCTGAAAGCAATCGGAAATGAAGCCAATGGACTATGCTCAACTTAAACCACAGTTAAAGGAACACCAACTATCCCAGATGAGAAATAATCAGTGCAAGTATTCTGGCAATCCAAAAAGCCAGTTGTCCTCTTACCTCCAAATGAGTACATTAGCTCCCCAGCAATGGTTCTTAAACAGTTGGAAATAATTAAAATAATAGGCATAGAATTCAGAATCTGGGTGGCAAAGGAACTCATCAAGATTCAGGAGAAAGCTGAAACTCAATCCAAGAAATTTAGTAAAACAGTTCAAGAGCTGAAAGGCAAAATAGCCATCCTAAGAAAGAACCAAACTGAATTTCTAGAGCTGAAAAACTCACTAAAAGAATTTTATATACAATGGAAAGTATTAACAGCAGAATAGACCAAGCTGAGGAAAGAATCTCAGCACTCAAAGACTGGTTCTTTGAATCAACTCAGTCAGACAAAAATTAAAAGAAAAAAAAGAATTTTAATAAATGAAAAAAAATTCAAGAAATACAGGACTATAAAAAGAGAGGACATATACATCCCATTGGTATCCATGAAAGAGAAGGAGAGAGAATAAGCAACTTGAAAAATGTTTTTGAGGATACTATTCATAAAAATTTATCTAATCTCACTAAAGAGCTTGACATGCAAATCCAAGAAATAAAGAAAACCCTCACTTCATGCTGTACAAGATGACCATCCCCAGGGCACATAGTCATCAGATTCTCCAAGGTCAGTGCAAAAGGAAAAATCTTACAGTTAGCTAGACAGAGGGGTCATGTGACATACAGAGGGAACTTCATCAGGCTAGCAACAGACCTCTCAGCAGAAACATTACAAGCCAGAGAGACCAGGGTTCCATTTCCAACATCCTCAAATAAAATAAATTCCAACCAAGAATTCATATTCCTCCAAACTAAGCTTCATAAGTGAGGGAGAAATGAGGTCTTTCTCAGACAAGCAAATGCTGAGGGAATATATATCAATTAGACCAGCCTTATAGGAAGTCCTTGGAGAATGCTAAAGATGGGATCAAAAGAATGATATCTGCTATCACAAAAACATACTTAAGCCCACAGCCCAGAGGCACTATAAAGAAACTACACAGTCAAGTCTACATAAAACTAGCTAACAACACAATGACAGGATTAAAATCACACATATTAATGCTAACATTGAATATAAATGGGCTAAATGCCCTCACTTAAAAGACAAAGAGTGGCAGTCTGTATAAAAAGACAAAATTCAACCATCTTTTGTCTTCAACACACCCATCTCACATGTAATGACACACATGGGCCCAAATTTAAATGATGTAGAAAGATCTACCGTACAAACAGAAAACAAAAAAGAGCAGTAGCCATTATTCTTATATCAGATAAAATCGACTTTAAACCAATAAGAATTAAGGAAGACAATGAAAGATATTACATATTGATAAGGGTACAATCCAACAAGAAGCCTTAACTATGCTAAATATATATGCACCCAACATAGGAGCACCCAGATTTACAAAACGAGTTCCTCTTGGCCCATGAAAAGATTTAGGCAACCACACAATAATAGTGGGAGACTTTAACATCCCATTCACAGCTTTAGACAGGTCATCAAGACAGAAAACTGACAAAGAAACTCTGGACTAAGTCCAACAATTGACAAGCTGGAACTAATAGACATCTACAGAACACTCCATTCAACAACCATAGAATATCCATTCTTCTAAGTGCACATGGAACATATTCTAAGATTGACTACATGTACAGTTTTAAAGCAAGCCTCAATAAATTCAAAAAAGTTGAAATCATACCAAGCACACTATCAGACTATGGTTGAATAAAAAGATTAATGAAACCCAGAGTTGCTTTTCTGAAAAAAATAAAAATAAACAAGATTTAGACCACTAGCCAGCTTAACAAAGAAAAAAAAGAGAAGATCTAAATAAGCACAATCAGAAATGACAAAGATGACATTACAGTTGATCCCACAGAAATGCAAAAGATCTTCAGAGAATACTGTGAACAACGCTGTGCACACATATTAGAAAATCTAGAAGAAATAAATCGCTGGAAGCACACAATCTCCCAAGATTGAATCAGAAAGGATTAAAACCTTGAATAGACCAATATCAAGCTCTGAAATTGAATAAGTAATAGAAAACATGCCAACCAGAAAAAGCCCTGGACCAAATGAATCCATAGCCAAATTCTACCAGATGTACAAAGAACCGGTACCAATTCTACAGAAACTAGTTCAAAAAATCAAGGAGGAGGGACTCCTTCCTAAATCATTCCATGAAGCCAGCATCAGCTAGTACCAAAACCTGGCAGATACACGACAAAGAAAGAAAACTTCAGATCAATATCCCTAATGAACATAGACACAGAGTCCTCAACAAAATACTAGCAAACTGAATCTAGCAGCACATCAAAAAGTTAATTCGCCATAATCAAGTAAGCCTTATTCCTCGGATGCAATGTTGGTTCAACATATGCATATCAATAAGTGTGACTCACCACATAAACAGAATTAAAAGCAAAAACCATATGATCATCTCAATAGACACAGAAAAGGCTTTTGAAAAAATTCCACATCCCTTCAGGATTAAAACCCTCAATAGACTAGCTGTCAAAAGAACATACCTCAATATAATAAGACCATCTATGACCAACCCACAGCAAACATCATATTGAACAGGGAAAAGCTGGAACCATTCCCTTGGGGAACTAGAACAAGGCAAGGACACCCACTCTCACCACTCTTATTCAACATAGTACTGGTATTCCTAGCCAGAGCAATCAGGCAAGAGAAAGAAATAACAGGCATCTAAATGGGTAAGGAAGTCAAACTATCTCTTTACTGACTATATAATTTTATACTTAAAAAACCCTAAAGACTCCATCAAAATGCTACTGGAACTGATAAACGATTATAGCAAGGTTTCAGATTACACATCAATGTACAAAAATTAGTAGTATTTTTATACACCAATAACATCCAGTCTGAGAGTCAAATAAAGAACACAGTCTCATTTACAACACCCATACATAAAAATTAAATACCTAGGAATACATCTAACCAAGGAGATGAAAGATCTGTACAAGGAGAACTACAAAACACTGCTCAAAGGAATCAGAGATGACACAAATAAATTTCTTTAAAAAAATCCCATGCTTATGGATTGGAAGACTCCACATCATTAAAATGGTCATAATACGCAAAGCAATTTACAGGTTCATGCCATTTCTATCAAAATACCAATGTCATTCTTCACAGAATTAGAAAATCTATGCTAAAATGTATATTAAACCAAAGAAGAGCCCAAATAGCCAAAGCAATCCTTAAGCAAAAAGAAGAAAGTCAGAGGCATCACATTACCTGACTTCAAACTATATTATATGGCTAAAGTAACCAAAACAGCATGGTACTGGTGCAAAAACAGACACACAGACCAATAGAATGCAGTAGAAAATTTAGAAATAAAGCCACACACCTACGACCATCAAGTCTTCAACAAAGCTCACAAAAACAAGCTATGGGGGAAGTCCTCTCTATTTAATAAATGGTGCTGGGATAACTGGCTAGTCATATGTAGAAGAATGAAACTGGACCCTTTTTTGTTATATACAAAAATTAATTCAGGGTGGATTAAAGATTTAGATGCAAGGCCTCAAACTATAAAAATCCTAGAAGAAAATTTAGGAAATATACTTCTCAACATCAGACTTAGCAGATAAATTTTGGCTAAGTCCCCAAAAGCAATTTTAACAAAAACAAAAATTGATAGCTATGACCTAATTAAACTAAAGAAAGTATTGTACAAAAGAAACCATCAACAGAGTAAACAGACCTACAAAATGGGAGGAAATATTCACAAACTATGCATCTGACAAAGGTCTAATATCGAGAATCCATAAGGAACTTAAAGAACAAATAACCCCATTAAAAATGGGGAGAGGACATAAACAGACATTTCTCAAAAGAAGACATACAAGTAGCCAAACAAACATTTTTAAAAAATGCTCGTCATGACTAATCATCAGAGAAATGCAAGTCAAAACTACAGTGAGGTAGCACCTCATACCAGTCAGAATGGCTATTATTAAAAAGCCAAAAAACAACAGATGCTGGCAAGCTGAAGAGAAAAAGGAACACTCATATACTGTTGGTGGAAATGTAAATTAGTTCAGCCACCATGGAAAGCGGTTTGAAGATTTCTCAAGGAACTTAAAACAGAGCAACCATTTGACCTAGCAACCGCCTTGTTGGGTATATACCCAAAGTAATACAGATCATTATATCAAAAATACACATGCACTTCTATGTTTATCACCATGCTATTCACAATAGCAAAGACATGGAATTAATCTAGGTGCCCATCATAGGAGGATTGGATAAAGAAAACATGGTATACATCCACCATGGAATACTATGCAACCATAAAAAAAAATGAAATCATGTCACTTGCAGCAACATGGATGGAGCTGGAGGCCATAATCCTAAGTGAATTAATGTGGAAAGAGAAAATCAAATATTGTGTGGGAGGTAAACATTGAGCACACATGGGCATAAATATGGGAACAAAAGATACTATGGTCTACTAGAGGGGTGAAGGAGGAAGGGGGAAATGGGTTGAAATACTACCTATTGGATACTATGCTTACTACTTGGGTCCAACACACCTGTGTAACAACCCTACACATGTACTTGGTATATCTAAAATAAAAACTAAAAATTTAAAAAGTATATTAACTAACTCGATCCTCATAATAATCCACAAAATGGATGGGTGGCTATCGCTCACCCATCTCATTTCACAGATGGGGCACAGAAATACTGATTAATTTTCTGAAGGTCACACAACCCATAAGAGGCAAAATTATAATTTAACCCCAGGAAGTCTAGCTTGAGTCCATGTGCTAACCTCTACACTAAATGCCAACACGGAGGTGGTGGTTTTGTTATTCTGTTTTGGATTGCTATAATAGAACACCACAAACTGGGTAATTTATATTTTTAAAAGAAATTTATTTCTTACATTTCTGGATGCTGGAAAGTCTGTGATCGAGGAGCCCACATTGGGCAAGGGTCTTCACGCTGCATCATCCCACAGCCAAATGCGTGAGGGCAAAAGAGTGAGAGAGAGCAAGAGAGGGTCTAACTCACTTTTATAAGAAGCCCACTCTTGCAATAACTTACTCCACCAATAATGACACTAATCTATTCATAAGGGCAAACATGACCTAATCACTTTTTATTAGGCCCTACCTCCCAAAACACTGTTGCATTAGGGATTTCATTTCCAACCCATGAATTTTGGGGTACACATTAAAACCATGGCAGTGGTTTAAGCCAAGCACCAGATAACCTTCAAACAAGTCTCAACACATTTTGGCAAAATAATACAACAAATATCAATGAAAACTTTAACTAAGGAGCAATAACAAAAGACTACATGGACATTACAATTTATGAAATGAGACTTAAAGATGAATTTAATTTTACTAGGCAAGAATCGTTTAAAGATACAGGGACCTAGGAAGAATAAACCTCATGATCAATGGCATAACATTGAGAACTTCGGAATGTCAGGTAAAATTCAGCGTCCACCTTGTTCTGCATGTTAAGGGAATAGTAGGAGATACACCTATCCTGGCAATCACACACACAGCAATGACTGTGGGATCAAAAAATCCAAGTCTCAATGCTGCTACTTATGCACCAGATGAACTTTGTCAAGGTCTTTAATCTCTCTGGGTCTCAGATGGGAATGAAAAGTCCACCTAATATTTTATTTGAAAGATTAAGTGAGAGTGTAAGTGTTCAAATTACTATTAACTAAAGCTAGGCCTGAGTGAAAAATAGGCTAGGACATTATTATGGAGAGATGTGAATTTCAGGCTGAGGAGATGCCATTGAAGACCTCTGAGAAGGTAAATAAAAGAGTAGCATGGTTAGAATTGTCTAAAGTTCAATCCAGTGCTCAGTATAGAAGGAGGTATAGGATATACAGGAGTGTGATAGGGCAGGGATCAGGAGAAGACTGGGAAATATTAAAACTGGTTGAAATATAGTGAAGACCCATATTCTAGTTCTGGCATTTGGACCTGAAATAAAGACAGACATTTCAGAAACACTACAGAAGCAGATAAAAATAATTTCACAATTATTTTGGATTTAAAATGGAGGGAAAAAAAAACCATCAGTGATTCTGAGACCTCAAGCCTGAGTGACTTGGAGAATAATCATGCCACCATCAACAAAACAAAATTTTGAGGAAGAAAAGCCCTTTTTGGGGAAAGGATAAATTGTATTATGATTTTGATCTGTATATATTGATTTTAAGGAATCGATAAGACACCCTGGTTGAATTGTCCTGCAATCAGTTAGTTATATGCATTGGGAGCACAGGAAAGAGGAAGTGGCAAGATAGAGGGTGTGGTAAAGAGAATAATGAACTTTTAGTGATATCACATCCTAATATCAGACCAACAAATAGATTACAGAGCAAAACGGAATTAAAGTTGGAGATATAATTAAGGTGAATAATCAGTTGACCTTAAAATAGGGATATTATCCTGGATAATCTAGCTGGGCTCAGTATCATAAAAAAAATTCTTAATAAAAAAGGAGAAAGATGAAGAGGAATTTGCAGTGAAGTGATGTGAAAAGGATTTAACAAGCCCATTCAGGCTTTGAGGATGAGAAAAGGGGTCAAAAGACAAGGAACGTGGCTTTTCTAGAACTCAGAAATGGTAAAGAAAGAGATTACTTATTAGACCCTCTCAGAAGGAAATGCAAATGCCAACAGCTTGATTTTTAGCCCAGTGAAACTCAGGCAGACCTCTAAACTACAAAACTTTAAGATAATAAATGTGTGTTGTTTAAGCCCCTAAATCTGTGCTAATGTGTTACAGCAGCAAACATGAACTAATATATAGTGATTTTTGGAATATTCAGGATGAAGATAATAATCAGGAACATTGTGATTCCAAACACTTCCTGAAAGTGGCCTGTGAAACAAAACTGCAGCTTTTTGAGAAAGCAGGAGTTGTAAGTTGTAAGTCCTTAGAATAAGTGTAGAGATATCTTGTTCCTGTACCAAGTTATTCAGAACCTTGGGAGTATACCAATCAGTTCATTTGCTGTGTAGAATCTTAATCTTGCAAAAAGGAAGTCAGCACGAATTATCTGAATTTATTCCAGGGTTCATTTTTATCTCCACTATCATCATGCATGATTCATTTCAGCACTGCAAGATAAAGAATTTCTGGTCAGGGATATTGACTCATGCCTGTAATCCCAGCACTTTGGGAGTCCAAGGTGGGCAGATTGCTTGTGTCGAAGGATTTAACACCAGCCTGGGTAATATGGTGAAACTTTGTCTCTACAAAAAATATAAAAAATTAGCTAGGTGTGGTGGTGTGCACCTGTAGTCCCAGCTATTCAGAAGGCTGAGGTGAGGGGAGACAGTAAGCAGAGATCCAGCCTGGGTGACAGAGCAAGATCCTGTCTCAAAAAAAGAAGAAGAAGAAGGAGAAGGGGAAGAGGAAGGGGAAGAAGAGAGAGGGGGAGGTGGAGGGGGAGGGGGATTGTTGTTGTTAAAGTTTCTTGTCTTGAGGAGAGGAATAAATTGATCAAACTTAGACAACTTAAGCCACCACTGAAAGAATGGAAATAGAAAATTTAGAAAATTTCAAGCTTCTCCTTTCCAGAAACTTGCATTCTATTTTCTGGAAAGATCCAGCTAATATCTCACAGCATTCAACATGGGCTGCATAACTTATTTTGTGTCCTAGAGTGTCAGTCTTTGTTGCAGAGGAGATGTGGAATTGTTTGTGTTGATTTAAAAATAAAAACTATAGCCGGCCAGTCACGGTGGCTCACGTCTATAATCCCAGCACTTTGGAAGGCCGAGGCGGGTGGATCACAAGGTCAGGAGATAGAGACCATCATGGCCAACAAGGTGAAACCCCGTCTCTACTAAAAACACAAAAATTAGCTGGGTGTGGTGGTGCGCGCCTGTAATCCCAGCTACTCAGGAGGCTGAGGCAGGAGAATCACTTCAACCAGGGAGTTGGAGGTTGTGGTGAGTTGAGATTGCACCACTGCACTCCAGCCTGGCAACAAAGCGAGACTCTGTCTCAAAAAAAAAAAAAAAAAAACACTAAAGCCAAATTAAAATTAAATTTTAAATAGTTTAATTGAGCAAAGAACAATTGATGAATCATTCCTCTTTTTTACAGCCCAGATATTTTATTTCCTACAGCACCAGCACATAAAGCTGTGTCAGGATATCAGATTTCTTTAAGAGGTAGTAAGAAAAAATATATTTCAAAATACTTAACTACACCCTTCCCAAGGTTATAAGAAAAAGCACAATACCATTAATTAACTTATGAAAGTCACTTTATTAGCAAATCCCAGTTTTTAGCCTTATTTTCCTTCATTCTAGAAAAACAGCACATTTCTCCTTTTCAAACCAACACAGAAGAAATTTCTATCCCAATTTAGTTACTCTCCCACTCATGCCATCTCCAATCTCCAGCTCCACTCGAGAGCATGGGTGGAACCAAATTTAGCCAATACTTATGCCAGGAAATGTGGTAAGAGAGAGAGGGAAATCCAAAGCTTCAGCATAATAGTCAAGAGTAGACTTTAGCAAACCAAGTTCTGCCACCTTTGAAGTGAAGAATGAGGATTCTTTTTGCTTCTACAATGGGTAAATACTGGACTAAACATAAAACAAATAAAAATAGCTTTCACATGACAAGTATTAATTCTTGGTGACTATGCAAATAGTTCCAGAAAAAATAATATTTGGCATATATGCCATTGATATACTTACTCTTTTCCACAGTAGGAATCATAGTTTATTTATATTATGAGAGATCTTCAAAAGTTAATGGAAAATGTAATTATGAAAAAAACCATGCATCGATTTTAAGAATTTTGCACCAAAATAAACTCATACTAACTTGTTGTGACATGTCTGAATGGGGTCTAATTTGAGGCACTAAAAAGGATAAGACATTAGTTTGAAAAGAGCCCTTATCAGAGCAACATGAATTTTACCAAAATTGAAGCAAAAACAACAAATTTATGGTGAAGCTTGGGTGGAAGAATGATGAAGTCATTGATGCTTTACAAAAAGTTTATGGGGACATTGCCCAAAGAAATCAGCAGTTTACAAATGGATAACTTGTTTTTTAAAGGAACAAGACAATGCTGAAAATAAAACCCTCAGTGGCATACCATCTATATCAATTTTCAAGGAAAAAATTAATCTTATTCATGTCCTAATTGAAAAGGACCAACAGTTAACAGCAGAAACATTAGCCAACACCATAAACATCTCAACTGATTCAGCTTACACAATTCTGACTGAAACATTTGAGCACACTTTCTACTCAATGGGTGCCAAAACCCTTGCACCCAGATCAGCTGTAGATAAAAACAGAGATTTCAATGGAAATTTAAACAAGTGGGATCAAGATCCCAAAGCATTTCTTTGTAGTTGTAAAAGGAGATGAAACATGGCTTTACAAGTATGATCTTGAAGATAAATCACAATCAAAGCAATGGCTACCAAGAGGTGGAAGTGGTAAAATCAAAGCAAAAGCAGACTCATCAAGCGTAAAGGTCATAGCACAGTTTTTTGGAATGCTCAAAGCATTTTCTTCATTGACATCCTGGAGAATAAAAGAATCATAACATCTGCTTATTATGAGAGTGTTTTGAGAGAGTTAGCCAAAACTTTAGCAGAAAAACACCTGGGAAAGCTTCATTAGAAAGTCCTTCCCACCATGACAATGTTTCTGCTCATTCTGCCTGTCAAACAAGGGCAATTTTGCAAGTGTTTTATGGGGCATTATTAGGCATCCACCTATAGTCCTGATTTGGTTCGTTCTGACTTCTTTTTGTTTCCTAATCTCAAAAAAATTTTTAAAAGACAGACACTTTTCTTCAGTTAATAATGTAAAAAAGACTGTGTTGACATGGTTAAATTATCAGGACCCCTAGTTCTTTATGGATGAACAAAATGGCTGGTATTACCACTTTTAAAAGTGTCTTAAATTTGATGGAGCTTATATTGAGAAATAAAAAATAAAATTTATATTTATTATTTTTATTTTTTAATTCCATTTTCCATGAACTTTTCTTTTTTTTCTTTTCTTTTTTTTTTTCCTGAGGCTAAGTTTCACTCTCTCACCCAGGCTGGAGTACAGTGGCACGATCTCAGCTCACTGCAACCACTGCCTCCTAGATTCAAGCAATTCTCTTGCCTTAGCCTCCTGACTAGCTGGGATTATAGATGCCTGCCACCACACCCGGCTAATTTTTTGTATTTTTAGTAGAGATGGGGTTTCATCACATTGGCCAGGTTGGTCTCGAACTCCTGACCTCAACTGATCCACTTGCCTTGGCCTCCCAAAGGGCTAGGATTATAGGCATGAGCCACTGCACCCAGCCTTCATGAACTTTTTGAAGTTACCTTGTAATATTTGAAAATCTTCCAGGGCCCTTCCAATGCCAAAAACACACACCTTTTTCCCCTGACCCTCTGTCAGTCTTCTGAATTTAAAGCTGGGCTCTGGGACTTACCAGTGTGAGAATGTATGTCCACTAATGTTTAGATAGATATTGGACAAAAATTTTCAAATTTACATTTTTCACTTCTTGGGCGATGTAAATTCATTGTCAACAACTGCATTCTCACCTGACTTTAGAAGAGGGTATATCTCTCAAACCCTGTGGGTGAAGTATTCATTCAGATGGAAACAGTATGCTGACAAACTTCTCCTGATGAGTTGTTTGTTTATTTTCTGAAATGATGACATTAATTGGCCAAGAAGGAGAGCACAGTGTGCAGGAAACACACAGAGGGAGTTGAAAGGCTGCTTCCAACTGCTCACTGTCCTTATTGGAAATCCTCATGAGCCTCAATGAAGGGTATATCTACTTCAGATTGCCCCTTTTTTCTCCTCTTTGGGCTATGTGATCTATGATTGCAATTAGCTTGGACATCAACATTGTAAATATGTGACAGCTAATGGTTGCGTGGTATAAACACTTATAAGATATGCTAAAACTGACAGCTTTAATGTAATCAACTCCATGCAGCAGCCACCTTGTAGGGCTGTAGTTTTGAGTATAGAACATCTGGAGTTACACTTTAATTGGTGGTTGTAATTGTTGCACAGCTGTTTGTAACAGTTCTAGCTATGTTAATCACGACTGCAATGATGCTTATCGGGAAGCAGCACTAGAGTCCAATTCATGAGTATCAACAGTTGTTGATTCAGAAAGTCACATTGTGTATTTCCTTACTTAGCATCATATAAAAAGCACACAGAAAAGAATAAATGAAATAAAAAGTTCCAATTCATCCATCTGTAAGTGTGTTTGAGTTCAGAAACATTAACAGATTGTTTCCTGAAATGTACAACCAACCCACTCAAAATGAGGGCCCATCATTGTGTTGCCGGAGACTCTCTGTAGAAATATGGGATAAAGTGTTGTTAACCTTCCATTAAAAAAATAGTATCTACCAGAATATCCCTGAAGAACTGAATGTGATATATGACACAGAAAATAAGCCACAAGTTTCATGAAAAAGATGAGAACCTCCATGCTCTAAACTGGAAAGGGAGTATTTGTTTTTTTCTTCACATGCATAATGGATTATCAGTGTGATAAAAGTGTTCAAAAAGTTCCACACCTAGCATCAAGTCAGAATTTCTACTCTGCTGCTACAAATGTGGACATCTTGAGCAAGTCATTTTGTGTTCCTAAGTTTCAGTTTTCTCATCAGTAGAATGAAAGAATAGGATTCGATTGTTTGTGAAATCTCTTCCATCTCTCATATCTTTTGTACAAACTTGACTGTTAATTTTAATTTTATTTTTTTTACCAGGTCACCCAAGAGCTCTGATCTGACTTTTTAAAAGCTACTTACTCTCCTGAAGTTTCTAGTTACCAAATAGAAAGACACAAAATTCAGAAAGCTAGGGCTCAACAATAGGAGAATAATGAAGAGAACTTTCAGGATAATGGCTGTAAAACAGGTCCCAGAAAACACCTAGTTCAGGTGAGAGCCAGTAACAGGAGTTCACTAAGAAGGAGTCTCCCAGCAAACTATCAACGAATGCTTTGAATAGAAGGAAATTACTGATAGGTACTGGATAAAGCCATTGAAACATCTGGATAGAAGAAATGGTAATTGATGCCCTCAAAGAAAGCAAATGGGGAAAAAAATAGCATATGAAATTTTAACCAAGAAAGGAAATGGGTTTGTGGCATGCTTTTTAGATCAACAATGAAAGTAATAAGATGGCCACTGATTTTTGATGGAACAAAAAAGCTGAAGGGTAACTGTTTTGAAAACAGAGGAAAGAGAAATTTAGTGTGGAGGTAGGTAAAGGAGCTGAATGTTTATCCACTGTCTTCCAACTAGACTGTAATTTCTGGACAATGTCAAAGTGATAATGTCTAAAATGGATAAATCAAGACATTAAAGAGCAAGTACATTATTTAGAAGATAATAGCAGAAAATACAAGAAGAAACAACAAAAGTAAACTAATGAAATAAAAATAAATTGGTTTAGGGGAGTACGGTTGTGGGGTGGGGTAGATAAATTTTTATAATTGATTTGTCATAATTTTTTATCTGTTATAAGCCTTTTAAAATGATGTGTCTTTTTGACATATATATATTATTGACATGTATATTTGACACATTTATATGGTTTACCCTGAAAAGCAATATTTAGTCTGAAAGTAAATAAAAACTTCACTCCTGCTTTTAGTGATAAATACAAGTCAGAGGCATTAAGAGACTGAGCATTAGTTATGGAATTTCACGTTTCTGGGAACAAATATTTGGAAACCTCAGGGTCCTCAGGGCTCTCTTATTACACCTTCCCATGAACAAGTCACATTCCTCACCATGATTTTGTATCCCTTCTGTTCTCATTGTCAAAAAAATCTTTCTTCCTCTCCTTGTGTGCCTACTAAATTCTTTTTACATTTAAAAAAACATAAAAAATATTTATAAAGCTTTTTGGATTTAACCTTTCCTATTTAGCACTTTTAATAATGTTGATGTGGCAATTTGAAATTTGCAAAACCCTTTTCACTTCATTTATTCATTTATTACTTCATTTATTTTTCATTTGGGCCATTTATTTGTTAGTGCAATACATTTCCTGAGTTTCTACTCTGGGTCAATTACCTAGACAAGAACTGGTGTTAAAAGGCCAACAAAGGAGTTTTACTGGCCTCATAGCATTTCACATTTTCAGGAGGAGGCAATCAAACACAGAAAGTATGCAGATTAAGGATATTTGTGCTGTTTGTGGTTGTTTCTGTTTGTTTATTTCAGTCTTATGATTGAGATAAAAAATGTGATGCATGGTTTCTGGCTTGTATATTAGAATCTCACTGTTTCTGTAATGAATATGTTTCAGCTCAAAATATATAATGAGACAAAAATTCATCCATAACTTTATGATTGATTAATCTAATTTCCTTAAGAAAATGTAGCTCGATTTAATCTTCTTCTTTTCTCTTCTCGTCCTCCCTCCCCCTCTCAAGCAATACGCCAACTAACCAACAGGCTGCCTTGCTGCCTCTGCTCTGACCCGCAGAAATGGTCCAGGGTAAGTTCACCATAAATTTTCGTGGCTTGCTCAGAGACTGGGGCTTCTGTGATGAATTTTTCTTCCATCCCCGAGGTGATGGTGCCCTGTTGGTGGGATGAACTCTAAGCCTGTGTTTTAGTTCTATTTTCCTGGAAAGGATGAGATCTTTACAACAATGCCATGGTTCAGTGGGAAATCTGAGTCTCACTTTCCCTGTAATGCACTTCTACCCCAAAAGAAAATACGTCTGGATCCTTGAGCTGAGACTCAGACCCAGATCTTCTCATTCCAAAACCTGAGCTGGATCTAGTCTACCATGCATCTCATTTTGCCACTCACTCAACCCTTATGGATTGTCAATCTTTAAGGGCAGTAAAAGTATCTCCATTTATCTTTGTATCTCCATGGCAAACAGCTCAGTGTCCTGTACATATAGACGTTCAATGATTATTTTTTTAAATGAAATACTCACTACAGCCTTTTAATGACAGTACTATCTCTGCAATTGAAACTATTTCTTGCTATTCCATTGCCACTTAAATATATTTCACATTTTTCTCAAAAACCACTTGTACCATTTCTAGGCAGACTGAAACTTTTAAAAGTCATACTCCCTATGCCAGAGCCACAAGGGAAATAAGTCGGAAAGCAAGGAAAATAATTTTTAAAATTTCTTTGGTTCTCCAAGGGTTGCATGAGGATGACACAAAGTATTCAGGAGAAACCCAAGTGGATATTTGATTTTCTATAGCAGCTGAGACACAAACCTGTATCAGTTACGCAAGATCATCCGGAAACTTGAAACCAGTGGAATAGAACTCTTTTCATGTTAAACAAAAGCCATGGAGATGTGCCAGAGACTCAACAAATAAGGAAATATGTTACAGAGTGAAAATCCAAATTTCTGTTGAGTAAATACTGGGGAAAAAAAGGCAATTTTTATTCTAAGAATTTAACCAGTTGGGGAAAATAGCAGACCCCCTTTAAAAAAGCCAGTATATATGTACCAGAAATAAAGATATATAATAAATAATTTTTTCCACCTAGTTAAATCATTATTCATTTTCATTAATTCATTCAACTAATATTTATCAAGTCCTGCTACAGAAAATTTGGTAGGTATTGAATATTTAAATACATTGCTAAATGTAAGAATATGACCTAGAGGAAAAGTTATATACAGAAACCCTGGAATGAAAGGATACTCCAAGAAGGACCTAAAGTAAAAATAATTGCCTGAAACTGAGTATAATCTTTAACATGGTTTTTGAATATGGTCTTTTTATAGCTTTATTAAATGAAATTATAATTGGCATGCAAAAACTGCACATATTTAAAATGTATAATGTAAGAAATTTGACATATGCCTACTTCCCTAAAACCAACACCACAATCAAGATAATGAACATAACCATCCCCCCAAAATTTCCTTGCGTCCTTTTATTAGGATGGTTACAAAAGAAATTATGATATTTGCCATTGGAAGTAATGGCAAAAACCGCAACAACTTTTGCAACAACTTAATACACTTTCTTCCCACTATGCCTCTCAGGCCTTCTCCTCAGGCAACTATTGATTTGTATTCCGTCACTCTAGATTAGTTTGCATTTTAAATAGTTGTATATAAATAGAAACAAAGTATATGCACTACTTCTGTCTGCAGTTTTTCACTCAGTATTATTATAAGGTTGTTCCGTATCCTTACATTTATCAAAAACCACTCTATTATATTGCTGAGTAGGACTTTATGGTATAGGTGTATCACAATTCATGTATCCATTGACCTGTTGACACTCGTGTTGTTGACATCGAATGTCAACGTCGACGTTGACATTCGTGTTGTTTCCAAGTTTAGGATATTTAAAATACAGATTCTACAAATATTCATGTATAGCTTTTGGTGTGAACATGGGCTTTCATTTCTTTTCATTGTTACCTAGAGTAGAATGGCTGGATCTGATGGTCATGCATATTTAATTTGTAAAGAAAGTTACAAAGTGATTCTGAAAGTGACTGTACCATTTTCTATCCCAACTATCAGTGTATGAGAGTTTCAGCTGCTCCATCCTGGCTAACCCTTAGTATGCTCAGTCTATAATTTTAGCCATCCCAGTGGGTGTAGTAATATCTCATTATGGCTTTAAATTACATTTTCCTAATGATTAGTGATATTGATCATCTTTATTACTATTAACAATCTGTATATATAAATACCCATGATGAGGGGTCTGTTCAAATATTTTGCACTTATATTGTTAGTCTGCTTATTATTAAGTTCCAAGTGTTCTTTATATATTTAACAACATAAATTATTTTTCAGATACATTTTACAAATATTTTCTTTTAGCCTGTGTGTTGCCTTTACAATTTCTTTTTTCTTTTTTATGCCCTCACTTTAACTTGAGCCTTTACATTTTCTTGACAATGTATTTTTAAATTTTTTCTGAAGTCTAACTTAAGGTCTTTTCCTTTTACAGTTAAAATTTAAGAAATCTTTGACAAATCCAAGTTTTCTTCTATGTTTTCTGATGTAAGATTAGCTCTTGTGTTTAGATGAATGATTATCTTGCACTACTTACTGGATATGGTGGGAAGTATATGCCAAAGCTCACTATTTTTTACATATTGGACGTTCAGTGGTTTCAGGACTATTTATTGAAAATATTATTTATTCTCAATGAATTGCCTTGCTATCTTTGTCAAAAATTAGTTTATTATATAGGTGTTTGTTTATTTCTGTAATCTCTATTTTGTTCTGTTTTATTAATCATTTTGTCTTTATTGGTTCCAATACCAATACTATCTTTGTTATTGTGGCTTTATAAAAAAAAGTTTTTCAACTTTGTTCTTTTAAGTTGATTAGCTATGCTAGCTCCTTGGCATTTCCTTATAAATTTTGAAATCAGCTTATCAATTTCTTAAAAAAAAACCAGTTGCAATTTTGATTGGAATTGTGTTGAATATAGAGACCAATTTCAGAGAGAACAAAAACTTAAAATTATTAAGCCTTCTGATTCATGAAAATAAATTACATTGTTCTATTGTCAAATATTAAACCAACCCTGCATTCCTGGAATAAACACCACTTGATCCTAAAATATTACCCTTTTAATATATTGTTGAATTTAATGTTCTAAAATTGTATTTAAAATTTCTGGCTGGGGCGGTGGCTCATATCTGTAATCCCAGCACTTTGGGAGGTCGAAGTGGGTGGATCACCTGAGGTCAGGAGTTCAAGACCAGCCTGGCCAACATGGTGAAACTCCATCTCTACTAAAAATACAAAAAATTAGCCAAGGCATGGTGGTGGGTGCCTGTAATCCCAGCTACTCAGGAGGCTGAGGCAGGAGAATCACTTGAACCCAGGAGATGGAGGCTGCAGTGAGCTGAGATCATGGCCTTGCACTCCAGCCTGGGCAACAAGAGCAAAACCCTGTCTCAAAAAAAAAGAAAAAAAAAAAGAAAAGAAAAAAAAGAAAATTGCATATTAGTGTTCATTCCGTTTGTTTGTCTAGTGTTGGTATCACTGTAAATCTTGCCTCATAAAATGAGCAAAAAAATTTACTTTTCTTCAATTTTTTGGAAGATTTTGTATGGAATTAGTATTATTTCTTAAATGCTTGGTAGAATTCTTCAGTGATGCCTCTGGGTCTGGAATTTTCATGTTGTGAATATTTTTAACTACAAACTTAATTTCAAATATATATAAATATACATATATATTTCAAGTTATCTATTTCTTTTTGATTGAGCTTTGAGAGTTTACCCTTTTCAAGAAATTTTTTTCATTTCATTTAAGTTCTCAAACTTATTGACTTAAAATTGTAATATTTTCCTAGCAGTTTTCTAATATGTACAGAATCTATAGTGATATCATTCCTCTTACTTTTCATATTTGGTAACGTGTTTATTTTTATTTTCCCCCATCTATCTTATTAGGGGTTTATACATTTTTACTGACCTTCTGAGAGACATCCTTTTTAAATTTCATTGGTTTTTTTCTCTATTATTTCTCTATTATTGACTCCATTTATTTCTTCTTAAATTTTCTTTCTACTGCTTACTTTGAGTCTAATTTGCCATACAGTTTCTGATTTCTTCAGATGGAAGCTTAGGTCATTTAAGAACTTCCTGTTTTGTTGTTCTTGTTGTTGTTTCTAATAGAGACATTTGGTTCTGTATACTTTGTTCTAGATACTGTTTTATCTTCATTCTACACATTTTTGTATGCTTTGTTTTTATTTTTACTGACTTCAAGATACTCTAAATTCTCTTTGATTTAGAGAGGGGTCAATTGTACGACTCATTTGTTTCCCCTCTCTTTGATTTCCTTATGATTTATGTGGTCAGAGAACATGCTTTGTCCAATTTAAATCGTCTTAAATTGATTGTTACTTATGGCCTATTTAAAAATATTGCTTGTTTTGGTAACTGTTCCATGTGTACTTGAAAATAATACGTGTTATTCTTTTTGGGGGCGCAGTGCTCATATTGTGGTCTCTTATTCTTTTTGTGTTTCATTTTGGACAATTTCTATTGATTTCTGTTCAAATTTATTAATCTTTCATCTACAATATTCCATATATTATTAACCTCCAGTGCATTTTTTTCTCTTCAACCATTATAGTTTTCATTTCTAAAAGTTTGATTTAGGTATTTTTATATCTTCCATGCCTCTATTTAATAAATTCAATTTTTTAACGTTTTTGAGTATATGAGATAAAATAATAATAACTATTTTAATATCTATTGATTCCATCATTTGTCATTTTTGAATCTGTTTCTACCAATTGGATTTACACCTTCTGTGTCATATTTTCTTGCTTTTTTGCATGCCTCGGCATACGTGACTAGACGAGAAACATCTTGATTTTCACCTTATCATGGTGAATATTTGTCCTGGGTCTTTTGTGTTTCTATAAATATTTTTAGTTTTGTTCTGGGATATCGTTAAGTTACATGGAATCAATTTGATTATTTCAAGGCTTGCTTTTAAGCTTTCTTAGGTTAAATTAGACATTAGAGAAGAAAACATTAGGGCTAGTTTTGCTCCACAATTGAGGCAATGACCCTCAAAGTACTCTACCTAATATTCCTGGATAAATAAGATTCTCAGTCTGGCTGGTAGAAATACTGGTACTCTGTGAACTGAAAATTGGTTCCTTTTTTCTTATGTGGATGGTTATTTCCCTTGTCGTGGGTAGTTTCATCACACATAGCACTGAGCAACTCTAATGGGACATATTGTAGTTTTCTGAAACTCCCTCTTCAATGACTATACTGGGACTTTGAGCTGCCTTGGACTCTGCAAACTTGGTCCAAACTCTATTTCCTCATCTCAAGGAGACCCCACATGCTGCCTGTGCTGCTACCGGGGTCAATTATATGACTCATTTGTATCACCTTTGTCGGTATTACTGTCCTCTGGTGCCCGATATCTCATATCAGAAATCCACTGGTTAATACTTTTGTCCAATATTTTTATTATTTGAGGTGGGAGGAAAAATTGGGTCTCCATTACTCCATCTTGTCCAGAAATAATAATGAAGACACTTGATTATTAATTTGTTCAACAACTGGACTTTTTTGGTCTAGTTTGTAATTCACTTTATCATTCTCTACCCCACATCTTCAAAGTAATTTTATTTTTCTTTTGCTTTTGAAAATGTTCTTTATTTTTGTATCACAACTGCAAGCAAAAATTTAGTCTTCAGGGAACAAAAAGGTCTGTGGTATGTTATATGAAATGTCATGTCTGAATGAGTTTGTTACAATGCTTTCAATGATATTTTCAAACAGTCTCCATGAGAGATCATTTCAATGAATATCAAACTGTTTTTAATGATTAGAGTAGTAGAAATAGTATATACAGAGAAAATCCACAGAGGTATAAAAGCTGGTGTCCAATATTATGGTCACTCAGGTTGTTTCAGTTAGGTCTTTGTGATTAAAAAGAGAGGCTTCTGGCCAGGCACAGTGGCTCACACCTGTAATCCCAGCATTTTGGGAGTCCAAGGCAGGTGGATCGACTGAGGTCAGGAGTTCGAGGCCAGCATGGCCAACATGGTGAAACCCCATATATATTAAAAATACAAAAATTAGCTGGGCCTGGTGGTGGGCCCTGTTACTCCATTTACTCGGGATGCTGAGGCAGGTAAATCGCTTGAACCTGGGAGATGGAGGTTGCAGTGAGCCAAGATCGTGCCATTGCACTCCAGCCTGGGCAACAAGAGCAAAACTCTGTCTCAATAAATACATAAATAAATAAATAAAAATAAAAGCAAAACAAAAAAAGAGAGCCTTTCATAAGTAGATGAAAATAGGGATGGTGGTTGTTACAACAATCAGTATGGAATCACATGGAAATAATCCAAGAAAATATATTAATATACCATTGAGCATCATTGAAATTCAAACTAAATCCAGAAAGTGAAACATGATTTCATTGCACTTCAATCTATGCTTTAGTACTGCTATGATCCCTATTCCCTCTGCTTTTTTATTGTTGTTTCCTTTAGATGTCTTGTTGCTGCCTCTTTCACCATCTACCAGCTTTGCTGGCCTCTATTCTGTACATGTTTCTCTAAATTCAAGTTCCTGACTACTCAGGCAGATCTGTTATGATATCCAAGCCAAGTTCCACCCTTGCTGTAGATATTTTCATGTTTATTCCTATTACCAATTACTTCAGTTACTTTATAATTCACAATTCAAGTATCCAAAATTGGGAATTCCATCTACCCAATTCATCTTTTGTTACAAGACCGCACCAAAGTTAACAGTTGAGCTTATGAATCGATTGTCTAGTGATGAGGTGTGCAAATATTTAAAGCTTCAGGATATGGTCATATAGATAACCTTAGTAAATATATAGGTCAGTGCAACTTTCTTTAAAAGATGCTGTAAACTGAGCAAACACTGACTTTCACAAGTCTGATACTTACATAGATGAGAAATTAGAGGCCAGAATCAGAAACAATGGACAGAATTTACAAGGAGATAGATTTTGGAAAAAAGCACTGTTTAATATGTTTTTAAAATTCAAATATGTTATAGGGTGAGACCTTTCTGTTTAACCTTGAAATTTTGGTTTTTATGCATTTCAGATTATATGAGAATCATCCTAAATAGTTGCAGTATTATTCAACTTTTATACAAGCAAAAATGCTGGTATTGTAGTATGAATGCTAAAAATAAAAAATGAAAATAAAAAAAGGACAAGGAATTCCAATAATATATCATTCCTTTCTTTATTATCCATGTTAATTTTTCAGAATGATGAGAGGGCAGGATGAATTAATGCTTGATGTTTTGCAAAATGCAAAAATTGTCTCAGGATTGTTCTGAAATTTAAATGTGAAGAACTAAATATGTTTCCCCCCGACAGCTTTTCTTGTAACTGGAAAACTTTCCAGAAATGCATCTGATAACAATTGTCTCCTAGATGTCTCTTATTCACACTTGGTTCTTTAGAAGGAATCATGCTTTCATTAATGACATTTTCTTTTCACAGTTAATTGTCAGTCAGTCAACGTCTACCTTTGCCAAATGTCTGAAATAGTAGATAAGGGAAAAAGGTCTCACAAAATAGGACAGTATCTTCCTAAATGCATAATATTATCTGTGAGATTAGTCATAAAACGAAATATTTAGACTCTGGTCTAAACTAGATAAACAGAAGAAAATTATTAGACATTTATATCAAAATGTCCTGGTTGATCATATCACATTTGGCTCTTTTAAAATGTAAAGCTGATACTTAAAGAGTTGTGCAATAGGAAGAAGTGGGAAAATTGCCACACACACACACAAAGCCATTACAGAATAAGAATTTCAAAGTAGTCTAATCAAGTGCATCTTCAGGCAAATGTTTGCAAAAGTCTTTTTATAAAGAATGAACCATTAAAATAAAAAAAGAGTCTATATAGATGTACCCTACTTCTAGAAGAAGAACAAATGTAATATCTAAGCATTGGCAGGTCATTACATTAAAAGCAATTTTGATAGTTAACTATGCAGAAACAGAAATATAAATCTGAAACACAGCTGTAATCACTCTATGGAAAAATCTCTGCTATTAAACACTTGGCAAAGTGGACAGCCTAACGATGTAGTAAAATCCTTTGCACTAAATTCAGTCTGTTACCCCTGATGGAGATTAGGCATCATTAGATTTTGGTGCATGTTTCTGTTATCTTGCATTAAAGAGAGAGCTATGAATTTATTTCACAGAATTGATTTCAGTGGTTACAATATTAACTCCGGTTGTTGCTTTAAAAAATTACCTAGTAATTTAATAACTTTCCGTTGAGCAAAGTAATTGTAAAGACTTTTGTTTTCATCATGAACTTGTTGACTTAAAGATAGCATTATCTTTTTTTTTTTAAACAGGATTTTCCTTTGTGTGGATGGGAGAATCCTCCTCTATCAATGCATTAGTTTGCTCACCATTCTTCCTACATTTATTAAAAGATTTTTGAGACAAGCTGCACCACAAACATTTTAAGATTAAATGTAAAATAAGATTTGTAAAAGTTCAGTAATAGCTATGAAATATTGCAACGATGTATACGATAAAAATATCTTTCTTTTCTTCTTCTTCTTTTTTTTTTTTTTTTTAGACGATGGAGTCTGGCTCTGTCACCCAGGCTGGAGTGCAGTGGTGCAAGCTCAGCTCACTGCAAGCTCCGCCTCCTGGGTTCATGCCATTCTCCTGCCTCAGCCTCCCCAGTAGCTGGCACTACAGGCACCTGCAACCATGCCCCACTAATTTTCTGAAGTTTTAGTAGAGATGGGATTTCACCATGTTGGCCTGGCTAGTCTCGAACTCCTGACCTCAGGTGATCCACTCTCCTCTGCCTCCCAAAGTGCTGGGATTACAGGCATGAGCCACTGCACCCAGCCCCATTTAATTTTTTTTTTTAATTATACTTTAAGTTCTAGGGTACAAGTGCACAACATGCAGTTTTGATACATAGGTATACATGTGCCATGTTGGTTTGCTGCACCCATCAACTCATCATTTACATTAGTATTTCTCCTAATGCTATCCCTCCCCCAGGCCCCCACCCCCCGACAGGCCCTGGTGTGTGATGTTCCCCGCCCTGTGTCCAAGTGATCTCATTGTTCAATTCCCACCTATGAGTGAGAACATGTGGTGTTTGGTTTTTTGTCCTTGTGATAGTTTTCTGAGAATGATGGTTTCCAGCTTCATCCATGTCCCTGCAAAGGACATGAACTCATCCTGTTTTTTTTTTTTTTTTTTTTTGGCATAGCATTCCATGGTGTATATGTGCCACATTTTCTTAATCCAGTCTATCATTGATGGACATTTGGGTTGGTTCCAAGTCTTTACTATTGTAAATAGTGCTGCAAAAAACATACAGATGCATGTGTCTTTATAGTAGCATGATTTATAATCCTTTGGGTATATACCCAGTAATGGGATTGCTAGGTCAAATGGTAATTCTAGTTCTAGATTCTTGAGGAATCGCCACACTGTCTTGCACAATGGCTGAACTAATTTACACTCCCACCAACAGTGTTAAAGCATTCCTATTTCTCCACATCTGTTGCAGGAAGTCAGGGACCCCGAACGGAGGGACCAGCTGGAGCTGTGGCAGAGAAACATAAATTGTGAAGATTTCATGGACATTTATCAGTTCCCAAAATTAATACTTTTATATTTTCTTATGCCTGTCTTTACTGCAATCTCTGAACATAAATTGTGAAGATTTCATTTTAATATGGACATTTATCACTTCCCTAATAATACTCTTACAATTTCTTATGCCTGTCTTACTTTAATCTCTTAATCCTGTTATCTTCCTAAGGTGAGGATGTATGTCACCTTCAGACCACTGTTGTACAAATTGATTGTAAAACATGTGTGTTTGAACAATATGAAATCAGTGCACCTTGAAAAAGAACAGAATAACAGTGATTTTAGGGAACAAGGGAAGATAACCATAAGGTCTGACTGCCTGTGGGGTCAGGCAAAAAGGTCCATATTTTTCTTCTTGCAGAGAGCCTATAAAGGGACATACAAGTAGGAGAGATATCACTAAATTCTTCTCCTACCAAGGAATATTAAATATTAAGACCCTAGGAAAAGAAGTGCATTCCTGGGGGGAGGTCTATAAATGGCCACTCTGGGAGTGTCTGTCTTATGCAGTTGAGATAAGGACTGAAATACTCCCTGTTCTCCTGCAGTACCCTCAGACTTACTCGGATTGGGAAATTCCAGCCAGGTAAATTTTGGTCACACTGGTTCTCTGCTCTTGAACCCTGTTTTCTGTTGTTTAAGATGTTTATCAAGACAATACATGCACAGCCAAACATAGACCCTCATCAGTAATTCTAATTTTGTAATTTGCCTTGTGATCTTTGCTTTGAGCTTTGCCTTGTGATCTTTATTGCCTTTTAAAACATGTGATCTTTGGGACCTACTCCCTGTTCATACACCCCCTCACCTTTTAAAGTCCTTAATAAAAACCTGCTGGTTTTGCGGCTCAGGGCATCATGGTCCTACCGATATGTGATGTCACCCCCGGAGGCCCAGCTGTAAAATTCCTCTCTTTGTACTCTTTCTCTTTATTTCTCAGACTGGCCATCACTTAGGGAAAATAGGAAGAACCTATGTTGAAATATTGGCGGATGGTTCCCCCAATACACACCCTCTCCAGCATCTGTTGTTTACTGACTTTTTAATGATTACCATTCTAACTGGTGTGAGAAGGTATCTCATTGTGGTTTTGATTTGCATTTCTCTGATGACCAGTGATGATGAACATTTTTTCATGTGTCTGTTGGCTGCATAAATGTCTTCTTTTGAGAACTGTCTGTTTATATACTTTGCCCACTTTTTGTTGGGGTCATTTGTTTTTTTCTTGTAAATTTGTTTAAGTTCTTTGTAGATTCTGCATATTAGCCCTTTGTCAGATGAGTAGATTGCAAAAATTTTCTCCCATTCTGTAGGTTGCCTGTTCACTCTGATGGTAGTTTCTTTTGCTGTGCAGAAGCACTTTCATTTAATTAGATCCCATTTGTCTATTCTGGCTTTTGTTGCCATTGCTTTTGGTGTTTTAGTCATGAAGTCTTTGCCCACGCCTGTGTCCTGAATGGTATTGCCTAGGTTTTCTTCTAGGGTTTTTAATGGCGTTAGGTCTTACATTTGTCTTTAATCCATCTTGAGTTAATTTTTGTATACAGTGTAAGGAAGGGATCCAGTTTCAGCTTTCTACCTATGGCTAGCCAGTTTTCCCAACACCATTAATTAAATAGAGAATCCTTTCCTAATTGCTTGTTTTTATCAGGTTTGTCAAAGATCAGATGGTTGTAGATGTGTGGTGTTATTTCTGAGGCCTCTGTTCTGTTCCATTGGTCTATATATCTGTTTTGGTACCAGTACCATACTGTTTTGGTTACTGTAGCCTTGTAGTATAGTTTGAAGTCAGGTAGAGTGATGCCTCCAGCTTTCTTCTTTTTGCTTAGGATTGTCTTGGCTACACAGGCTCTTTTATGGTTCCATATGAATTTTAGTTTTTTGCAATTATGTGAAGAAAGTCAATCGTAGCTTGATAGGGATAGCATTGAATCTATAAATTACTTTGGGCAGTATGGCCATTTTCATGATATTGATTCTTCCTATCCATGAGCATGGAATATTCTTTCATTTGTTTGTGTCCTCTTTTATTTCCTTGTCAGTGGTTTGTAGTTCTCCTTGAAGACATCCTTCACATCCCTTGTAAGTTGGATTCCTAGGTATTTTATTCTCTTTGTAGCAATTGTGAATGGAAGTTCACTCATGATTTGGCTCTTTGTTTGTCTATTATTGGTGTACAGGAATGATTGTGATTTTTGCACATTGATTTTGTATCCTGAGACTTTGCTGAAGTTGCTTATCAGCTTAAGGAGATTTTGGGCTGAGACAATGGGGTTTTCTAAATATATAATCATGTCATCTGCAAACAGCGACAATTTGACTTCCTCTTTTCCTAATTGAATACCCTTTATTTCTTTCTCTTGCCTGATTGCCTGGGCCAGAACTTCCAACACTATGGTGAGAGAGGGCATCCCTGTCTTGTGCCAGTTTTCAAGGGGAATGCTTCCACTTTTTGACCATTCAGTATGATATTGGCTGTGGGTTTTTCATAAATAGCTCTTATTATTTTGAGATACGTTCCATCAATACCTAGTTTATTGAGAGTTTTTAGCATGAAAGGCTGTTGAATTTTGTCAAAGGCCTTTTCTGCATCTATTGAGATAATCATGTGGTTTTTGTCTTTGGTTCTGTTTATGTGATGGATTACGTTTATTGACTTGCATATGTTGAACCAGCCTTGCATCCTAGGGATGAAGCAGACTTGATCATGGTGGATAAGCTTTTTGATGTGCTGCTAGATTCAATTTGCCAGTGTTTTACTGAGGATTTTCACATCGATGTTCATCAGGGATATTGGCCTAAAATTCTCTTTTTTTGTTGTATCTCTGCCAGGCTTTGGTATCAGGATGATGTTGGCCTCATAAAATGAGTTAGGGAGAATTCCTTTTCTATTTATTGGAATAGTATCAGAGGGAATGGTACCAGCTCCTCTTTGTACCTCTGGTAGAATTTAGTTGTGAATCTGTCTGGTCCTGGACTTTTTTAGTTGTTGCCTATTCAGAGTCTGTTACTGGTCTATTCAGAGATTCAACTTCTTCATGGGTTAGTCTTGGGAGGGTATATGTGTCCAGGAATTTATCCATTTCTTCTAGATTTTCTGGTTTATTTGCATAGAGGTGTTTATAGTATTTTCTGATGGTACTTCATATTTCTGTTGGATCAGTGGTGATATCCCCTGTATCATTTTTTATTGCATCTATTCTTCTCTCTTTTCTTCTTTATTAGTCTTGCTAGTGGTCTATCAATTTTGTTGATCTTTTAAAAAAAGCCAGCTCATAGATTCATTGATTTTTTGAAGGGTTTTTTGTGTGTCTAACTCTTTCAGTTCTGCTCTGATCTTAGTTATTTCTTGCCTTCTGCTAGCTTTTGAATTTGTTTGCTCTTGCTTCTCTAGTTCTTTTAATTGTGATGTTAGGGTGTTGATTTTAGGTCTTCCTTGCTTTCTCTTGTGGGCATTTAGTGCTATAAATTTCCCTCTACACACTGCATTAAATGTGTCCCAGAGATTCTGGTATGTCGTGTTTTTGTTCTCATTTGTTTCAAAGAATATCTTTATTTGTACTTTCATTTTGTTATGTACCCAGTAGTCATTCAGGAGCAAGTTGTTCAGTTTCCATGTAGTTGTGTGTTTTTGAGTGAGTTTCTTAATCCTGAGTTCTACTTTGATTGCACTGTGGTCTGAGTGCAACAGAGTTGTTGTGATTTCTGTTCTTTTACATTTGCTGAGGAGTGCTTTACTTCCAATTATGCGTCCTTTTTAGAACAAGTGTGATGTGATGCTGAGAATAATGTATATTCTGTTGATTTGGGGTGGAGAGTTCTGTAGATGTCTGTTAGGTCTGCTTTTTGCAGAGCTGAGTTCGGGTCCTGGATATCCTTGTTAACCTTCTGTTTCATTAATCTGTCTAATATTGACAGTGGGGTGTTAAAATCTCCTATTATTATTGTGTGGTAGTCTAAGTCTCTTTGTAGGTCTCTAAGGACTTGCTTTATGAATCTGGGTGCTCCTGTATTGGGTGCATGTATATTTAGGATAGTTAGCTCTTCTTGTTGAATTGATCCCTTTACGATTATGTAATGGCCTTCTTTGTCTCTTTTAATCTTTGTTGGTTTAAAGTCTGTTTTATCAGAAACTAGAATTGCAACCCCTGCTTTTTTTGCTTTCCATTTGCTTGGTAGATATTCCTCCATCCCTTTATTTTGAGCCTATGTGCGTCTTTGAATGTGAGATTGGCCTCCTGAATACAGCACACTGACGGGTCTTGACCTTTTATCCAATTTGCCAGTCTGTGTTTTTTAATTGAGGCATTTAGCCCATTTACATTTAAGGTTAATATTGTTATGTGTGAATTTGATCCTGTCATTATGATGTTAGCTGGTTATTTTGCCCATTAATTGATGCAGTTTCTTCATAGCATCGATGGTCCTTACAATTTGGCCTGTTTTTGCAGGGACTGGTACCGCTTGTTCCTTTTCATGTTTAGTGCTTCCTTCAGGAGCTCTTGTAAGGGAGGTCTGGTGGTGACAAAATCTCTCAGCATTTGCTTGTTTGTAAAGGATTTTATTTCTCCTTCACTCATGAAGCTTAGTTTGGCTGGATGTGAAATTCTGGGTTAAAAATTCTTTTCTTTAAGAATGTTGAATATTGGCCCCCACTCTCTTCTGGCTTGTAGGGTTTCTACTGAGAGATCCACTGCTAGTCTGATGTGCTTCCCTCTGTGGGTAACTCGACCTTTCTCTCTGGCTTCCCTTTACACTTTTTCCTTCATTTCAACCTTGGTGAATCTGACAATTATATGTCTTGGGTTTGCTCTTCTCGGGGAGTATCTTTGTGGTGTTCTCTGTATTTCCTGAATTTGGATGTTGGCCTGCCTTGCTATATTGGGGAAGTTCTCCTGGATAATATCCTGAAGAGTGTTTTCCAACTTGGTTCCATTCTCCCCATCACTTTCAGGTGCACCAATCAAACGTAGATTTGGTCTTTTCACATAGTCCCATATTTCTTTTTTTTTTTTTTTTGAGATGGAGTCTCGCTCTTTCACCCAGGCTGGAGTGCAGTGACGCTATCTCGGCTCACTGCAAGCTCCACTTCCTGGGTTCATGCCATTCTCCTGCCTCCGCCTCTTGAGTAGCTGAGACTACAGGCACCTGCCACTGCGCCCAGCTAATTTTTTATATTTTTAGTAGAGACGGGGTTTCACCGTGTTAGCCAGGATGGTCTCGATCTCCTGACCTTGTGATCCACCAATCTTGGCCTCCCAAAGTGCTGGGATTACAGGCGTGAGCCACTGTGCCCGGCCATAGTCCCATATTTCTTGGAGGTTTGTTCATTTTTTTTTCACTCTTTTTTCTCTGTCCTTGGTTTCTTGCTTTATTTCATTAATTTGATCTTCAATCACAGATACCCTTTCTTCCACTTGATCGAATTGGCTATTGAAGCTTGTGCATGTGTCATTAAGTTCTTGTGTGAGGGTTTTCAGCTCTATCAGGTCATTTAAAGTCTTCTCCACACTGTTTATTCTAGTTAGCCCTTTGTCTAATCTTTTTTCAAGGTTTCTAGCTTCCTTGTGATGGGTTCGAACATCCTCCTTTAGTTCAGAGAAGTTTGTTATTACCGACCTTCTGATGCCTACTTCTGTCAACTTGTCAAAGTCATTCTCCATCCAGCTTTGTTCCATTGCTGGTCAGGATCTGCGATCCTTTGGAAGAGAAGAGGTGTTCTGATTTTTAGAATTTTCAGATTTTCTGTTCTGGTTTCTTCCCATCTTTGTGGTTTTATCTACCTTTGGTCTTTGATATTGGTGACCTACAGATGGGGTTTTGGTGTAGATGACCTTTTTGTTGATGTTGATGCTATTCTTTTCTGTTTGTTAGTTTTTCCTTTTAACAGGTCCCTCAGCTTCAGATCTGTTGGAGTTTGCCGGAGTTCCACTCCAGATCCTCATTGCCTGGCTATCACCAGCGGAGGCTGCAGAACAGCAAATATTGCTGCCTGATCCTTCCTCTGGAAGCTTTGCCCCAGAGGGTCAGTCGCCTATATGAGGTATCAGTCAGCACCTACTGGGAGGTGTCTCACAGTTAGGCTGCATGGGGATCAGGGGCCCACTTGAGGAGGCAGTCTCTCCGTTCTGAGAGTTCAGACGCCATGCTGGGAGAACCACTGCTCTCTTCAGAGCTGTCAGACAGGGATGTCTACATCCCTTCAGACTACAAAAGTTGTCTGCTGCCTTTTGTTCAGCTATGCCCTGCCCACAGAGGTGGAATCTAAAGGCAGTAGGCCTTGTTGTGCTGTGGTGGGCTCTGCCCCGTTCAAGCTTCTCAGAGGCTTTGTTTACCAACTCAAGCCTCAGCAATGGTGAAGGCCCTCCCCCAGCCAGCCTGCTGTCTCACAGATCGATCTCAGACTGCTGTGCAGGTGGTGAGCAAGGCTCTGTGGACATGGGAGCCACTGAGCTAGGCACGGGAGAGAATCACCTTGTCTGCCAGTTGCTAAGACTTTGGGAAAAGCACTGTATTTGGGTGGGAGTGTCCCATTTTTCCAGGTAGTCTGTCATGGCTTCCCTTGGCTAGGAAAGGGAAATCCCTTGACCGCTTGTGCTTCCCAGTTGAGGTGACACCCCGCCCTGCTTTGGCTTGCCCTCCGTGGGCTGCACCCACTGTCTGACCAGTCCTAATGAGGTGAACCAGGTACCTTAGTTGGAAAGGCAGAAATCACCAGTCTTCTGTGTTGATCACGCTGGGAGCTGCAGACTGGAGCTGTTTCTATTCAGCCACCTTGGAATGCACCCCCTAAATTTTTTAGTGAGAGACATACACTACTTTTTTTCCCAACCTGGAACATTTGCTTTAAATCTATAACAATTACCATTTCAGTTTATCTCTTTCTTCCCCTTAGGTGGAAACACAGAAGTGGAATCTAGAGGCAGTAGGCCTTGGTGAGCACTTCTATCATCATCTTAAGCATAATGATGGTTGCTCTTCATTTTCACTCACACCCTCTAACTTGTTCTCATTTTATGTGTGGCACCTAAGAGAGTGCTCCTAATATATAATTTTCTAAAATGTAATAACATACTTCTCATAAAAATATCAAATGAACATATGTTAGTGATATTATTTAACTTGTGAATTAATGAAGCAATGTTAAAACTGGCTCACATGAGAATTTAAGGTGGTTAGCTATTTACAGAAAATTTAATAAAGCAATGCTAGAATAAGATTTCTGAATGAGATACAACACTAGTTAACATCCAATAGGTTAATAAAACATAACCTTTGTGGTTATCTATTCTTCTGGAAAGAAGTGATTTGCATCTCTATCAGAAGTAAATCTACAAGTGAATTTCTGCCCCTTCCAAGCTGTTAAAGAACCCAGTCAATAAAAAGTCAATCAAGAGGGCAAACACAGAACTGCTTTGAGAGAACACCCAATAATCTCTTTTGTCATTTCCATGTTTTCATAATATTTTGACAGTGCCTTGAAAATAACGGACATTTATGAAATATATGTGGAATTGGAGAAGTAGAGACTGAGTGGATCTGAAGTCCTTTATACCGTGGTTTTGGGATATCACTAGTTAAAAACTTCTGATTAAAGGCCATATGAAGCTGGGTGTGGTGGCACATACCTCAGGAAGCTGAGGTGGGAGAATCACTTGAGCTCAGGAGAACGAGGCTGGAGTGAGCTATAACTGTGCCACTGCACTCCAGCCTGTGCAAGAGTGAGGCCCCATCTCTAAAAACATTAAAAAAAAAAACTAGATAAATAAAGGCCATATGATTATTCTCAAGCAGGCTCCACTAGACAAACAACAAGACCAAGAAGGTCAGGGCACTCAGAAGAGATGTGTAACTGCTTTCTGAGCAAAGCTGGATAAATGGTACTGGGAAAATATAAATATTATTGATCCATGATATCTTAAAAGTTTGAAAGAGATAAAGGCATTTTGCACATTTCTGCAATTAGAATGTACTTTTGGCACATATCTTGATGAGTATACTGCTATATATGAAGCCTCCTACAGATGGGGGCTTCTTTTTAAGTTGCATGTTGTGAGAGATAATTGATTAAAAATTCAAATTTGAGCATGGATGGCCTCAAAAATCGTGTTTCTATGTATTTATTTTTATTATTTATTCATCTATTTATTTATTTTTGAGACAGACTGTCACTCTGTCACCCAGGCTGGAGTGTAGTGGCATGATCTTGGCTCACTGCAACCTCCGCCTCCAAGGTTCAAGCAATTCTCCTGCCTCAGCCTCCGAAGTAGCTGGACTACAGATGTGCACCACCATGCCTGGCTAATTTTTGTATTTTCTGATATTATTAATAGTAGAGATGGAGTTTCACCATTTTGCCCAGGCTGGTCTCAAACCCCTGAGCTCAAGTGATCAGCCAACTTCAGCCTCCCAAAGTGCTAGGATTAAAGGTGTGAGCCCATCATGCCCAGCCCTCAATTTATTTTATGTTGGTGTCATTTATCTTTTATTTTCTAAAATCTGAATTTTGAAGTTTAGACTCTGAAACCCAATTTATCTTCCTCATTTGTAAAGGTAAGCTAAATATTAGCTTTTTAAGAAAATAATTATTCAAAAATTAATAAAATTCTACAATTCCTTGAAGACTGTTTGAAACCTTCTTTGTTCCCTTAAACATACACTGTGAATTATTTTCCTATTATAAATAATAATAATATGATAATCCCTCTTAAAGTTCAATCTTTGTCAACATTTATGATATTTTTCTTAGGTTAAATTTCTACAAATATTTTTAAAATTCTGTAATATTTTCATAGGCTAAATTTCTGCTATAATTTCTGAGTTAATCTGTTTATGCAATTTTTAACCATTTTGAATGTATTGTCCTATTTTCTTCCAGAAAAAAGAAATCTTTTTAATTTACTGTCCCAATAACAATACATAGGAAGGCTTAATTCTCCTTTTGCTAATACTGTTGGCAATTTGAAGGCTGAAAAGTGGTACTTAGATTTTGGAGGGTTTTTTTTAACGTATTTGATTCCAAAGATAAAACATATATCCAAAGGATTATTGGTTGCAATGTTATTTTGGATAATAGATGTTTTTCATTTACCCATCTAGAATCGTTCTTCATCACCTTTACCTGTCTGCTCTGTTGCCCTGTGATGCTGACGTCTATGGAATGCATCAATATGATCCCTCTTCATCTGTGTGCAGCTTTGCAGCTGTAATTAGCTAATGAGAGCCTCCTGCTGAAGATGGGGTGGTGGGAGTACTATTAAGCCAATTTTTCCCCAATCCGCTTTCTCTTGCTTATCATGTGTTGGATGTATTTCTCTAAGTAGTGGTGCTCATAGATGTAGCTCCTAGATCCCTTTACTGAAATAGTGCATTTGTCTCCAAGTTGCTTTAATTACTGGTTGCTAACAGTTGCCCCTTATCTACAGAATTGTCCTCGGCCAAATGGGAATTACCTTGCCAGGTAAGTTATGCCGATGTTCACAGGGGTAAGACAATTACTGGCTTACACTGGGATACACAACTCCCCTACCCTTCTTCCTCAAAGTGGAATCAACTCTGTGGGGCAATTAATACTGCAGAGCTCCCCAAGGGATCAGACTAAAGATTCGGTACAGTTGGAGTCACACAGTTGCTTACCTTTTTCCTCCTTTGTTCTATCCTGCTTTTCTCACTCACCTTCTCCTAATAGCACTTTCTCAATAAATCAACTGCAAATAATTCCTGTTTCAGGCTCTGCTTCTAAGAATTTGACCTAGTACAGTGGATACCAGGACTGATTTTAGGGAGCAGGCTCAAAAGATGAGTTGAATCTCTTGTAATGAGAACTCCATCACTGGTTGTACGTAAAGTATCGATGGGCCATTGCATGTTATAGCAGTGTGATTTTTAAGACTTCTCTATTGAAAAGGAACTGGATAAAAGTGGAAGGGAATTTACTATCTGGAGAGTGTCTCTTACATTTAAGAGGAATAAAGAAAAGAGTATAGAAACTATGGCACTGTGTGTCTATTACTAAGTACTATTGATTCATGTAAAGTGCAGATGACAAGCTCAGATTTAGTAATCAGCCATGTAAAACAGTGTGAGGGGAAAGGCATCTGTGACTTCCTTATACAGACACCCCGTCTTCTGCAGTTGGAGGACAGACAGAACTGAAGACTGAAGGCACAGTGAAGGTACAAGAGATCATTTAAGAGTGGCAGAACCTTAGAGAAGGCTGACTTCTCAGCCTAGGTAAGTCTCCTACGCCAAAGTTAGGGCCATGATAAGGAAGGGATGGGACGTTGATGTTTGAATGGAGATGTATGCGTAGATGCACTTAAACCTGAATCCGCTGATTACCCTAATATTTCTGTGTTTGCAGAAGTGGCCTACTCCCTTGGAGTATAAAGCCCCATTCTTGCTAAAAGACTGTGCAGAAGCCTCAAATGAGACAGGTGCCTTATACCATAATGCTTTCCCTCCTCAGGGTACCCCGAGCTCCCCTCCTGGCTGCCACAATCATAACTAGGGTCAAATCTCAGCATTACTGTCATCTGCTAAGGAATAACAATGAATGTAACCATACAAACTTCAGAGCCTGGCTAATACACTGTGAGGAACTAAGAAATTATATTGAATAGTAGATACTAACAATGTTGGATCAAAACAGTCTATATATGTATATATATTATATATATAATTATATATATCGAATTATATATATAATATATATTATTCCATTTTATGTATATATAAAAATATATAACTGAATAAAGAGTTTGTTAATATGGAAGCACTATTGTGATTCAGGATTTAACACCCAGATGAAGATTCTCATATGCTTCCGGAATGGCTCTTGGGAGCCTGGATAAAAAATAGAAGCACAGGTGCCATAATTGCCATAGTAAATCATGAAGGTAAAGATCAAAGGCCCAGAAAATGGACCTATTGAAATAAATCTACTTATATGGTAGACCAAAAATAAATAAATAAATAACCCAAAGCAAAACCACAAAACATCATCTAGTGATATTTCTCAAGAGGGTCCAGAGTACATTTTATACGATTTACAAAAGTGATAAAGAATGTATCAAGGAAAAGGAAGCCAGCATCACAGTGTCATTAAGAGACCCAGAGAAGCTGGTCCTTGTGTGCAATGCTATCTGAAAGAGATGCTGTTACAAACTGGACTCTCTAATAACAATGGGTATGACAGGAACTGAGAAAAAAAGGCCAGGTGGCAGCACTTAACCAACAAAAGCAAGGTGGGCTATTTCAATGGGTAGGGGTAGGCACAACTACAATTGGCAAGATAAGAATAGCAGCTGTAAGGCCTAATCCATAGCTATCTATGGAGATGATTAATAGAATATGTCATTTTAGGAGCAGGATAGATAAACAACAAAAAAGCACATTGTTTATTAGAATCAAAGGAAATCAAGAATAGTTGGGCAGAAAGCTGAGGTCAGCTGCCCACTACAAAGTCACAAGCCCCTCATATTTCCTAGATATGATTAGTCCTCATACCCAGACCCAAACAGCTGATGAAAGGGCTGCATCTTAATTAAGAAAGACTCTACAAAACCAGGGCAAGAGTTTATAGGAATGACTTCCCCACAGACAACCTATGACCTTTTACTCAACTTACCATACACTGAAGAAAGGGGAATACCAGATCTCTTGAGCGTTGTTGAATACGAGGTTCATGCTGATGCTATTACAGTTACAGTAAGAATCCCGGAGTACCAGGTCAGATAATAAAGTCCTGGCCTATGACTCATTGGCAGAATCTTCACATTTGTTTCTTAACTTGTAGGTTTTTGTGTAGTTCTGGACTTGTGCATAGTTTTAAAAAGTGTGTGTGTCTGTGTGTGTGTGTGTGTGTGTGTGTAATTTTTTTTCAGAGATAGGCTGCTGCTCTGTTGCTCTGGCAGGAGTGCAGTGATGCAGTCATAGCTCACTGAAGCAGTGAAGTTCTGGGATCAAGTGATCCTCTGCCTCAGCCTCTCAAATACCTGGGATTATGGGCACATGCCACCATGCCTGGCTAATTTTTTTTTAATCTTAATTTTTTTGTGGAGACAGGTTCTTGCTATGTTGCCCAGGCTGATCTCAGACTCCTGCTCTCAAACAATCCTCTCGCCTCAGCCTCCTAAAGTGCTGGGATTATAGGCATAAGCCATGATACCCAGCCACTTTTCTAATACATATATATATAATATACATAGTATATATTATATATATAATATACATAGTATATATTATATATATAATATACATAGTATATATTATATATATAATATACATAGTATATATTATATATATAATATACATAGTATATATTATATATATAATATACATAGTATATATTATATATAATATACATAGTATATATTATATATATAATATACATAGTATATATTATATATAATATACATAGTATATATTATATATATAATATACATAGTATATATTATATATATAATATACATAGTATATATTATATATATAATATACATAGTATATAATATATATAATATACATAGTACATATTTATATATAATATACATAGTACATATTATATATATAATATACATAGTACATATTATATATAATATATATAGTATATATTATATATAGTATATATAGTATATATTATATATAATATATATAGTATATATTATATAATATTATATATAGTATATATTTATATATATATTATATATATATATGAGAAAAAATATACAACCTTTGCCTCCTGGGCTGGGATTACAGGCACCCACCACCATGCCCAGCTAACTTTTTTTTTTTGTATTTTTAGTAGAGATGGGGTTTCACTATCTTGACCAGGCTGGTCTCGAACATCTGACCTCAAGTGATCTGTCCACCTTGGACTACCAAAGTGCTGGGATTACAGGCATGAGCCACAGCGCCTGGCCTCTAATACATTATATACTGGAAACAAGAGGAAGAAGTGGGGAGGCACCCATAACAGAATACAAACAGAAAAAAATGACCCTGTATTTAAAAGAATAACTACACTGAAGAAAGCAAGGTAGAGGACCAACCCCGTCATTTTGCATTTTGTAATGGACAGGGGGATTCTTGTCTCTCCTGATATGATGCAACAGGAAGGATACAACATTTCTTCTATGGTGTTCCTGTCAAAAAAATTATTACCCACATCTAATCATTAGGAAAAGTTTGACAACCCAATTGAGGGACATTCTACCAAATAACGACTTCATACATTTAAAAATGTCAAGTTTATAAAAATGTTGAACTATTCTGTTAAAGGTGACTACAGACACATGACAACTAAATACTGAATGTGATCTGGATTTGATTCTGCACAACAAAAAATAAAAGAAATTTTTATTTAGGACACTCGTGGGACAATTGGTAAAGTCTAAAGGAAATCTGTGATAATAGCATTCTGTCATTGTTAATTCTTGAATTTGAGAATCATACTGTATTTGGAATAAACATATTAGAACACTTTGAAGTGAAGGATAAAGAAATTACCATAAAATATTTGCATAATCTAGATGAAACATATATGGGAGTTATTTGTATCAATTTTCCAACTTTTCTATAAGCCTGAAATCATTTTATTTCAGGCTTTAAATATACATGCAAATTACTTTAAAAATACACGCAAAAGTTGTAATCCTTTAAAGGAGTATATTTTTAAATTCATAGCAGTACCTGAACTCCAAAGAGGTTTATTTTTTACTTTTCAGTGCTGAACTACTTAGAGGATGGATATATCCGGTAATGTCATAATTATATCACGTCTCTCAAAATCTCTTTCAAATGTGTATTTTCAAATCGCTCTGTATCAAAATGACTTAATATCCCAAAAGGGTAGAAAAAGCAAAGCATAGTAAACAGGTAGTATAATTTAATTACCTTTGCTTTCTCTCTTTAAGCATGTCTGACACAGTACATACAGGTCAATGAAATAAATCATTGATATTCCCATGGTTTTCATGGCAGTCTCTAATATCCTTTCTGATTTGATTGTATGACTAGCTTACAACCTCAGCTTCCACTGTGGCTTCATTTACTATTCCTTGGATTCAATGTTATTGTATTTACTTATTAATTTACTTATTCACCAGCAAATGTTAACCACAAAGTAGGTGCCAAACACTAGAATATTGTTTTAATACTGTGTATTTGACCTTAATTTTCTTCTAAAAACATTGGCTTTGTAGTTCCCTCTCCTGACTTGTTGCAGTTTGAACTATCTTTAGAAGGATGCTCTATCTTAATTAACTCTGCAGACCCCAACTCCATCCCATTTACCTACATCCAATGGAATCAGTCCAGTAATCTGCAAAGAGTAGATTTGGATAAAATAAGATTACACGCATATTTTAAGTGAAATTTCCATCTTCCCACCAATGTGTTTGACATGCTATTCTAATAAGTTTCAATAATCAGAGAAAGCATGTATGTATATATAAGTCAAACTACGTTAGTAGGAAACAATTTCATGCTAAAGTTCACACAGATAGTATATTTGAAAATGTAGAATCAAATAGATATATACACTAAGGAAATATATAAAAGTAAAAAATTATTTTCAGTTTCATAATATTGTAAACTAATATTGGTAATGTCCCTGGGTTTCCTTTGGGCAATTAGGGGAAAATTTAAGCAATTTAAGGTTCAGGTGTGTGGTGAACAAAAAGCAATGATTTGATCTGTCTTTTTGATTCAGTTATGATCTCCCCAGGATAGTTTAACTTATCCCTTTGCCTAAAAGTGAAATATTGATCCCCAAACACTAAAGGTGTTTTTTATACTGTATATTTAGTACAGAAACTTGACTTATCCCAAAATATTTTATTCCATATACTTCCTTAAACTGAAGTACAACAAGGTCTTGTAGATAAATTAAAACAATAAAACAAAATTTAGTTTAAAAGGAAGTAATTGCCAGCTTTGAATAATAGTTTGATTATTGATTAACTCACCCAAGTTAAATGAATCACAGTTATTCCTTTTCCTCCTAAGAATCATAAATTGAAAGCCTTTGAATTAATGCTGAAATAATGACAGCAAATTTTACTATAATGAACAGCACCTCATCATTTCTGAAGCATTTGAGACCTAGCAAAGCTCTTATATTATATGAAATAACATGCCTCGATCTTCTCTCCCTGCTATTTAAATCTGAGAATTTAAAATAATGTCAAATCAATGAGAACTACCTATTCTCACCCCAGATCAACAGCAAGTTATTTTCCCTGTTTCTTGAGTAAACTACTTCTTTGGCTCTTCTGATGAAAAAGAAAATATGATCTAAATCCTAGGAAATTGGCATTTTTCTGGTGTTTGGGGAGTTGACTACTGCTGACTTTGACACATTCATATAACCCTTCCTTTCAGGCAGGATTTACTAACATAAACAATTTGTATTCATCCCACTGATGTTGAATTGAAATGGTTGAGTTGGAAAGAAACTCTAGCAATGAATTCACATATTATTCTCATAGGGCCAAGCAATTAAATAAGGTCCTCAGGTCAGACTTGGCTCAAAGCTTCCATGCTCTTTTTCTTGAATTCCAATGCTCTTGTGAAGCTTTCTTTTCCTAGGGTCTTAAATTCTTGTGAACATTTCTTATTCTGACTTTCCGATTTTGCAAAATTTTTGATCCCTTAACCTCAGAGTTACTTCAGGGCTCAGTCTTTAGATTTCTTCTTTCTCTATATACACTCCCTTGGGATCTTATACAATCCCAATGCCTTATATACAATCCTGTTGTTTTAAATGCTCCCAAATTTATACCTCTATCTCATTACTCTTCTTGAACTCCGGGCTCATTTATTTAATGTCTAGTTGATATATCTACTTACATACCTAAGAATTATCTCAAAGTGAAGCATACCCAAGATTCTATTCATAAACTGCTCCCTCAAATCTGCTATAGCCTAATTTTTTCATATCACACAGTGATAATTCAAGCCTTCTACTTTTTCAGAACATACATTTTGGATAATTTTCAGTCCTCAATTACTCACACTTTCATTCAATTTAGCAGAAACACATTCATGACATCACTTCAACGTACAGTATATCTAAGACAAACAATGCAGTCAAAATTGTAGCCAAGAATCACAAATGATGCTAAAATTAATGGGAAACATACGATGTAAAACTGGATATCTGTGTAACCTCAAATTCTTTCCCCCCAAAATACTTATTAATTGCAAATGGAAAAATAGTTACCTTACAGAAGAGAAATCCCATAGACATCACCTTAACCAAGTAAAGAAATTTAACAGCACTAAAAATACTGTCATCATGTACCTCCTGATAGGACGCACTGAGGATATAATATCACTGCTCTTTCATTCTTGCCAAAAACACACAACTGAAATTTAACCTGAAGAACAACTGAACAAACTGAAGTTGAAAGACATTTATAAACAGGTAATTCTTCAAATGTATTAAGGTCATGAAAGACGGGGGAAGACTCAGAAACTTTCCAGACTGAGGAAGATGAAGACGTGACAACTGAGTGCAGTGTAAAATTCTGTTAGCTTCTTAGGCAGAGAACTTTATCCCTTTTAGTGCTATCTTCGTTCAGATTACGGTTTCAGTGCTATTGTTTCCACAACTGCAAAGGCTGATCAATGTACGTCCTTAATCAAAGATAGTTCTCTCCCTAAAAGGAATTCTGGTGCAAGCTCTTTAAAATAAGAGACATGCTTTGCTACACAAGTAAAAAATTGTAGTACAAGGAATTCTGGGAATGCTTTTGATACCATATTTCTTGGGAGCACCAACAGGGCATGTATAGGTACCTATGTCTAACTTCATCTTCCAAGTGAGTCAAGCTGCCCAAATTACTGTAAACGCCTCCTTAGAAGATTGTGTCCCTCAAATGTAGCCCTTATCGCACGGACCTTGATAATTAATTATGGTACTCATCTTTGTGAAGAAAGATACCTGCTTTTAAAAAAAGATATCAACGTATATAGAAAATCACATTTTTAAATTGATGTCACACAAATCTGTGCTGTAAAGTAGTTAACCCCTTTTACACGAAAAAGTAATTAACTGTTAATCAAAATTAAGTAAGCAAACATCAGGACTGGCTTGTTTTGCTCCAGTTCTAAGAGATTGTTTCCTTTGACAACCTGTAATGGTATTTTTTACAATTCTACCTGAGCCACAGGTCAATCTGAGGATTGAGATATAGAAGATTTTCTGAAGACATAATAGACACTTGAAATTACAAATTATTCATTATGAGACTCTTCACAGCATGCATTATCTCATTTGAACCATGGTGGGATTGTTCTATTCAGGAAGATCAAATATTTGGATTATACCAAAGAAAGCAATGCTTAAAATAAAAATAATTTAAAACCATGGCTTTTAAAGCTGTATTCAGAGCTGATAACAAGAGCACACAGCCCCAGAGACCCCAAATTCAAATTAAGAATATTACTTTTATTGCACTATGAACTATATTTTCTTGCTCAAGCTGAGACATTCAGCAGCTAACAATATTACTGTTAAGCATATATTAAACAAAAAACTAGGGTATGGTATTTCCTTGTGCAGACACCAAAATGGAGACTACAATGTAATCACATTGCATTTCCTAGTGGTATCACAGAGAAATGGACAAAGAGCAAAAATAAGTGTAGCTAAAACCTGTAGATAAACCATAGAGCTATCTCTAGCATAAACAGAACTTAATATAACACATCTCTGCAACAATCAGCATTGCCTTAGGAGGATAACACCACAAGCTGTTTTATCTGCCATAAAGAGAGTACTGCGGAAGTTAATAAATGCAATACAGAATTATTTGCAAGCAAGAAAAAGTAGAAGTTAGTTAAATGAACAAGTGATTATATAGTTAGAGAATTGGGTTCAAGAAATAATACTGACTACACAGTGAATAGGTGGTCAGATTTGTTAGAAAACATAAGCTTTTAAATACAAGCCCCTTGAAGATGACCTGAGCCCAGGATGTCGAGGCTGCAGTGAGCAATGATTGTGTCAATTTACTCCAGCCTGGCTGACACAGTAAGATCCTGTCTCAAAAAACTATAGATATAGTCTCTCTAAGATAATATTTCCAACTCATTCATTCATGACACCATTGACCTTATGTCGAATTTCTCATATTCGTGAAGAGCATTATGTATATTTTCTGTTTGCATTTGTAATTTTTAAAAATACTTCAGAATATATGGTATCATGGTCTATTATGGCTATAAGTTACATAAACATAGAATCATCTTCATCATCTATTGGGGGAAGTTTTCTTTGAAATGCAACCAAAGTCTTCCTGGGTTCTATGTCACACATAGATATCTAATTTGGTATGAAGGACTCTGTTAAAACATCCTTTCGTCTTGCCACTCAGTAGTAATCTAAACTCGTTATTCTGAGGATATAGTTCACTACAATGGGAAGGAGCATATTTACGTACTGGAGTCAGGCAAATCAGTGTGAATCCTACCTCACCACTTTTGAGCTAAGTTTAATCAGTGTCTTACCCTCACTGATACACACTCCCATCACCATTTCCTCTACTGTGAAATGAATAAATTGCCATCCCCCATTCCTGGCTGCCCTGAGAATTAAAAGATAATGTACAAAGGGCCTGGCACATAGAAAGGATTTGGTAAATTTTCTTTCCTTTTCCTTCTCTTGTCCTTAAAAATATACAACATGAAATGAAGTATGATCTAGCCACACTGTTGAATTAAATTTTCTTGCAGCAAATCTTGTATGCTTTGCTTTATTTTCTACCTGAGAACTCTGCAAATTAAAAAGCAAGTAAATGACTGACTTGTAAAGAAGACACCAACCAATAACCTTTAAATTTTGTATCATCTAGAATAAAAAAGTCACAGTTTATTTTCCAAATATGTAACAAAAAGTAGGATGTTCTGTGATGTTCAAACTTTGTCTGTAGCAATTTAGGAACTTGTTTATAAATTTGGTGCATGGCTACATCTCCCAAGCTGCTCAGGAAGTCTTGATGATGATGATAGTTTAATATACCTTCTTTCCAAAATATTACTTAAAATCAGAAAAAAATACTGGAAAATGAAATTTATTGTATCTTTTTAGCTTAAGAATCACATATCTGATGAAGCCAGGCTCTATTCAAACTAAGTAAAGCAAATTTTTTGTGGATGAGTGGGTAGTGGGTCCCATGTTTCTATGTTGTGATTATCCCAAAAGGAGAGTATATCACACAAATGTTATTCATTGAAGGAGTAGCGAGAGAGAGATAAATGATGATGATCAGTACTTTTATACATCCTCCTTTCTTGTGATCAAATGAATAGGAAAGGTCAGTGTGTGCTTCATTCATATGGGAACATCTTTAAAGTTTGAGTTAACATGATTAAATATAGTTAAATTCAACACCAGCTTAAATAAATATTTCCTCAACACCTACTATGAAACAGCAATATTCTAGACACTTTGAATATAGAGCTGATGCGCTATAGTCCTTGTCCTTGGAGAGCTCCAAGTATACGTGAGCAAAAGCTTAAGACAGAAACGTCAAATCATTGTTTCAATTCTAGCCATGTGATCTAAAGGTTAGTGTCACATTTTTTTAAAAGCTTAGTAATAGATTTTATTATTTTAAATATAAATGTAAGTGAAAAGAGTAAATGACAACACAAATGCCAAACACAATTCTATAAAAAAAGCTTTTATTTTCTATCACTTTATCCATAAATTTGGCAATGTGTATTTCAAAAGTTAATTACTCTTTTTTGATAAAACAACCGCAATACCGTTGTCACATTTAATAATATTAACACTTATTTCTTGGCCTCATCCATTGGTTATTCACTGTCATTCTCTTTCACAATTTGTTCTTTATAATCAGATTCAAAGTAAAATGCGTATGTTTTGAGTGGTTGGTAGCTCTTCAGTCTACAGATGTCCCCCTTCTTCTCTCTCTCTTTCTCCTTCTCTGTCATTTATCTGTTAAAGAAACCAAGTTGTTTTGTCTGTTATAGTTTTCCACATTCTGGAATTTTCTTTTTACATCCCTTTGCTGGTGTTTAACTTTACTGTCTATTCTCTGTATTTAATACTCCATGTAAATTAAATCTAGAAGATTGGTCATATTCATGTTTACTTATTTATTCATTTTTGGCAAAGAGATTTCATAGGCAGTGCTGTGTCCCTTTTTCAGAAGCTATACATGCCTGTTTGTTTCCCTTTTTGTGATACTCGCAGTTGTTGATAAATGCCTAGATCCGTTCATTCATTAGGGCTTTTGTGAAATGATGATATTTTAATTTTATCATTCTTTCTTCCTTTCTTAGCTAGAATATTTCTATAAAGAGAAAATCTCCTAATGTACCGTTTTGTTTTCCAGTGAATAATACACATAAAAAGCCAGAAAAAATTCTTGACAGTTTCACTTTCTTGCTTATTTTAAAATAATAAGTGAAATAAATATTAATGAATTCCACCTCACCTTCTTTTTATTATCTTTATAGTCTCATGGGGTTTCATACATCAGGTGTGTTTTATCCTTTAGGTTTATTTTATTCATTGATGGTCACTTTGTCCCATTGTTGGCCAGTGGAAGCATCCCCAGGGCTCATTAAGTCCTTTTAATACAATAATAGCATATGCACTAGGATAGCCCCTGTGCATTCTGGCTGTTACAAAATAATCCAGGCTAACCTTGTACATTTGTTGTGCCAGGCCTCCAATGAGCTCTGGTTCATTTTAGTGGAGAATGATATTTAGAAACCATAGTATGTGCACTAGGGTTGCTTATTCTACTTAGTTGATAAGTACTACTAAATAATTTCAGCACATAGAGTTAAGAAATTTGTTTTTCCTCATAATCTTAAAATATACTAGGGTTACAGGGTTATACATTCTTGCTGATCCTTTCAAATCAGATTCAGAACTTAACCTCATTTATCAGATTTACATTTCCCTTTTCTTCTGAGAAATTCTAATTTTTGATATTCCTAAGAATGGAGAAATCCAGACTTATTTTACTCTTGTAAACAACTTTCTACAATGCAATAGTTTATTTTTTTAACTTTTATTTTAGGTTCAGGGGTACATGTGCAGGTTTCTTATATAAGTAAATTGCATGTCACAGGGGGTTGGTATACAGATTATTTTATCACCCAGGTAATAAACCGCCCTCCACCCTCAAGTAGGCACTAGTGTCTGTTGTTCCCTTCTTTGTGTCCATGTGTAAGCAATGGTTAGCTCTGACTTATAAGTCAGAACATGTGGCATTTGCTTTTCTGTTCCTGCATTAGTTTGCTTAAGATACTGACCTCCAGCTCCATCCATGTTTCTACAAAGAACATGATTCATGCTTTTTATGGCTGCATAGTATTCCATGATGTATATGTACCACATATTCTTTACCAAGTCTATTATTGATGGCCGTTTAGGTTGATGCCATGTCTTGGCTATTGTCAATACTGCTGCAATAAACATACAAATGCATATATCTTTATGGTAGAACAATTTATATCCCTTTGAGTATGTACTAAATAATAGGATCTCTGTTGAATTTCTGTTTTCAGTTCTTTGAGAAATTGCCAAATTGCTTTCCTCAATGGCTGAACTAATTTACATTCCCACAAGTAGTGTATAAGCATTCTCTTTCTCTGCAACCTTTCCAGTAGCTGTTATTTTTTACTTTTTAATAATAGCCATTCAGATGGGTATGAGATGGTATCTCATTGTGGCTTTGATTTACATTTCTCTAATGATTTGTGATGTTGAGCATTTCTTCATATGCTTGTTGGCCACTTGTATGCCTTCTTTTGAAAAATGTCTGTTCATGTCTCTTGCCTACCTTTTAATGTGGTTGTTTGTTTTTTGATTCTTCGTTTGTTTAAGTTCCAGATAGATCCTGGATATTAGACCTTTCTTGGATGTATAGTTGTCACATATTTCTCCATTCTATAGATTGTCTTTTTACTCTGTTGAGAGTTTCTTTTGCTGTGCAGAAGCTCTTTAGTTTAAATAGGCCCCATTTGTCAATTTTTGTTTTTGATGCATTTGCTTTGGGCATCTTCATCATGAAATCTTTGTCAGGGCCTGTTTCTAGAATGCTATTCCCAGGTCATCTTCCAGGGTGTTTATAGTTTTAGGTTTTACGTTTAAGTTTTTAATCCATCTTAAGTTGATTTTTTGTTTATGGTATAAGAAAGGGATCCAGTTTCAATTTTCTGCATATAGCTAGCCAGTTATCCCACTACCATTCATTGAACAGGGAGTCCTTTTCCCATTGCTTGTTTTTGTCAAATTTGTTGAAGATCAGATGGTTGTAGGTATGCAGATTTATTTCTCAGCTCTATTCTGTTCCATTGGTCTATTTGTCTGTTTTTGTGCCAGTATCAGGTTCTTTTGGTTACTGTAGCCTAGTAGAATAGTTTGAAGTCAGGTGATGTCTTCAGCTTTGTTCTTTTTGCTTAAGATTGCTTTGTCTAGTCCGGCTCTTTTTGTTTCCATATGAATTTTTAAATTTTTTTTCTAATTCTATGATGAATATCATTATAGTTTAATAGGAATAGCATACACTGCAAGAGTGTCTTATTGCAATTTTAGTGGAACAGAATTTGCATGGCTCTAAATTCTACTATAATGAACAAAAATAATGAATAAACATTTACCTTGTAATATTATTTAAAATTTACAACAACCCTATGCAAAACAATTATTTTTCTGTTTACAAGTGAAAAAAATTAGAGCTCAGAAAGGTTGAGTAATTTACACAAGGTAACATAGTTTTTAATGGGGATCTTGGTCACTGATTTGTCTGACACAAAAAGCCACAGAATTAACCAACTATTAATGATTATGCTATGGTAACTGTTTAATTAATAGCACTCACCTTCTGCTATAATTATCAACTGAGCCAAGCTTATTAGCTAGAATCCTGGTGGCAGTTAGAAAAAGTAAATTGTACGTAAATGGCTAAGACCCTGTGGTCTATTATTTCACACATGCTATCTAATTATATATGCATGTGTATATAACATGCAGGCCAGACCTGAGTAAAGTCAATAAAATTTAGCTTGCGGGATCACATCAATTGTTTGACTGTAGGCTCTTTAAGCAATACTAAAAATCCCCCTGATCTGATATGACATCTGGCGTGTCCCTCAGAGGAAACATAGTAGTCTCCCAGGCTGTGCTTTTAAAGGCAATTAGTAGGTTTACAAATTCTATTTTTACATTTTGTATTAAAAGTATAGTTTGGATTTTGCATTCCAGAAATTGTTTGAATACTGCAATGCAGCAGATTTCATTGGTTTTAAAGTTTTAGGGAAGAAACAATAATGTTCACTTTCAATATGATTTTGAAGTGTGTTTCAGCAGAAATTATAAATGTTCAGGGTACTCTCCTAAAGGTATCACAGTAAGCATTTAAACTGAATAGATGCTATTGGTACCCCTGTAACATAATGAAAAATGGGCAGCCACCATCTGACCGCAACAGAGAATCTGACTCTTCCCCTTCCATTAGCCTCTGGGAAAAATGGTATGATCGCCTCCAACAGATCAGAGAGGGTTGGTTATGGTCGTATCTTTAAGAGTGAAATTTTCAACTCCTAAGACAATGAGAGGTCTGACCATGAGTCCTTCTCCACCCTCCAGACGTGGGACCACACAAGGACTTCCCTGCTACTGAGGGACAAGTTCCCAGTGGCCGGCCGCTTATTGCACCTATCTCCAGCATTCCTTATGAAAAAATTACTTGTACCAGTCTATGAAAATGAATCATAAAGCTAGTGTGACTGCAACTATTAGATACATTCCATTCCATGAATAACACTATTTTATATGAAGGTTTGAGGTTAAAAGGGAAAAAATAGGCAAGGATTATGAAAATACAACTTTCTGTCATAGATTTCAGCAGGTGTCTTCTTACAATACAGGACATGTTTTTATTACGAAAACAAAGAAAGGGTGCTGCCATAGTAGAATTCCACTGCAGAGGATGAATATACTGCTGGGTCCATTTGGTTGTATCGTAGTTCAATAACGCTATGTGTATGTGTGTGTGTATGTGTCTGTTAGGAATTAGGAGAGACAGATTAAGGATCAGTTTTAACGATGCATTTCAGCTTTTTGGTTTAGACAACTTACCATGCTTTTCACTCTAGAAACACTTTAAGGTAGTTACAAGATTTCTCTACTTTACATTTTATATCAGTCTTAATAAATGTGATATGCTTTCACATGCAGTATATTATTTAAGCTTCACAACAATTGGTGTGAGGAAAGCATTATTGTAATCCCCAATTTACAGACGGAAAGTTGTGGCTCAGGAAGATTAAGTTAGTTTGCAAAAGTGGCACAGCTAGTAAGAGTGAGAGCTAAGATTTAAATAAGACATTTTGGTTCTTACAAGCCCATGCACTACTTAACCTTCATGCAGAGTAGAGTACAAAGGCTCAGAGAAGATACATCATTTACCTTAAGTCAGTTATAGCAAAGGCTCAATTCCAGATAATTTTGAATCCAAAACCAGTGTTTTTTTCACTATAGCAAGGAGTTCCATAGATAGCACAGAATAAATATATGAAATAATTTCATTTACAGCACCACTTACATACTTTATATTTACAGCACACTTCGTAACATATAGATTAATACAGCACCAAGTGATGACAAAAAACACTAAAATAAGGCAAATTAAATTAAAAATGCAATTTTAATGGGATTAAACAGAGGATGCTTTCAGTAGAAAGGCAGTTTTGACACAAAACAGAAGAACAAAGAAAAAGAAGAAAGTGCGTTCTAGATAATATTTTTAATATTACATTCAAGAGCACTGGAGAAGCTGTCCTAAAATGGAGAGGCAGGAAACTATCTAAAGTATTATGGTAATGTTTCTGGATAGAATATTCAGTGGATCTTGAAGAAATAGAAAATTGCCTTAGAAAAGTTTTCATTTTATTGGAATTACAAAATCTCCTATATATAGCTTTACCTAATTTCACTTAAAACTTTTCTAAGTAACAGGAGAACTCTTTAAGATAAAAGGTGTCAGGGTCACCTAACACACATTTGCAGTATGCTCTTCTAAGAGGAGGTGTGGTTGTGCTATTCTTATTGCCTCTAAGAAAAATAAGATCTGTACAAGGTTAAATTGAGGTGAGCTCACTCTTAAAGAGATTTTAAATTTCACCTGGAAATAGAAATGTTAAATTTTCGAATATGCTCCTACATAGATGACACAAGCTATACCCATTTCAATTAGGAACTGGAGAACCAGAGTCTGCAGGCAGTGTATGCTCAGATAAATGATATTGATTCTATGTATATTGGCTACATTTCTTCTTGCTTACATAACTACATGTTTCTGGCCAACTTGAATGTCAACCTCACTTTTTCCACTTATGACCTATTTCTTGCTAGCAACTCCATTCCCATGCTCCATGATTCTGTCTGTGGCCTTGTATATCCCCAGATTTATTCAAATTGCCCATTTTTCATGATTTACACGTTCAGTCCTCTCATCTTGAGCTGCATCTTCCTATACAGCTTCTCGAGAAACATTAGATTTTTTCTTTCTTCTTTCTTTCTTTTCTTTCTTTCTTCTTTTCTTTTCCTTTCCTTTCCTCTCTCTTACCTTCGTTCCTTCCTTCCTTTCCTCTCTCTCTTTCCTTCCTTTCCTCTCTCTCTTTCCTTCCCTCCCTCCCTCCCTCCTTCCTTCCTTTCTTCCTTCCTTCCTTCTTTCTCTCTCTCTCTCTAATTTTGAGAAAGGGTCTTACTCTGTCACCCAGACTGGGGTGCTATGATGCGATTATAACTCACTGCAGCCTTGAACTCCTGGGCCCAAGCAATCCTCCTGCCTCAGCCTCTGAAAGTGCTGGGATTACAGGTGTAAGCTACTGTATCCAGCTTAGGCATCCATTTTTGCCATTCCCCCAGCTTGGTTCTATATTCATTCTTCTCTTTACAAAGCTGATTACATTGAAAGATTACCAGATACTCCTCCCAGAAAAGTGGAAGAAGGGATCTGTGTGTGTTTTGGATGATAAGGTAGGAAATCCCGAACTGGACTTGGAAACAAAGGATCCTATGCTAATAAGCAGAGGACCACAAAATAAAAAAGTTTTCAGTGGAAACTGAGGTAATCTAGAAAGGTAATCTAGAAAGAGATAATCTAGACACAAAGCCATGTGATGGAAATAAGAAAACAATATTAAATCAAGAGTATCAATCCATTGATCCATCTACTTATTCATTCCACTTATCATGTACAAGATACTATTCAAGGAATCTTGGAGATTCTTTCTGAAATTCTGACTACTATACCTCACCACCTTGAATAATACCTGGCACCTTGTGGGCACTGTCAGCCAGATCTTGTTGCTCCATTACCCAAAATCTCAAAGTCTTCCCATTAACCCATAGTCTAGTTTATGACAAAATGATTCAAAGTAAGGACTGGAAAGTATAAATGGAAAAATAAAATCTTACTTAAACAAGGCTATCATGTTTAAGTGGCTGTCTAAAGCAGTGATTTTTACAGCTCGTTCCCAGTTGTGGTTTAGGTGCAGAAATTGCAACATATAAGGTTCCATGCAAGATGAACAACAGTGACAATGTTTATGTAGAAGCATTTTTTAAATAAAATGCTATACAAGTGGAAGCTATTAACATGCAGAACCAGCCAACTCCTTTGTGTCTTATTTTTCTTATCTTTCCCTATTGATAGCATTTATTGTTCACTTTAAAATAAAAATCTGTCACAATGTGACAGGCTCTATAGGGCAGCTCAGAAAAATATTAGAATGCTGATGGTCATAGTGCAAGCTTTCATTCTAGCTTATATGTCATTCTCTGAATCTCTGTTATGAACAGAATTGGAAAATTCAGGACTGAATTTGTTTTTGCTTTTGCTTTTTTCAAATGTTAACAGGGTATCCTTCTCAAGGACCTTGTCAAGTTATTCTCTCAAGCTTTGGTTTGGATTCTGAATATTGAATTCAGGAAATTAAGTCCTCCTTCTCTTTTTGTTAAGAGATTTAGCCTTGTCAACTTTTCCATTAAGTGGCAACTCAAGGTTCAGAGATCAGAGAGTGAGCCTTCTCAGCAGGAGGGCTTAATAAGATTAGAAAAAGTAAGACTCTTTCAACACTGGCAAAAGTAGGAAGGTAATTATCTCATGAAGTCAATCAGTATACATAATCATTGCAGATTATTTAGACAAAATAGCCTCTCTGTCTTTACATTAGGGATTTTTGCAAGAAATACTAATGCCGTTTTATTTTATTTGGTCAACATAAGCCCAGTCTCAACAGTAGATATCCAAATGTTTAAAACATCTTGATATTTTAACATTGCATGACACCTGACTTTGGGTTAGACAGATGTTCCATTAAGACTTCCAGGAGACCAGCAAGTTATTTGAATCCTCAATTATTGTTTAGTTTAGCACACTTATTTCCCTCTCTCCACATATTTTTAATAATCTAAGATTGGTTTGGCAGTTTTATTATGTGTATCTTCAGCTTTGCCAGATTCACTTAGAGATAAGCATGAAATATGGTATAAACAAATATAATTCTTACACCTTGCATAAATTTCTTGTGTGTGATACCGAAAAGCAGATGTAAGGGAAAAACACGTCTTAAAATGCAATCCATAATGGATACCATCTAACGCTAGTTAGAATGATGATCAATAAAAAGTCAGGAAACAACAGATGCTGGAGAGGATGTGGAGAAATAGGAACGCTATTACACTGTTGGTGGGCACTTAAATTAGTTTAACCATTGTAGAAGACAGTGTGGCGATTCTTCAAGGATCTAGAACCAGAAATACCATTTGACCCAGCAATCCCATTACTGGGTATATACCCAAAGGATTATAAATAATGCTACTATAAAGACACATGCACAAGTATGTTTATTGCAGCACTGTTCACAATAGCAAAGACTTGGAACCAACCCAAATGCCCATCAGTAATAGACTGGATAAAGAAAATGTGGCACATACACACCATAGAATACTATGCAGCCATAAAAAAGGATGAGATCATGTCCTTTGCAGTTACATGGATGAAGCTGGAAACCATCATTCTCAGCAAACTTACACAGGAACAGAGAAACAAACACCGCATGTTCTCACTCATAAGTGGGAGTTGAACACTGAGAACACAGGGACACAGGGAGAGGGAACATCACACACTGGGGCCTGTCAGGGTGTGGGGAACTATGGGAGGGATAGCATTAGGAGATATACCTAATGTAGATGACGGGATGATGGGTGCAGCAAATCACCATGGCATGTGTATACCTATATAACAAACCTGCATGTTCTGCACATGTATCCCAAAACTTAAAGTATAATTTAAAAAAAGGATAACCCAAATATTGCATGGGACATACTTTTCTTAAAAATTTATTGTTTATTAATACAAAACAAAATAAAAAATACAGTCCATAATATTCTAACAAAAATGTTTCTTAGAATTTTTTTTTTAGGAAATCCTTCTCATGTTCACCATGTTTGGGTCTACCCTTCCAGGCTTCATATTTATACAAAGATGAATATAAGTGTGAATTCTATTCTTATTGAAGGAATATTGTTCATAATCACAAAGAAAGGAGTTTTCAGGATGGTTAGTCTCTAAATAAACAAAGAAAATGATTTAGCAGAGTGGATATTTCTAATGTAAAGAATAGTAAAATGAATAAAAGGCATAAAGTTATTTTTTAAAAAAGAAAACACTTTTTAATTGTTCATTGTGTTTAGCAGATCATAATCTGGTATTATCCACAGTCATTGAGCTTTTGTTTGTTTGGGGTCAGGATTGCATTTACTGTTAACTGATTTGCTCTTATGTACTTTATTTTTCTGACAACAAAAATTCCCATGCATAGTTTAAGTCTCTTGTATATAAAAACATTTCTCAAAGTTCAAAGGAAAGTTTTAATTTGGAAAAATTCTGTTTAGATAATTCTTTCTTGATTTTTCTTGCCAACTTATTCAATGTATTTTTTGATCAATGAATCAATGTTAATCCTTTTACATTATTCTCTACGTCTACATTCTTAATGCCTCTTTCCTGATTTCACAACCACTTATCAAAACAAACAGCTTATCCTGTTTCATTGCTCTGAACATCCTTCATAATTGTCTTATGATATTTAAAGTTGAAGATTTTTTACAGATGAAATACGTTTGTCTTTAAATGTGTCCCATTTCCTCAAATTCTCTGCCTCCAATGAAATCTGAAATCTAATTTAAAACAAAGTTCAAAATAAGATCTGTACACCATCCTTGTCAGTAGCTTCACTTTGAAGTTTTATGACCCACTACAGCCTAGCTTTTTTAACAGGAATAAAAAAAGTAAACATCAGAAAGAGAGTATTCTAGCTCAAAGTAAATTGGGAAGTCATAAGAAATCATCTACCTGCTTTAAGTGACTTCATACATTTCAGTCTTATCAAATTGCTTTTCAAAATGATGTTGGAATTTAAAGGTTTAATTTCATGGCCACTTCCATTATTATTGGAAATGCTGAAAATAAAAATCACATTATAACCAATGACAGATCCATATTTTAGTTTCCAAAATGGAACATTCTGGAAATGTACATCTTTAATAAATTTGAGGATTGATTATTAATGCAATGGACGATAACAATGTAGGATGAATAGGGAGGATTATTGAGAACCAACATTTCCTTGGGAGGAAATGATTCAAGTGACATAATGTTCTTTCTCTAATAAGTTTTTAATGTTACTCATCAGCAAAATACAGCCAATGGGATGTATTGATTTCAGCAAAGTATGATATGATACTTTTGGAATAAAGGTAATAAGTATTTACTGAGTAACGGTAACATTAAGAAGATTACTTAAGCATAGATTAATAGGTATCTATCTTGTTGAATAAAGCTTATACTATAGCACTGCATTTTTTCTGCCTCTGTTGAGTACCACTTAATCATTGATTTGATGAGAAAAATAATTTTCAAATCATATACCAACTTTTAATATGAAGTTTGATATCAAAAGCTGGAAATATTTGTTAGAGTGATATTCTAGAAAGGTTAAAATCAACAGAATCAACCAGAATCAACAAAGGAACTGTTAAAGGTATATAAAAATAATCCAAGAATTCTTACATAGTAGGTTTAAGAAAACTTGTTTTGGTAGCAGGTTTTACATAAAAAAGATTTAGTGGCTTTATTTATTCACAAATTTGATTGATTTATTCATTCATTTAATAAATATCTATCAAAAACATACCATGTACTAGGTCCTGAATTCTGGGTACTAGAAATATAGTAGTAAATTAGACAAATAAGGAATCTTCTACAGTTTATGTTCTGGTAGCCTGAGACAGAAAATTAATAAGTAAATGAATAAACAAGATAATTTCAATTAGAAATAAGATTCAAAATATGTGAATTAGATGGAGTAGTGTACGGGAACTAATTTAAACTGGTAGGAAATGAGCACTGAAGAGGTGGTATTTTTGCTCTGCTTTTAAAAGAAGACAGATCTGATATAGGAAAGTCGGGGTTAAAGTTTTAAAGCAGAGAAAATATCAGGTGCAAAAACCCTAAAGGAAAAGATGGGCTTGGTCAAGTCAAAGAATAGAAATAACAATGGTTTCCTAAAGTCAGATAATGTAAAGATATTGTAGGTATTAATAAAGAAGTTTGATTTCATCCCAAGGGCAACAGGAAGATTTTGGAGCATTTTGAATAGGGAAGTAATATGATTAGATGGGATCTCTTTTGAATTTTTAAAAGATTATTCTAGTTACCATCCAGAGAAAGGAATGTAAGAGCCCAAGTGTTGAATTAGAGAAATTTATTGAGTAATCCTGGTGAAAAACAACTGTGGCTTAGATTAGAAAGGTGTCCATAGAAAACAGGAAAAATGGATGGATTTAGAATAGAATCTGGGGGTGAATCAAACAGAGTGAAAGAGGAGTTAAACATGGGGGTATAGAGAAGAGTTAAGGGTAACCCACGGTTATAGGAATTGAAGAACAGGGTATATTGTAGTAGAATTTACTGAAATGAAGGAAGTTTACAGAGGGAAATATTAAGTTTAAGATACCAACTGGATATTCAAATGTATTTTTTAAGTAGGTCACTCAACATTAACGTACTCAGCACAAATCATGACCAATCATGTAATGTACTCAGCACAAATGATTTGACCATTGGAATGGTCAAATTTAGGGGCATATTTTGGAGATGTCAGCAAATTGATGATATCTAATGCCATTAAGAAAACGTAATGAGAAAGTGTGGAAGTAGAAAAATGAAGGACATAGGACTGAGGCCTGTGATATTTCTATATTTTGAGGTTAAACAAAGCAGTTTCAGAAGGAGGAATAAGTGAATAAAGCCAAGAGAGTATGATGCTGCAGAGATCAAGAGAAGAGATTGTTCAAAGAATTAAAAAAATGCTCAGCTAAGTAAAATATTGCTGACAGCTTAAGCAGGATGAAGAAAAACAAGTAATTGTAGGACTCTTTTGGTGATAGAGGGCGAGATAATACATACCAACTTTCCACTAATAATAACTAAAAGTGGTGAGTATAATATTAAAATATCAGAAATATTGATTATCTTGGCACAAATTGCAAAAGATATGCAAGACCTGCACACTGAAAACAACAAAAAAATTCATTGAGAGAAATTAAAAGAGACGTGAATAAGCGGAGAGCGGAGCGAGATAATTGTTCAACTTTTGGAAAATTCAGTGTTTTTAAGATTTTTCTCACATTGATCCATGCCTTCCCAATTTAAAGTCCAGCAGGCTTTTTTTGTTGTTGTTAAAAATTGAAAAGCCAATTCTAAAAGGCATGTAGAAATGCAAAGGACCTAGAACAGCCAAAACAAATTCGACATAGAAGAAGTTGAAAGACTCATATTACCTGACTTCAGGAGTTATTTTAAAGTTTAAATAGATAAAACAATGCAGTGTTGACAACAAGAGATAATAGGATTCAAAAAACAGAATGTGGAGTCTGGAAATAATTCCACACATATATGATAAACTGTTTTTCAGCAAAGGTGCAAAAGGGCCAGGTACGGTGGCTCACACCTGTAATCCCAGCACTTTCGAAAGCCGAGGCAGGTGGATCACTTGAGGTCAGTAGTTTGAGACCAGCCTGGCCAACATAGTGAAACCCCATCTCTACTAAAAATACAAAAATTAGCCAGGTGTCATAGCAGGCACCTCTAATGCCAGTTACTCGGGAGGCTGAGGCAGGAGAATCACTTGAACCCAGCTGTCAAATGTTGTAGTGAGCTGAGATCTCACCCCTGCACTCCCGCCTGGGCAGTGCAAAGGGAAAGCCAACAGAGAAAGAATAGTGTTTTCTATAATTACTACTGTAACTATTATAAAACCATATTCCAAAACAAGTGAATTTCAATTCATACATTGCATGATTTAAAAAAATTTACTTAAAGTGTACAATATGCCTAAATTCAAGAACAAAAACTATCAAATTTCTAAAAGAAAACATAGGACAAAATTGTTCTTAGGTGGTAATTTCTTAGTTATGACATAAAAAGCAAGATCTATTTGAAATAAATAAATTGTACTTCATTAAAATTGAGAACATCTGCTCTTCTAAAGACACTTAAGAGAATTAAAATATAAGCCGCAGACTTCAAGAAAATATTTAAAATTCCATATCTGAGAAAGGCTTTGTATCAAGGATATATTTGAAAGAGGAAAGCAAACTCAAAACTCAATAATAAGTGTGCAAAACTCAAGAGAGAGCTGGTCACAAGACATGAATAGCAACTTTACCAAAGATTTGTTGTTGGCAAAAAAATATATGAAAAGTTGCACAATGATATTATTCATCGGAAAAATTATAACTCAAACCACCATGAGCTACCACTAAACATCTATTAAAATGTCTAAAATTAAAAAAAATTGACCATATCCCTTGTTAGCAAAGATATGAAGCAACTGAAACTGCACCCAATGCTGATGGAGTTGTAACATGGTACAACCACTTTGAAAAAACGTAACACTTTTAAAAAATTATAGATACACCTATCAAATCCAGCCATTCTACTCTTAGATGTTTACTCATGAGAAATTAAAGCAAACATTTATTTAAAAATGCATACAGGGATGTTTATGTCATCTATATTTTTAATGTCCAAACTTATAAACAATGCATATGCCTATCAACAAGTAATTGGGTAAAGAAATTGTGGTGTATTCATATAATGTGATATTACTCAGCAATAGAACAGTAGAAAGTATTAATGCACACAACAATATGAATGAATCTTAAAATTATTTTAAGTGAAATAAGCCAGATGTAAAAGAAGAGTTTGTATATACTTTTATTTATATAAAATTATTTAAAATAAATGCTAATCTGTTGTTACAGAAAGCAGATCAGGGAGGATGCAGGAAGGGGTAGCAGGGAGGAAACACAAAGCTGCTCAAGGAGACTTTTGGGGGTAATTTACATATGTGTTACCTTAATAGCAGTGCAGTCTTATAGGTGTATGCATATATCAAAACTTGTCAAACTGTGCGGTTTATTATATGTCAATTAACTCAATAAAATTATCTTTGAAACAAATATAAAATCTTCCTTGGCCTATGGAAATGAGATCTAAGGAGCTTGGAGACAGGAAGATTTTTTAATTGTCCCCTTTAAAATTTTGGTATTTGAACTGTGTAAATGATTTTCCTCTTCACAGCATAATTAACCAAAATTTTCTGTCCAAGCTCCTGAATATGAGATAGTGACCTTGGTATCATCCAACACTCACGTCTCTCTCTCTCTCTTTTTTTTATTCACCTTTCTTTAGTCAATCACAAAATTCTGTCAATTGTGCCTTAGAATCTTAATATGAATTTGTTCCACCCCTCTCACCGCTGCTTTTGTCCTAGTTCATCGACTTTGGTAAATGTCACCTTCTTGGTGAAGTCTTCTCTGATCTTTCCACACAGATGATTGCCTTGGTCTTTGCTGTATATCTTTTGACAGTTTTACTGTGGCAGACTTTGGAATATTTATTGTGCGGCTCTAAGAAGAAAATTTAAAAATGGGCTTAGCTGGTAGGAAGAGAAACAGGGGTAAAGGGGAGCAAATGTTCCGAGAAACGGGGTCCACAAAAACAGCTCACTTGCACCCAAACATCCTGTTACAATCCCTTAGCTCATGGCCCACCTGCACCCAAGCATCCTGTTCGCAAGCAATGAGACCAAGCAGCACAACCTTACAAAACTTCCCTCCACTCCTGCCTCTTTGCAGACAGCTTTTCATCTGCTGCATTACTCGCTGTTTTCTTGCAACATATCTCCCCCTTTTCTCTAATGAATCTGCCTTTCTAAACTCATTCCTCTCTTGGTCCATTCTTTTACCACTCACGTGCCAGCCTCAGGCAGTCATTGACCATGACATTTATTTTAACTTTTTGTTTTTATGCACATTTGATTTGACAAAAATGTCTTTTTAAAAACAATATCTTATTCCTATTTAACAAGTATACGTTATGACAAATGTAAAGAATAGTTAAATGAAAATATTTCTCCTGGAATAATTTGCAAAGAAGTTACAGCTATTTTTATATATTTGAAAGATAACCTTGAAAGAAAATTAGACGAATGGCTAACTAGAACAACCAATGCAGAGAAGTCCTTAAAGGACCTGATGGAGCTGAAAACCAAGGCATGAGAACTACGTGACAAATGCATAAGCCTCAGTAGCCCGATTTGATCAACTGGAAGAAAGGGTATCAGTGATGGAAGATCAAATGAATGAAATGAAGCGAGAAGAGAAGTTTAGAAAAAAAAGAATAAAAAGAAATGAACAAAGCCTCCAAGAAATATGGGACTATGTAAAAAGACCAAATCTACGTCTGATTGGTGTACCTGAAATTGACGGGGAGAAGGGAACCAAGTTGGAAAACACTCTGCAGGATATTATACAGGATAACTTCCCCAATCTAGCAAGGCAGGCCAACATTCAAATTCAGGAAATACAGAGAACGCCACAAAGATACTCCTCAAGAAGAGCAACTCCAATACACATAATTGTCAGATTCACCAAAGTTGAAATGAAGGAAAAAATGTTAAGGGCAGCCAGAGAGAAAGGTCAGGTAACCCACAAAGGGAAGCCCATCAGACTAACAGCTGATCTCTCGGCAGAAACTCTACAAGCCAGAAGAGAGTGGGGGCCAATATTCAACATTCTTAAAGAAAAGAATTTTCAACCCAGAATTTCATATCCAGCCAAACTAAACTTCATAAGTGAAGGAGAAATAAAATACTTTACAGACAAGCAAATGCTGAGAGATTTTGTCACCACCAGGCCTGCCCTAAAAGAGCTCCTGAAGGAAGCACTAAACATGGAAAGAAACAACCGGTACCAGCCACTGCAAAAACATGCCAAATTGTAAAGACCATTGAGGCTAGGAAGAAACTGCATCAACTAATGAGCAAAATAACCAGCTAACATCATAATGACAGGATCAAATTCACACATAACAATATTAACCTTAAATGTAAATAGGCTAAATGCTCCAATTAAAATGCACAGACTGGCAAATTGGATAAAGAGTCAAGACCCATCAATGTGCTGTACTCAGGAGACCCATCTCACGTGCAGAGACACACATAGGCTCAAAATAAAGGGGTGGAGGAAGACCTACCAAGCAAATGGAAAACAAAAAAAGGCAGGGGTTGCAATCCTAGTCTCTGATAAAACAGACTTTGAACCAACAAAGATCAAAAGAGACAAAGAAGGCCATTACGTAATGGTAAAGGGATCAATTCAACAAGAAGAGCTAACTATCCTAAATTTATATGCACCCAATACAGGAGCACCCAGATTCATAAAGCAAGTCCTTAGAGACCTACAAAGCGACTTAGACTCCCACACAATAATAATGGGAGACGTTAACACCCCACTGTCAACATTAGACAGATCAATGAGACAGAAAGTTAACAAGGATATCCAGGAATTGAACTCAGCTCTGCACCAAGTGGACCTAATAGACATCTACAGAACTCTCCATCCCAAATCAATAGAATATACATTCTTCTCAGCACCACACCGCACTTATTCCAAAATTGACCACATAGTTGGAAGTAAAGCATTCCTCAGCAAATGTAAAAGAACAGAAATTATAACAAACTGTCTCTCAGACCACAGTGCAATCAAACTAGAACTCAGGATTAAGAAAATCACTCAAAACCGCTCAACTACATGGAAACTGAGTAACTTGCTCCTGAATGATTACTGGGAACATAACGAAATGAAGGCAGAAATAAAGATGTTCTTTGAAACCAATGAGAACAAAGACACAACATACCAGAATCTCTGGGACACATTCAAAGCAATGTGTTAGAGGGAAATTTATAGCACTAAATGTCCACAAGAGAAAGCAGAAAAGATCTAAAATTGACACCCTAACATCGCAATTAAAAGAACTAGAGAAGCAAGAGCAAACACATTCAAAAGCTAGCAGAAGGTAAGAAATAAATAAGATCAGAGCAGAACTGAAGGAAATAGAGACACACACAAAAAAAACCCTTCAAAAAATCAGTGAATCCAGGAGTTGGTTTTTAGAAAAGGTCAACAAAATTGAGAGACCGCTAGCAAGACTATTAGAGAAGAAAAGAGAGAAGAATCAATTAGACACAATAAAAAATGATAAAGGGGATATCACCACCGATCCCACAGAAATACAAACTATCATCAGAGAATACTATAAACACCTCTATGCAAATAAACTAGAAAATCTAGAAGAAATGGATAAATTCCTTAACACATACACCCTCCCAAGACTAAACCAGGAAGAAGTTGAATCTCTGAATAGATCAATAACAGGCTCTGAAATTGAGGCAATAATTAATAGCTTACCAACCAAAAAAAGTCCGGGACCAGATGGATTCACAGCCAAATTCTACCAGAGGTACAAGGAGGAGCTGGTACCATTCCTTCTGAAACTATTCCAATCAATAGAAAAAGAGGGAATCCTCCCTAACTCATTTTATGAGGCCAGCATCATCCTGATACCAAAGCCTGGCAGAGACACAACCAAAAAAGAGAATTTTAGACCAATATCCCTGATGAACATCGATGCAAAAATCCTCAATAAAATACAGGCAAACTGAATCCAGCAGCACATCAAAAAGCTTATCCACCATGATCAAGTGGGCTTCATCCCTGGGATGCAAGGCTGGTTCAACATACGAAAATCAATAAACATAATCCAGCATATAAACAGAACCAATGACAAAAACCATATGATTATCTCAATAGATGCAGAAAAGGCCTTTGGAAAAATTCAACAACATTTCATGCTAAAAACTCTCAATAAATTAGGTATTGATGGGACGAATCTCAAAATAATAAGACCTATCTATGACAAACCCATAGCCAATATCATACTGAATGGGCAAAAACTGGAAGCATTCCCTTTGAAAACTGGCACAAGAAAGGGATGCCCTCTCTCACCAGCCCTATTCAACATAGTGTTGGAAGTTCTGGCCAGGGCAATCAGGCAGGAGAAGGAAATAAAGGGTATTCGATTAGGAAAAGAGGAAGTCAAATTGTCCCTGTATGCAGATGACATGATTGTATATCTAGAAAACCCCATCGTCTCAGCCCAAAATCTCCTTAACCTGATAGGCAACTTCAGCAAAGTCTCAGGATAGAAAATCATTGTGCAAAAATCAAAAGCATTCTTATACACCAATAACAGACAAACAGAGAGTCAAATCATGAGTGAACTCCCATTCACAATTGCTTCAAAGAGAATAAAATACTTAGGAATCCAACTTACAAGGGATGTGAAGGACCTCTTCAAGGAGAACTACAAACCACTGCTCAATGAAATAAAAGAGGATACAAACAAATTGAAGAACATTCCGTGCTCATGGGTAGGAAGAATCAATATCGTGAAAATGGTCATACTGCCCAAGGTAATTTATAGATTCAATGCCATCCCCATCAAGCTACCAATGACTTTCTTCACAGAATTGGAAAAAACTACTTTAAAGTTCATATGGAACCAAAAAAGAGCCCTCATTGCCAAGTCAATCCTAAGCCAAAAGAACAAAGCTGGAGGCATCACACTACCTGACTTCAAACTATACTACAAGGCTACAGTAAGCAAAACAGCATGGTACTGGTACCAAAACAGAGATATAGATCAATGGAACAGAACAGAGGCCTCAGAAATAATGCTGCATACCTACAACCATCTGATCTTTGACAAACCTGACAAAAACAAGAAATGGGGAAAGGATTCCCTATTTAATAAATGGTGCTGGGAAAACCAGCTAGCCATATGTAGAAAGCTGAAACTGGATCCCTTCCTTACACCTTATACAAAAATTAATTCAAGGTGGATTAAAGACTTAAATGTTAGACCTAAAACCATAAAAACTCTAGAAGAAAACCTAGGCAATACCATTCAGGACATAGGCATGGGCAAGGACTTCATGTCTAAAACACCAAAAGCAATGGCAACAAAAGCCAAAATTGACAAATGGGATCTAATTCAACTAAAGAGCTTCTGCACAGCAAAAGAAACTACCATCAGAGTGAACAGGCAACCTACACAATGGGAGAAAATTTTTGCAATCTACTCATCTGACAAAGGGCTAATATCCAGAATCTACAATGAACTCCAACAAATTTACAAGAAAAAAAACCCCATCAAAAAGTGGGTGAAGGATATGAACAGACAATTCTCAAAAGAAGACATTTATGCAGCCAAAAGACACATGAAAAAACACTCATCATCACCAGAGAAATGCAAATCAAAACCACAATGAGATACCATCTCACACCAGTTAGAATGGCAATCATTAAAAAGTCAGGAAACAACAGGTGCTGGAGAGGATGTGGAGAAATAGGAACACTTTTACACTGTTGGTGGGACTGTAAACTAGTTCAAGCATTGTGGAAGTCAGTGTGGCGATTCCTCAGGGATCTAGAACTAGAAATACCATTTGACCCAGCCATCCCATTACTGGGTATATACCCAAAGGATTATACATCATGCTGCTATAAAGACGCATGCACACGTATGTTTATTGTGGCACTATTCACAATAGCAAAGACTTGGAACCAACCCAAATGTCCAACAATGATAGACTGGATTAAGAAAATGTGGCACATATACACCATGGAATACTATGCAGCCATAAAAAATGATGAGTTCATGTCCTTTGTAGGGACATGGATGAAGCTGGAAACCATCATTCTCAGCAAACTATCACAAGGACAAAAAACCAAACACATGTTCTCACTCATAGGTGGGAATTGAACAGTGAGAACACATGGACACAGGAAGGGGAACATCACACACCGGGGCCTGCTGTGGGGTGGGGGAAGAGGGGAGGGATAGCATTTGGAGATATATCTAATGTTAAATGATGAGTTACTGGGTGCAGCACACCAACATGGCACATGTGTACATATATAACTAAACTGCACGTTGTGCACATGTACCCTAAAACTTAAAGTATAATTTAAAAAAAATTAAAAAAAGAAAGCTACCATTTTAAAATTGACATATGCTGGGGATTAATAAGAAACTCAAACACCTCCACAGGAAAAATTAAATAAGCCAATTAAAAGTGGGCAAAAGATCTAAATGGACATTACCCAAAAGAAGACATACAAATGGCAAACAGGCATATGAAAAAATCGTCAACATCACTAATCATCAGAGAAATGCAAATTAAAATTATAATGACATATCATATCGCCCCTGTTAAAATGGCTTTTGTACAAAGACATGCAATAACAAATCTTGATCAGAATATGGAGAAAGGGGAACATGTGTAGACTGTAGGTGGGAATATAAATTAGTACAGTCACTGTGGAGAATAGTATTAGAGGTTCCTCAAAAAAACAAAAATAAAACTACCATATAATTTAGCAATCCCACTTCTGGGTATATATTCACAAGAAAGAAATTAGTAAAGCAAAGAGATATGTGGACTCCCATGTTTACTGTGGCACTATTCACAATAGCCAACATATGAAATCAACCTAAGTGTCCATCAGTGGATGAAAGGATAAAGAAAAGTCGCGACATAGCAAGACTCTGTCTCAAAAAAAAAGAAAGAGAAAAGTCAAACGTATATACAATGAAATGTTATTTAGCTATAAAAAAGAATGAGATCCTGTCATTTGCAATAATATGAACAGAGCTGGAAGACATTGTGTTAGGTGAAATAAGCAACATGCAGAAAGACAAATGTTGCATATTCTCACTCATGTGGGAGTTAAAAATTTTAAAAATTGGACTCACAGAGATAGAAATTAGAATGATGGTCACCAGAGACTGGGAAGGGTAGCAGGGAGAGCAAGGATAAAGTGGGAATGGTTAATGGGTACAAAAATACAGTTGGAATAAATATTACCTACTATTTGGTAACACAATAGAGTAACTATAGTTAATAATTTATTGTGTATTTTAAAGTAACTAAAAGAGTAGAATTTGAATGTTCTTAACACAAAGAAATAATAAATGCTTGAGGTGATGGATACCCCAGTTACCCTGATTGGATCATTACACATTGTGTGCTTCTATCAAGACATTACATGTACCTAAAAGATTAAACGTTTCAGTTAAAACAAAAGTCCCTTTTAAATACTATGCCCAGTCCCTACCCTTATGTTACATTTGGACAAAGGTAACCAGTGTTGTGTGCTTGATGTATGTCCTCCAGACTGTAAAATAACTTTCTCCACAGCTTAACTTTTCCAAAAATGAAATAAGCTTCCCCATGCAGTGTGGAAGGGAGTTCCTCCATCATTGTCAAAGATAGGATGTCCAAATGTAGAGTCAGAAAGACTCTAGATGCAATGCTTGTATTAGTTAGGGATTTGAACTTGGTCACAAGTATTGATTCTGAGTCTATCATTATGTAAGTGCATGTTTCTAAAACTACAAATAGGCATACTTTGACCATGGTAACTTTCTTAAACTGGCCCAACTCCTTAGAAACCAATCTTTCAGAACTTTAAATTTTACTTAAGTGATTTTTTAAAAATCCTCAATAAAGCATCAATTTCCATTTCTCAGTCTTGTCTTATACTAATTCTTGAGAGTCTCATACTTTTAAAATCCTGCAAGTGACTAGCCATAGAAGAAAAATAATGTTATAGCATTTCTAATAACCCCTTTCTCTGAGTGCTTTGAATGGCACTAAGTTGCTCTCTCTCTCTCTCTCTCTCTCTCTCTCTGTGTGTATGTGTGTGTGTGTGTGTGTGTGTGTGTGTGTGTGACAGAGTCTCGCTCTGTCACCCAGGCTGGAGTACAGTAGCACTATCTCGTCTCACTGCAACCTCCGCCTCCCGGGTTCAAGCAATTCTCCTGCCTCAGCCTCCTGAGTGGCTGAGATTACGGGCATGCACCACGACACCCAGCTAATTTTTTGTTTTTTTCGTAGAGGCGGGGTTTCACCATGTTGGTCAGGCTGGCCTCCCACTCCTGACCTCAAATGATCTGCCCGCCTCAGCCTCCCAAAGTACTGAGGTTACAGACATGAGCCATCGCGCCTGGCCAAGTTCTCTGTAACTGATCTGGTTATAAATAAACAAACATATTCAGTTTAATATGTGACTTTTTCTCATTATGGACACTAATGTCTATAAAACTGTCCTATTCACTGTGAATGCATAGATGTTTAAAAATATCAGAGATACTGAACAGTTCCAAAGATAGTATTAATACTACCAAAATGAGAACAATCGCTATATATACATCAGCATTCAATCTGCCACAATAGAATAAAAAATACAATTTCTCCTAGAAAAGGGGAATTTTGCCAACTTTTTGCTCTTTAAGAAACAAGCAGAAATACATGTTCCTAAAATTCTCATCTGGACTCAAAAAGACTGCTAGATCTTTCACAGGTGTTTTTTAGTTTCATTAGTTACCTGCACCCTGAGAATATCCAATGAATCTAGGGTACAGGGACCAAATTATCATGACTGTAGTCTGATGTGAGCAAAGATTGTAATTAAAGTACACTTTGGATATAATTGCAAATGTGCATTTTGGTTTTTACTCCTTGCCTTCTAATTAGATTCCAATTTGAATCTGTGCTCCTGCATCAGTTATGCTTGTCCCGTATAAAAAAACAATATTATATTTGTATACAAATAATTTTGTCCAAGCCAGCCACCCTAGATTTTGATGCAAAGTAAAACAACTAAATACAATTTAGGCACTTTAACAGTGAGTTGTTAAAAGAAAAAAAAGCAGAGCTTTGTAAATTGATCCCATATATTCTTAAATTTAATAAAGTAATAATTTAATAAAATGGAGAATTGTATTTTCTACTTTCTTTGCTTAATAAAGCTTTAGCCCTCCCCAGTTAAGAATTGTCAATGGCTAGTCAATACCTGCAAGACTGATTTTAAATTCTTAGTATGGCATTCATGACCTTTCCAAGTTTGGCCTCTACTCTTACTATTTGGCTAAGAATACTATCACTGTTTCCTGAACATAACCTATATCTTCTGACCTTTGTGTTTTGGGATAGTTATCGCTATAACAAAATATTTGACAGTATATGCTATGTGCCATGTACTATGCCAGGTGCTAGAAATATTAAAACAAATAGCCATACTTAGTAACTTAAGGAATTGAACAGACAAAAAGCAGATAAGTGTATTAAGAAAAACACCACATAGTATGGGCAGGTGCTACAATAGGCTTAAGTACAAAGTGTAATAATGGCAACTCAAAATAACAGATAACCTTCCATATCCTTTACTTGAAATATTTGTTTGGTATATCTCTTCTGATTCTTTCAAGAAGGAGCAGATCCATCTCTTTATATTCTCCATAGCACATTGCATATATATTCCTCTATTGGGATATTTTTCACATTGTATCCTAATTATCTGTAACGCTATAACTGTTTCCCTGGAAAATATGTCACAATCTCAAAAGCAGGTGGCCTGTGTTAGACCGTATGCTGCCAGGAAGTAGCAAAGGGAACCAACATCACTGAGTCTTCACTATGTGCTTTTTATGATCATAATATTTTTCATAAATTATTTTATTTAATCCTCACAAGAATCTATTGAAAGGGATACTATTATGTCAATATTTTGCATGAGGAAACTCAGACTCAGAAAAGTTGTCACTGGCATCAAATTACACATCTACTAATTTTACCATTAAGCTGTATGATATCCAAACCCAAGTCCTTGACACTGCATCGAAGTTATGATTTTCCAACCCCTAAAATATTGTTTGACTCATAGTAGTTGCTAAATAAATACTTCTTGCATGAATAAAAAATTAATAAGACGAATGTATTGATAACTTTGCATGGTATAGTAAATTGAGAAAATAGTGTTACAATAGGTGTGCTATTAATTAGTTTGGCCTATAGAATATATTTGCACATTTCAAATATATATATACACATATGTATATATATTTCTTCTGTGTCTTCTGTGTCTCCTTTGACTGTCTGTATATAATGATATACCCATTACTGTATGTACCTTATAGCTAGCCTAACAACAAAATACATAAATAATATATAAATATTTATCTGTATATAAATATATATTACATATACGTACAATAATGAGTATGTTATTATATGCAGAGGGTCAAAATGAGACACAGAAGATGGAAGACCTTAAACACAATAGTAAATAAGTAATAGAGCTTAGATGCAAACCTGCATAATTAAACCCAAAAGTAACCATTATACTACTTCACCTCAACATAAATAAGAAATATTGTTATCACCACTGGCAATACAAAGGGATAACAACTCCTTTTTGTTTTCCTTAATGTACTAAGTAACAGGACAAAAAAGTTTCCATACATAGCATTCAGTTATAAAAGTAACTCGTTGCTATTAAGTGCAGCAAAAAGATAAATTGTTCACATACATTTAGCATTAGCTTCATGAATAAGAAGCAGCTTTTATCTAGTATGGACTATTGGCTCTGAGATTTTTCCTAGAAAAATATACTGCTTTCTGAAAATACACAATATTATTCTGAATTAACAATACAACCCTTCTACTTAGAAAAGGACTTTATCTAAGAAGCATGTGATACTAGAAGGAGAAACATACTTAGGATTAATTGTATGAGGCACAGGTTGATTATTGTATTGAAAAATGCAGTGTCTGATTATCTCCTCCAGGTGAATTTAAGCTTTGAGGCAAAGTACTATGAAGGAGATACACAATGAATTCAAGGTATTTAGTACAAATAATCTGAGAACACAAGACAGATTTCTATTTGTGTTACAATCGTTGATCATATGTTGACTTGCACATTGAAATACTCTATCACATAAGAAATATACAGTAGGCTTAATTAAACCGTAACCAATAAAGAAAGAAGATTGATAAAATAATGATAAGTGTTGAAGACATAAAGAGTACATGCAGGTTTATTTTTATCTTCTCTCTAGTATTGCATGTTTGAAATTTTTCATAATAAGTTTTTAAAAAGAAAAATAAATGTTCTCTTGATTTCCCAAAGTCTATTTTCTTTCATTTTCTAATTTTACTTTTTATTTTTATTCATTTTATTTTATTTTTGAGACAGAGTCTCACTTTGTCACCAAGCTGGAGTGCAGTGGTGCAATCTCGGCTCACTGCAACCTCCACCTCCAGGGTTCAAGCGATTCTGCTGCCTCAGCCTCCAGAGTAGCTGGGACTACAGGTGCATGCCACCACACCCAGCTAATCTGTGTATTTTTAATAGAGATGGGGTTTCACCACGTTTACCAGGATGGTCTTGATCTCTTGACCTCGTGATCCGCCCACCTCGGCCTCCCAAAGTGCTGGCATTACAGGCGTGAGCCACCGTGCACAGCCACATTTTCTAATTTTAAACTTTTTAGTTAAAAAATAATTTTGTAAAGTGAAAAAATTAAAGAGGAAAAAATAGAAATTAAAATACTTTAGTTGCCAGAAAGGTGATTAAGAAAATGCTCTTCATACACATGAATATAAAAATTTTTTAAAAGTAGTTGCTGACTTACATCTGGTTATATTTATTTATCAAAAAATTACTATTTAAGGGAAAATTCATAACATAAAACTTTCTACCTAAACCGTTATAATGTTGAGGCTGAACTTTCCTATGTAGTTCATGCCTGAATTGTCTCAACAATGACTGTTGCTGCCTTCAATAAAATGGTAGCAAATTTAAAAAATGGTAGTTCTAAAAACTTGTCAATCTGAGCAATTGTTTGTGTTAATTTCTTTGTCCCCCCAAAGCTAAAATTTATTTTCTTAAATATCCCTGTGATTGCTTGCAACTATTGAGATGAAAAAAGAAACAATTTCTTAGATTGAAAATACAGTAGTCAACCCAGTATTTATCTCCAGATTTGCTGATTTCTGCTTGACAGTAACATAATAATGGACCATAGAAAAACTAGTTGTGTTTTTAGAACAGACTCTTTTAAACCATGTGATTTTTTTTTTTTGTCATCAGTAAACAGAATTAATGTTTGGCTCTGCACATTTTAAAGCTAGTTGAAATAACAATACATTGCAGAAAAAATGGGATTTTGGTAAGGATTAAATATGATTGCTTATGAAAATAATAAGTATAATGTGTTGAGAATCTAATGTATTCCAAGAATTTTACAGAACTTGTCTCTAATTTTTCCAACAATTCTCTAGATGAATATTTGCCATCTGGAGAACTCCAATTGCAAATAAAAAACCAAGTTCAGTAGGTTGCCCCAGGTTATATAGTTAATAATTGCTAGACCTGAAATGAAATTCTTATCTTTGCCCTTCTGACTCTTTCTATTCTGCAACATTGTCTCTAAGGAAATAATGAGGAAATTATCAAAGTACAAATGCATTATATTAGCTATAAATTTCTTTATTAAGGGATTAGGGCAGAGACAAAAAAGCATTCATCAGTGGTAACATGCAGTCTCTAATCTTGGTTCCATCACTTCTCTTTTCCTCTTAAATGATTCATAACAATGCACACTGCTGAGAGAATCTTTTGCTCCGGGAATAAACAACCAGGAGGTATACAATTCCCAGGCCATTTATTATCCCTATTTTTGCAACATCTATCGTCAATTAAGTCCTATTAAATGATTACAAAGGTAACTATTTAGTTACAATTTTGTTGAATTTGTTAGCAAACTTCTTTGTGTCATTTGCTTCTCAAATGAAGAGACTGTAGCAACAGTGAAACCATGTGGCAAACTGGCATTGGGCTGCAGTTCATTAGAATCTGAAAGGCAGGAGAACTCATCCACATTTAAAATTCTACATTTGAATTTTCGTTGCTTATGCTGACAATCCTTTAAACACAAAGTCATAAATCAGCAGGCAGTGCTAGGGAGCCACCTGCTGGAATAACTGGCTGAATTTTGCTGCCATGTTTCCACAAAATATAAATTCACTTAATATTAATTCAATTAGAAAGTTGTCAAATTTAGGGTTCCTTTTGCCCTAAATAGATATCTTTCACAAAAACTTTCAAACTACACTTGGTAATGGTAAAGAGCATTATTATATATATTTTTAAAAAGGTAGGAAGCATGAAATAAGAAGAAAAAATATTCAGTGAACATTATTATGTAATTGACATGTGAAAATACAAGAGATAGCCAAGAAATTCCAGTGACATTAGTCAGATTTTCAAAAGAAAGTTACCTATTGCTTCAAGATTGCTGTATCATTCATTTGTCAAGGATATTCACTGTAACAATTTTACCCAGAAATTATACTTAAATAGTAATTTATGTAAATGATAATATTTTGTTAATATTAAAATGAATATGTTTTTAAAACCTGCTTGCATTAAAACCACAGGAGGTCTAATTTGGAATCAAGTGATGCAGATTCTTTTTCTTTTCCAAGCTGTTTAAAATTAACCTCTGTTACAAACTTTTACCTTTAATATTGAGTGGATGATAAATTAAAGTTTTTAGCTAAAAATTGATTAGTATAGTATTTTTCTAGACTATGTTGTTCAGAAGTCTGTGCTAAATATAGCCACCCATTTTCCAGCCTTTGCTATAGAGTATGTATAATGAACATGAAAGAAATGTTCTTTGATGATGCTTTTATGTTGCCTACGGTTCATCATTCTAAATATGCTCTCCGTGTGCAGCATAGAAAGTAAGTAAAAAAGATAGGAAAGATTGATCTGAAATGTCTACTATCTCCAAGACATAGCCTGGAGTTATTTTTCTTACTGGTTCCCTGTTATCAGTTTGCTTTCTTATCACTTTCTTTATCCTCTAAAGAGTAGCATGCCTAAAGATTCTATTTAATTAAGAGTTTCAGTTCATGAAAACTATGATTTTATTTATAACTAAGTATTCTCAAGATGGTGGGAACCGTAGGTAATATGGGTAGGTGGGGAGAGTTCTGTAATTCCTGTTCAGCTGACACTATTTGATAAGTCCTTTACCAACTGCAGTTGCTTTATTTCAGATTCCCTTTGACTCACCATGGTAGATCCTCACTTAAAGCATTTTAGAATATATCAAGTCATTTACCTTAATCTATGTGACACCTAACAACAACCTTGAAAGATGTGATTCTTATCTTTACTCTACAGGTGAGGAATGATTTTCAGAGGAGTTAAGCAAATTGTGCCATGTGGCATCCTAGTAAAAGCCTAAGGAGAGATTCAAGAACTTGCCAAGACCACGCTGAATCCCACTGAAATATCCAAGTTCTTAAAAAGAGCAAACCACTTTTCTGTGTGTTCATTTTGCACCCTTATCTCTGTGCTTACTACATTTTAATCACCCATTTTATTTCTCTCCAAAGTCTGTATGCTCCTTCAAACCATAAACTCCTTTTTAAAAATACTCTCAGCAGTTGGCATCAAACCTGATATTCATAAAATATGATAAATTAGTGCTTGTTGAAAGTTTGTTGAAGGAGATTTTATTATTTTTAAATAACATACATGAGATCTTATATTTGTTTATTTTATGTTTCATGGGAGTGTAGTAGTTTAGAATGAGAAAGGACAAGAAAATGATGTTTATTGAGACCCTACTATATGTCAGGTCCTCTGAGAGTACTTAACGTGCCAGCTCCTATGAAGGTGCCTTAGTCACCTAAGGTACTAATATTATGTATACATTAGAGACATGACACCATACATACATAGAGGCCATAATATACATATGTTAGAGACAAAAAAAAAAAAAAACAGAAAGACAAAGTGGTTAGATAACTTACTCTTAAGTTACCCAAAGCATTCTAAATTATTTCTCAACATTTCTTATCTTCTTTGAAAATCTCATCCACTTTCGTAATCTCAACCATCAATCACCTGTATGCAAGTGATGGCCAAATTTGCGTCAATCACTCCTCAATACCTCACACTCCCAAATTGCAATTGTAAATATCCTGACTATTCTCAAGAAATAACTATCAAATAACCATTTGAATAAATACCTATACTGGCAGACACTGTACTACTAGGTGCTGTATATCTACAGTGAACCAAACAATCTCTTTCTGCCTTCAGAGATTCAGGCTAATAGAAGAGTTAAGCAATACATATTGTCATGAAATCCATGAACAAGCAATCTTCTATGATAGGACAATCGGAGGAGTCCCTAAAGGGTTAAAAATTAACATAAGATCTGAAAGAAGCCAAGGAATCAATCAAGCAAACAGTGAGAATGAAAGTGTTCCAAAGGAAGGAAAGAATACATTTGAGGGCAGGGAAGACTGCTGAAGATTTGCAGAACTGAAAGTCTGGTTGTTTGCCTGAACATAAGTGGAAGCTCCTAAAGGGTTTCAAGTAGGGCATTAAAACCATCCATTTTATGATTTTAAAAAATATTATTCTGACAATTATGTGAGGAAGAGATTAGAACAGAACAAGAATGGAAGTGGTAAGAATCATTAGGAGACTAGTCCAGGAGTCCAGGCATGTGATTGAGACTAACTGGTGGAAGCACAGATGGAGAAAGGTAGAAGAATTAAAAACATATCTTATATTTTGATGTAAGCAAAATTTTGAATGCAAGCAAAATAAATTGATGAGTGGAAAAAAGGAGACATACTAGTCTTCTAAGTTGAGCAAATGATGAGATGGTGGTTTTCTTTGGATCCTTTCTGGGAAAGTTTGTTACAAATATACCTAAGTAATATTAGGTATATTGGTTAACGAGGGGAGCTTAAGTCCAGGGAAAAGTCAAGAGGAAAGTTGGGACATGATAGATTTAGAGATCTGAGTAAAATTTAAAGCAGACTATACACTATTTCCCAGATGTCTTAACTTGCTTGTCTAAATGTTTAATATTTCATGGTTTCATTCATTAATTTTACCTAGACTTTGAATTGCATCTCAAGTGCTCATGAAGGAAAAGAATGGTGTGGTCCATTTGCATAATCTCTTCTTACCATAAATATTCATAAATTGTGTGTGTGCTTCTCTCTTAGTGCTTACCTTATTCTACTGTTAATCTATAAGATCTTTAAAGGTATAAATGTATAAAGAGCCAAGACTTACTCTTCTTGGTATCCACAATAGCAGTAGAGGCCCAGTAAACATTTGTTAAATGTATTATAACTAAGTTAAATTTATGTCTCAAAAGAGAAAAAATATTCTAACCCTTTTTTTCTGAATAAGAAACTATGTATTTTGTTTAAAAAAAAGTACAGAGATAAGGTTCCATGAAGACAAGTGGTACATATTACTTGGAATCTTTCCCAAATGTCTCCAGTGCTTTGGCATTATCTCAATTCCCATATCTGCTTTAACAAAGCCAATCTCTCTTCGGAAATATCCATCCACTAATAGATTGGTCAGCAAACAATCCAAGCTGTGAGCCAAAGTCAGCCCACTATGAGGCCAACTCTGTTTGCACCCATTCTTTATAGCTTTTGCACTACAGTGGCAAAGTTAAGTAGTTGCAACAGAGACTGTATAACCTGTAAAGCCAAAAACCTCACTGTCTGGACTTTTATAGTTCCAGACTCTCACACTAGTTGAATACTTTGAAAATCTTCAGGTTCTTTCTGGGAAGTTTGGTAAGACTATCTCTAAGCAGTATTAGATAATTGGAATCTTACCATTTAGCACACTTTCATACAAAAAGTGACAGGTAATGGTTGGGATCAGAACAGAACAACATAAAGAGGGAATGGAATACAGAATAAGAAAACTTGCAGGGTAGGAGTTCCCAGCCATCCCATTACTGGGTATATACCCAAAGGATTATAAAACATGCTGCTATAAAGACACATGCACACGTATGTTTATTGCAGCACTATTCACAATAGCAAAGACTTGGAACCAACCCAAATGTCCAACAATGATAGACTGGATTAAGAAAGTGTGGCACATATACACCAAGGAATACTATGCAGCCATAAAAAATGATGAGTTCATGTCCTTTGTAGGGACATGGCTGAAGCTGGAAACCATCATTCTCAGCAAACTGTCGCAAGGACAAAAAACCAAACGCCGCATGTTCTCACTCATAGGTGGGAATTGAACAATGAGAACACATGGACACAGGAAGGGGAACATCACACACCAGGGCCTGTTGTGGGGTGGGGGGAGGGGGGAGGGATAGCATTAGGAGATATACCTATAAATGACGAGTTAATGGGTACAGCACACCAACATGGCACATGTATACATATGCAACTAACCTGCACGTTGTGCACATGTACCCTAAAACTTAAAGTATAATTAAAAAAAAAAAAAACATAACGCTAAGAAGCCTTAAAAAAAAAAAAGAATCAATAACATAATTCAAAACAGAGTTGCTCAGATCAATACAACCTAGTGGAGTCATTAAATTTGTTTTTGGGTTCCTACTTCCCTACTCCACTGTTTTCTTTGAGGCCATCTCCCCAATTCTTCCCCCACCCCATTTTAAAGAGCTGTTTTCATGTTCTTAAAGGCTCATTTCAAATGCTATCTGCCTGTGAAGCCCTTTTTAATTTATCCACTCAACAAAACTAGGTATGATAACCCATACTTGGATTCCTAGAGCATTTTGTTTGTGGAATTTACTGTGTAATGCTTATTTATTCTTCCAAGTAGATTATAAACTCTTTGAAGAGAGGTATTGCCCCTAGCATTGAAGTAGTTTAACTGAAATTAATTTATATAAGATATGAATCCACCACAATTGCCTGACAAGAATTTAGAATATGTGTATGTTGAGAGACTGAATATACAAATGGACAATGACTGAACCACATATAACAACAGACCCACAACATCTTCAGCAACCAGCCCAGGAATAGCCTTTAACTTGAAACAGCCTCTGTTTTCATTTTCACTGCAGCCGTCTGTCTTCTACTGAAACCACGTGGCTGGTTTGATTCTGCTATTGAATCTTAGTAGAACTACTAGGCTTAGGATTGACAGGCACAGGTTTCAAAACAGTGTGCCTTGAAGACCAACTAGGAACTTTAGCAGAGCAAGGGAAGTCAAAATTTACCAGTTGTTGTACCACAGCAAGGTACAATCCAAGAATAATGGTTTAAACCTGCCCCTGGGCTCTCCCTCATTTCAGCATACTTACTTCTTTGTCAACACTATGGATTTAGACTTCCCTTTTGCTCAAGAACACTCATCCTGTCATGCACGGCCTTGCTCAGATTTGTCATATCTGACACTTTGATTTAATGTCTGACTATGGCTCAACTCTGACTTTGTTTCATGTCATGAATGAGATTTTAGTGCTGCTCTAAAGTCCTTCTGTTACTAACCGGGACTCAAACCCAGAGATCAGATATGCCTCCCCAGTCTCAGCATGACCTGTCTTTGTGATCCAGTCTTCACATCCATATTCTGAAGACTGAGACAAGGCAAGGACCAGCAGGCATTGAGTTAACAAAAGCAGAGCAGGCATATACACTCCGGATCAAAGAATCAAAGTTGGAGAGAACAGCAAACAGCAGAATTCAAATGGCCAGGAAAATACAGAAGAAGCTGCCCTGTACCCATAAAAGTAGAATAAGCTGCTGATTCATTTGGGGCCTTTGCTGTCTCAGTTTCACATAATTACATCCTCCTGCATCAATCCAATGGCCCATCAGGGAAAAGGTGTTGTAACTTACTAAAATAAGAGAATTGTTCAAGGTCCCTGTGAGAAGCTAACTGGATTGTGAAACATAAATCAGGGTTCTATTGTAATAATAGATAAACAATCTCAAAATTATTTCAGAAGCAACATGTCACATGGGGAAGCCATCACTACTGTCATGTTTGAGGTGTGTATACCCTATCAATCATTTTAATGACATTTTACCTCTGCATGGATAGGTAAAGCATGATTAGCCTGCTGAGTTCAGTAGCAGAACCAGCCTAGGGGAAGGAAAAATGTCAAAAAGTAGAGTTACCTTGATAGAGTCATCTTAAATAACAGGCCAAGAATGCCAGTATTCTCATTTTCCCACATCTTTATTTATTTGGTTTTAGGCTTTATCAAACAATGTATATGTGGGAGGTATGGGTGGTTCAGGAGTACATGGGGTGCTTAACCTCTTTACCCTTGAACAATTGAAAATCATCAACATAATATCAAAATACAGATACAATATGGAGATATTTTAAAATAGTATTTACTCTGTTGATATGTAGCTTCTAAATCCAGCCAGAGGCTATCATAATAAACAAGTAACACATTCTATCACCTTTAGGAGCCATAAGTCTGAAAATATATAGGGAAACCTACAAACAGTAAATAATACAAGTTCATATGCTTCCAGTAGTAGAAAGACTGAATGCCTTAGGAAAATGATAGTGCAATGTGTGTGTTGATATATAAGCTAGGTTCCTATAATAATTTATCCAAAGTGAACTCATTGATTGAGAGGACTTCAAGCCATACCAAGGAAATACAGAGTTTTTAAAAGAACACAATTTTTGATTAAGCCAGTTATACTTGGATTATGCTCAAGATGCAGAATATGCTTTCTTTGGTGGGTAGTATGTGACTTGAACAGTATGGGAGATCGTCATTACCACACATCATCCTTTCTGCTGCTCTTGACAAAAGGTTTAAAGTTTTACATTCCCTATTAAGTCATTTGTACCTTCAAGAGGGTTCTACTAAATATATAGACATATGTACAACTACTTAACTTTGCCACTGTAGTGTAAAAGCTATAAAGAACGGGTGCAAACAGAGTTGGCCTCATAGTTGGCTGACTTTGGCTCACAGCTTGGATTGTTTGCTGACCCATCTATTAGTGGATGGATATTTCCGAAGAGAGATTGGCTTTGTTAAAGAAGATATGGGAATTGAGATAATGCCAATTATCTCAATTATCTCAATTGAGATAATGCCTAATTTATAATATCGTTTTGAGGACTGATCCTAAAAAATAAAAGTAGAAATGTAAGAAAACAAAACAAAATAAACCAAAAACTTTATGATAAAAATATATTAATTAGATTTTTAAAATAATAATGAAAATTGGAGCAATAAAATGTTGTTTTCAGAAGTTAGTTTTTAAATTATGTTCACATAATGAACTCTTGTGAATCCATTAAAGTATTTTTGAAGACCATTTAATCACAAGATAAAACCCTTCATATAAACTTAAATGGAAAAGGAATATTCAAAAATAATATGCAGGATGATCACAACGTATGAAGTATATATGTTTTATATCCTAGTGTGTGTAGTAAAAGAGCTGAAAGCAATGACACATAAATGATTATCTTGCTGCAGAGAGATTATAGATAATATAATTTTCTTCATTATTTTATGGATATTCCAATTTTTATAATAAGCATACATTACTTTCATATTTTAAAAGAATAGTAATTACACTTAAATAATACTTAAATGAGAATATATATATATATTCTTTCACCCCAGGAAGGGATTATGCCTCTAGCTGTTATTAATTAACACTTTAGAAACTAGCTAAGCATAGGGACAGGAGGATGGCATAAAGAAAGTGAAGTGAATGTATGGAGGATTCAATTCAATTAAAAAAATAGTCCGTCACAAGTTTATAATGTTTTGCCTTTTATAAAGTGCTTTCACATACTTTATTCCATGAAGACTGTCTCAACTTTCTAGTGCACACACACATCCACACAGGCAGACACAAAAGATATTATTAGTCATTTTAAGTGCCTAGAAGGACACATCTACCCTATTGCCCCCAAACTGAGCTGTTATAACCAGGTAAATAGCTTTCAGTGAAAAGTAACATCCATAAAAGACAATCAATGGTGGCATATTATTCTTGTTCACTCTGCTGTCTTTGGTTGCTACATGTCTCCTTGGCTCTCTATTAGAGACCAAGCTTGCCCGCTTGGAATGCCAAGCAGTATCCACATGGCTGAAGGTAACACCTTCCTTGCCTTGCTTTCAAAGTCCCACCCATAGCTGAATACATCTCCCTTATCTTGCTTTCCCTTTAATGAAAGAGCAACGTTATTACATGCTTGGATTCACCAGTGAAGGACCTGGTCCATGTTGAATGAGTGTTTTCCATGCCTACACATAAACAGGTCAGAAAAGTCTAGATCTGGATGTATAGCTTACTATATCATCACACTAGCAAAGCACCAGCTTCTGATTTCCTTTTCTTGGCTACATGCTGGAGGCCTGGTCCTGGGCCAACGACAGCTGTGCATCAATTATCACAAAGAGAGCAAGACCTTGGGGAAAGCCTGATGATTTAACGAGTGCTCAGCTGGGACTTTTTCACTTGATGTGTATCTTAGTACTGCATAGCAACTCCCTTTTAGTTCAAAACAATACATCTCCTTTAGTTTATCGGGTGATTGGCGTAATTATGAAGAAGAACAAAGATCAAATACTGTGTCCAGAAGCAGAGGGACTAGACCACATGGTAAGGCAGCAGCTAGGGAGAATGATGGAAAAGTATCCCCTGCTTCTGAATAGCAATCCTTCTAAAAAACACCAATGAATAAATAAAAATCAGGATAGGTGACATACCTTGTTTTAAAGAGTAAGGAATCACCGTCGAGAGTGGTAAAATAACTTGCCCTAATCTACACACTTGAAGAGATATAACTACTACTTAAATAGTTTGATACTGAGTTCTAAGCTTATTTAAGTCACCTCCGTTCAGCAAAACTGTTGTATATCATCTATTAAACGTCCACTGTGAACAAGACTCTGTGTGTGTGCACATGCATGTGTGTGGGGGAGAGTAGATGCACAGTAATAAAAAAAAGAGCTCTTTTTTTTGTGTCTTATAATGATATACATAAAACGTAATAAACATTACTTACTCTGGTTTGAATGTGTCCACGCACAATTCATATATTGAAATCAAATCACCAGTATGTTCCTATCAGGAGGTGGGACTGTTGGGAGATAATTAGGTCATGAGGGCAGAGCACTCATACATGGGAATAGTGCCCTTATAAAAGAGGCCGCAGAAATCTGCCTTGCCCCTTCCATCATGTGAGGATTCAGAGAGAAGTTGCCATCTGTGTACCAGGAAACAGGCTCTCACCAGATATCACATGTGCCAGCAGTTTGATCTTAAACTTCCCAGCCTCCAGAACTGTGAGAAATAAATTATTGTTGTTGATGAGCCCCATAATTAATGGTTTTTTGTTATAGCAGCCCAAGGACACTAAGACATTGTATAAGTAAGACAAAATAAAATATGCAAACATATTTTATCATTGTAATGCATGGCAAAAATCTGAACTATAATCAAATATACAATATACCGTAAGAAATTGGCCTACTCTACAAATGAAACTTAGAAATGTTTTCCCTGGACAGTTTAAATTTGTGGATTACCACTTCAAACTCACTCTTGCCATTATCCCCAGTGCACCCGTCCCACTATCATTTGGTACTGTCTTGAGGAGACCTTGAATCTGAGTCCTTCATAGCTGCTGCCTGTTCTTTAAATGTTAGGTCTACATGTCTTGCATATTATTAGGTTGATGCAAAGGTAATTGCAATTTTTGCTGTGAAAAGTAATATGAATGCACTTTTAATGGCAAACATCGCAGATAAATTTGCACCAACTAATAACATGGTCCGCTAGACTAAGGCCACTATAAAGTCACGGTCTCCAAATTCAGTCTCTAAGTAATCCCAGGCAAGATCTTTGACTCCTTATTCATCGCTTGCTACTCTTTGTGGGACCAGCTATTTCTAAACCATACAGTCTTCTCCAATCTCCATCCCACCACCTCCTCAGTCACCCTCACTTGATCTCGATTCTATACATTGACTTCACAAACAAAAGTCATCAGACTTTCTCACCTTTCTGCCACCTTAAGGCTGGGTCTCCACCTGGATCCATCAGGTGCTCTCTTCCTTTACTGTCACTTAGAGCTATCTTCTCTTACGTAAAAGTCACCACTCTCCCTCTCTGAGGAATCATATTCCCTCCACCCTCACTTTCTCACTCTATTTTTAACATCAGCTTTATTAAAATATAATCCATAGACCATAAAACAAACCTATTTAAAAGTTTTTAACCTACAATTTGATGGTTTTTAATCTATTCACACAGTTGTACAACCATCACTATAATACATGTTAGAAAATTTTCATTCCCCACCCTCCAAAAACTGTATCTATTAACAGTTACTCTTCATTACCTCAACCCCCTCATCCCCAGCCCCAGCCCTAGGTACCATTAATTTGCTTTCCATCTCTGTAGGTCTGTCTGCTTTGGACATTTCATATCAATGGAATCATATGGTATGTGGAGGCCTCACTCTATTAACTTTCCTCTGCTCCTCTTTTGTTTTTAATATCTCCTCCTCCACTTGTTCTTTCCCATCAGCATTATGCATGTTCAAATCCTGCCCATTTTTAAAACCAAACCAAACAAAACATAATTGTGCATTAGCATATCCCATCCCACTCCAGCTTCTGCACTGTCTGTTTCCTTCCCAGGCAAGCTTTTTAAAAGAATTGTTTTTGGCTCTCCATATTCTCACTACCCACTCTCCTCAAACCATTTCCAACTGCACCCTGTCAAGGTGAGTAACAACCCCCTTCTTGCTAAATTCAATAGATCGTTAACACCTACTCCTCTTTCAACTCTCAGATTAAACATCACTTTCTCTGTGAAGTCTTCTTCAGCCCCTTACATCTAGGTCAGGGTTTCCCCACTTCAGCACTATTAACATTTGGGAATGAATAACTCTTTGATGTGGAGGAGGCTGTCCTGCAACCTCCACCGGCTAGATGCAAGTAACATCCCTACCCCCACCCCCAGTTGTAACAATCAAACATGCCTCCATGTATTGTCAGGTGTCCCTGGGAGGACAAAATCACCCCTGATTGAGAACTACTGATCCAGACATGTGTTTTTCTTTGTGTATTCATGTCATGCTTGATTTCTCTTTTGCAGCATTGATTACATTGAATTGTAGTTGTTTGTGGGTTCCTCCCTAACCCAAACTAGACCAAGATTCATATATCAGGAGCAATGGTTATCTGGTTTATCTCAATGTCCTGGCACACTGCATGGCACATAATAATTAAACAATGTATATTTGTTGAATGAATAAATACAGTGCCTTTTTGTCTTGTGTATCAGTAAGAAATGAGAACCTCCTGAAAACTTATTTTTTTTGTCCATAGTTTTTTTGTGTTTGTGGCTGTTTTGGTTTCTGTTTGCTTTTGCTGTGATTACACCTTGTTATTGAGTTTGTGTAGGGTCATTGCTAAAAATCATAACATCCAAATCAAAAGATTACAAGTAGAAAGCAGAGAGTTAGGAAAGTATGAAAAGATTGATCTTGTCTGCCACCCTGTTATTTGTCATTGTCTTCTTGGTTCAGCTTTTTAGTCACAGCATATTTGTACAAATGCTTTATATTATTGGACTTCAAAACACCTAAGAAGGCTGGGCGTGGTGGCTCACACCTGTAATCCCAGCACTTTGGGAGGCTGAGGTGGGCAGATCATGAGGTCAGGAGATCAAGACCATCCTGGCTAACACGGTGAAACCCTGTCTCTGCTAAAATAAATAAATTAAATAAAATAAGCCAGGCATGGTGGCTGGCTCCTGTAGTCCCAGCTACTCAGGAGGCTGAGGCAGGAGAATCACTTGAACGCGGGAGGTGGAGATTGCTGAGCCGAGATCACGCCACTGTACTCCAGCCTGAGCAATGGCGTGAGACTCCATCTCAAAACAAACAAACAAACAAACAAAAAACAAACAAAAAAACACCGAAGAAACTAGCATTTGTTGGTCTCATTTTTAGATTCTGTCCATAGTCTCAGTTTTGTGCCAAGTCCTCTTTGATATTGATTCTGTATTTCCCAGAGGGAAATAGCTCATAGAGTCACTAGAATCACACACTCTTGGAACTGGCTAATTGCACCATATTTTTACAGATTAAACAATTGATCCTCAGGGATATAAGATGACATGCTAAAATTTCAGTAATAATCTCTAAAGAACTAAACTAGAATGCATGTTTCATAATTTGTCAATAAACAACACTAGATTATGTTTTAAAAGGTCTCATTTGTTGACTATCTACTATGTGCTAGACTCTGTTCCCAAAACCTCACAACAACCTTATAATTTTCTTTATAACTTTACAAATGTAACAACATGAAATCTATCTGGCAGGGCCAGGTGTCCCTGACTCCAAAGCCGTCACCCCTCTATTCCTCTGGACTGCCTCTTCTAGACACTACTATTAAAGATCATTTGCTCAGTTCCACCACATGTAGCACAATTTGTGATATATAGTAGGTACTTGATATCTAATAAATAATAAATAATTTAATGTTATTCCAAACGAGCTCTTAGGTTTCTCTTAATGGTGATAAAAGGGGATAATAATCAACAGATAAACAGAAAGGGCAGTGGTGGGATTGAAAGGGGAAAAACTGGAAAAGAGGGAGGATAGATTCATAAGAGAAATTAGGTAATGTCCTGAATGATGCTGAGATGAAGGCTAATATATCAATATCCTAGCCATGTAGCTCATTTTTTAATTGAGTTGGGATAGCTTTAGAATGCAGGATTTGGGTAAAATACACAATGAAGTGAAAGATAACCATGGCCCAGGTTACTTTATGAGATCACATTTTATTGGGCTTGAACATCTACTTAGCTACTCCAGGAAATAACTCTAGTAAGACAACCAAGTATGCTGACTACAACATCCCCAAATTAAACTGTATTGTTTTAAAAATAAGCTTTATTGCAATGAAAAATGTGTAGCTATTATTTTTTATTTTTATTTTTTTTGAGATGGTGTCTCGCTCTGTCGCCCAGGCTGGAGTACAGTGGCATGATCTCGGCTCACTGCAAGCTCCACCTCCCGGGTTCATGCCATTCTCCTGCCTCAGCCTCCCAAGTAGCTGGGACTACAGGTGCCTGCCACCATGCCCAGCTAATATTTTGTATTTTCATTAGAGACGGGTTTCACTGTGTTAGCCAGGATGGTCTCAATCTCCTGACCTCATGATCCGCCCGCCTCGGCCTCCCAAAGTGCAGGGATTACAGGTGTGAGCCACTGCGCTCGGCCACAACATATATATTCTAAAGTCCCCAAATTACCTAAAACTATAACTCCTCACTGTCTATTTTTTTTTTTTTTTTTGGTTGGAGAAAACAGAAATCACTGTTTACATGCATCCAAATGGCATGATTCTTCTGCCCTCCTAGTGTCTCACACAGTGTGTGTTTCTTCCCTGCTCCCCTGGTGTGACTCCTACTATGCTGGTTGTTAGCTGTGTTAGTGCCACTGTTTCTTGAACTGGTCTTTTTATTTTTTATTTTTTAATTTGACCATAAATAGCAACAGCTTTTTTTCTGGGCTGGAAGAATCAGGGAACTTTGGAAGGTGTTTTTCCAATCTAAGTAGAGGCTATATCTCCTTTAGCAGAATATAACTAAAATAACAGATCTGATGAAATTTTTATTCTCTTGAAAGTTCTTATATTTTATACCTTAACAATCTCTTCATAGCCAGTAATCCACTCTCATCTGGGCTTAATTCTACCTTTGGCTACAGAAGCACCGTTGTACCCACTCATATACAAAACATGTAACAACTGATCACACTCAGGTACTGACTAACCAGGAGACCACTGGCCATAAACAACTGGCACAGCCATACCCAAGTTTGACTATCAGCCCTTCATGAAAGGTGAGCAAGGGCCCTGCTCTAGCCTGATGCCTTTTCCAAGTGATGAGGTATCAATTCCCCTAGGAAGTATTCCTTATTTCCAAGTCACTTCCACTATCCCAGAATTTATTGTTTCAATGCTTTTGAATAAGAATGTAATCAATTTAGATTCTAAACTATAAAGACCTCACACCACTATCTCCTATCACAGATGAAGCTGCACCTTCAGTTTCAGAAAGATGTAACTTCAGGATCTTCTTTGTCTTTACTCGTGAGACACACGAGTCATCTCCAGCTAACCAAGGTTACAAATGCATAACGCCAGAGACCAGTCCAATGCATTAAAAAAACCAATTACATGCTTATAGCGAGTAGACTCACCCACTGAAAGTAGAGTTCTATTATACCTGGCAAACTCCTATGAGAGGAGCTGAACAGAAAGAGGACCTTTCCATCTTTGTTTACAAAGGCAGGTCAGTGGAAAGGCAAGTTGACTTGCCTGCCTATGTTTACTTGTGTGCTGTTTGGATTGCCTTAATTACCCAAGTATCTTGTTTTCAGAGCAATCACCAAGAAATTTATCTAAGGTTGATTGTTGCTTCCAGTCATTTTTACATTTAAAAGAACTATTCCAAATCAACTCAAGCATCCATGGGCTTATATAAAAGAGTGGAGCTTAAAGTATAATATGTATTAACCTTGAATAACTACTAAGTGCATACAGCATAATAGATACCTCTTTGGGTAAGTTTAATTATTGAGAGATATTATGATACAGTCATTAAGACATGAACTTATGAATCAGAGATATCTGGAATCAACTCTTGGCTTTGTCAGTTACTACATTATGACCTTGGATAACTTACTTGCCCTCTCAAAGCCTCCGTTTCCTACGTTGTTAAATGGAGACTATTAATAGTAGTAGTCTGCTTCAGAAATTTGTTGTGAGGTTCAATAAGACATGGGCAAAGTATCTGATGTAAGCACTCTGTATTAATCTCTTCTCTCATTGCCACAGAGAAATACCAGAGACTGGGTAATTTATAAAGAAAATAGGTTTAACTGGATCACAGTTCCACAGGCTGCACAGGAAGCATGGCAGCATCTGCTTCTGTGGAGGCCTCAGGAAACTTCCAATCATGGCAGAAGGCAAACAGGGAGCAAGCACCTCACATGGCTGGAGCAAGAGGAAGAGAGAGAGGGGGAAGGTGCTACCCACTTTTAAACAACCAACTTTCACGAGAACTCAGTCACTATCATGAGAACAGCACCCGGGGGAAATGCACACCCACAATCCAGTCACCTCCCACCAGGCCTCACCTCCAACACTGGGGATTACAATTGAACATGAGTTCTGGGTGGAGAGACAGATCCAATCATATCACATTCAAAATGGTAGCTATTCTTATTATCCATGACTATTACAACAACATACTGAGGTTAGGTATTAGACCCGTTTTACAGATGAGGAAACAAAGACTCATGGAGGCTAAATAATTCCCAAAGGCTGTTTTCTTTGTAGTATATCCTGGAATAAATAATGTGGCCACCATCATTGTGTGGTTTACAAACTGCCTCTAGATACGGTTCCCAAAGAGGAGCCAAAACATTTTGTATAACTAAAATTTATTCCTCTAATCCTCACAAGCATACACAAAGCAGCCAGCTTGAAGGACAATATTCATATAGATGCCTAAGTTCTGCAAAGTGTATTTTTAAAATTCACATTACTTCGTGGATAAAATTCCTATTGTTTTTGTTCTCTTGCCCACTCTTCCTGAGTTGCCTGACTTTTCTTTCAGAATCAACTGACAAGATGTTCTGGAAACAAGATGTTTCTTAGCAACATTTTGTTTATCTAGATAAAAACATAACCTTTACTGCCACATACTAGAGCAGAGAGATCCTCAGCATTTAAATGATATATACTTATTGAAGCTCTTGGTTTTTAATTTCTATATGGTCCTATGTGTTTTTCTTTATTTTGGGAGGGAAGTGTCCTTCACTTTAACAATAATTCTTCTTCAGGGTCATAGCTAACTGTACAGCATCTCCTCCTGGGTCTCCACAACTATTTCTATGTATACATGTAAGAACACAAGCTCATGAGGTTACAAGTGCATACATCTTAAAAGAAACACATGTCACTTTGGGAGGCCGAGGCAGGAAGATCACAAGGTGAGGAGATCAAGACCATTCTGGCTAACACGGTGAAGCCTCGTCTCTACTAGAAATACAAAAAATTAGCTGGGCGTGGTGGCGGGGGCCTGCAGTCCCAGCTACTTGGGAGGCTGAGGCAGGAGAATGGTGTGAACCCGGGAGGCAGAGCTTGCAGTGAGCCAAGATCACGCCACTGAACTCCAGCCTGGGTGACAGAGCGAGACTCTGTCTCAAAAAAAAAGAAGCACATGTATGATGAGTTTTCTCTGCCTCTGTTGGTTTGCGTCAGTTCCCCATTCTGCTTCTCTGGCATATACATCTTTTCAAAGTAATCATTTATGCAACTTTGATTATTTAGAGGATTTGCTCCTTCCCAAAAGAAAAATCACTGAACTAAGAAAACTGTTTAGAAATATCTGACAAAAAGACCAATAAGTCTTGAGAATAAGTAGCCTTCTCTGTATCTCCATTATGGTAATGTTGGCTGTAGATGATCAAATCCCTAAGAGATGACAGTTTCCTGACCCAAAGGAAGTTACTTGCAAGTGAGAATTATGACCTTGGATGACTTACTTGCCTTCTCAAAGCCTCCGTTTCCTATATTATTAAATGGAGACTACTAATAGACCCTGCTTCACAGAGTTGTTTTGAGGTTCAATGAGACATGTGCAAGGTGCCTGATGTAAACACTCTGTATTAATCCGTTCTCTCACTGCTATAGAGAAATACCTGAGACTGGGTAATTTATAAAGAAAATAGGTTTAAATGGATCACGGTTCCACAGGCTGTACAGGAAGCATGGCAGCATCTGCTTCTATGGAGGCCTCAGGAAACTTATAATTATGGTGGAAGGCAAAGGGGAAGCAAGCACCTCATGTGGCTGGAGTAGGAGAGAGAGAGGAGGAGGGTGCTACACATTTTTAAAAAAAACAGGTCTCATGATAACTCAGTCATTATCATGAGAGCAGCTCCCCGAGGGAAATGCACCCCCATGATCCAATCACCACCCACATGCATGCCTCACCTGGGGTAAGGGATAGCCTCAAGCCTCAGAAGAAACTGCAGTGTAACCACATGGATATTTGAGGGGATTCATGGAATTTAAGTTCCCAAAAAATTTTCTTAGGCTTCTGTATTAGGGTTCTCCAGAGAAAAAGAAACAACAGAATACACACACACACACACACACACACACACACACACGGAGAGGGAGAGAAAGAGAGAATGTATTTTAAGGAATAAATTATGCAATTATGGGGACTATCAAGTCCAAAATCTGCAGATTAGGCCAGTAGGCTGGGGACACAGGAAAAAGTTAATGTTTCAGTCTTGAGTCTGAAGGCAATCAGGAGGCAAAATTCCTTCTTCAGAGGATCTCAGTCTTTTCTCTTAAGGCCTTTGACTGATTGGATAAGGCCCACCCACATCATAGATGGTAACCTTCTTTACTGAAAATGTTAGGTGTTAATCACATCTAAAAATACCTTACAGCATCTAGGCTGGTGTTTGGCCAAACAACTGGGCCCCGTAGCTTAGCCAAGTGAATGCAAACATTAAAGATCACAGCTTCCTAGTCAGCCCTGATCCTCTTCTCTCAGGGTCATCTGGGGGCAAGCACAACCCCAAATAGAAGACTAAGCACCTATCTGGGATATTCTGGGTGACTAAAATCACCTGAGGCATCAACCACACAGTTTATACTATGGAACATGTTATCAGATTATAAATGAACTTCTTTGTTTTGCAATTACATTTTTAAAATTTATTTATATTTTTTATTATTTTATTTTATTTTTCCATTAGTTACTGGGTTATAGGTGGTATTTGGTTACATGAGTAAGTTCTTTAGTGGTGATTTGTGAGATCCTGGTGCACCCATCACCTGAGCAGTATACACTGCACCATATATGTTGTCTTTTATCACTCACCCCCTCCCGCTCTTCCCCACAAGTCCCCAAAGTCCATTGTATCATTCTTACCCTTTTCATCCTCATAGCTTAGCTCCCACATATCAGTGAGAACATACAATGTTTGGTTTTCCATTCCTAAGTTACTTCACTTAGAATAGTAGTCTCCAATCTCATCCAAGTCATGCAATTACATTTTTTTATTTTGAGATAATTATCATTTTACACATAGTTGTAAGAAATAATACAGAGAAATCCTGTGTACTCTTTACTCCATATCCCCCAATAGTAACATCTTGCAAAACCATAATACAATATAAAAACCAAGATATTGACATTGATAAAGTCAAGATACAGTACATTTCCATCACCTGCAAAGATCACTCATGTTTTCCTCTTAATGCCACACCCACTTCCTTCCTACCCCCAACTCCTACTGAAACCCTAGCAAACACTAATCTGTTCTCTATTTTCACAATTTTGTTATTTCAGGATGTTATATAAATGGAATTATATGTTACATAACAATTTTTTATTAAAGTTTTTTATTCAGCATACTTCTCTAAAGATTTATCTAAATTGTTTCTTATATTGATTGTTCTTTTATTGATGAGTAATGTTCCATGGTATAGTTGTACCACAGCTTGTTTAACCATTCACAAGTTGAAGGATATCTGAATTGTTTCCAGTTCTTGCTATAACAAATAAAACTGATATAAACATTTGTGTACAGGTTTTGTGTGAAGATAAATTTTTAATTCTCTGGGACAAATGCCAAGAAGTGTAATTGTTGGGCCATATGGTGGCTGCATATTTAGCTTGCTAAGGAACTGTTTTCCAGAATGACTATACCATTTTACATTCCCTCTAGGAATGTGTGAGAAATCCAGTTTTTCTGCATCCTTGACAGCATTTAATGTTGTTACTAGTCTTTAAGCATTCTGATAGGGGGTACAGTGATATCGTGTTCATGTGGTTTTAATTTACACTGCCCTAATGATGAATGATGTTGAAAATCTTTTCTAGTGCAGAATTGATACCTGTATATTTTCTTTTTTGAAATGTCTCCTCAAATCTTTTGCATATCTTTTAATTTGATTGTTTATTTTTTTCCTGTTGAGTTTTGAGAGTTCTTTATTTATTGTAGATACTAGTCCTTTGTTGGATACATAAATTGCATATATTTTATCCCAGTCTGTGCCTTCTCTTTTGTCTTCTTAACAGGGTCATTCTCAAAGCAAACATTTGTTGTTGTTATGAAGTTTAGGTCAAGGGGTTTTGTTCTGTTCTGCTTCGTTTTGTTTTTCTTATGGATGTTCAGTTGCTCTAGTACCATTTAATAAAAAAAAGCAATCTTACCTCCTCTATTAAATTACCTTTTCTCCTTTGTCAAAAATCAGTTGGATACATTTTTCTATGGATCTATTTCCGGATTCTCTATTCTGTTCCATTGATCAATGTGTGTGTCTCTCTCTATCAATACCAGTCTTGATTACTGCAGCTACATAATAAGTCTTGAATCAGGTAGAGGCAATTCTTCTCTCTTTATAATCTTTCAAAATTATTGTAGCTACTCTAGTTCCTTTGCATTTCCATACAAATTTTAGAATAATCTTGAGTGCATGAATAAAAATCTTGCTGAGATTTTGATAGAAATTGCACTAAATCTGTATATCAATTTGGAGATAATTCATAACTACATTGTATTGAGCTTTATCTTCCACAAACACAGTTTGTCTTTCCATTTATTGAGATCTTTGATTTCTCTCATCAGCATATTTTAGATTTTGGCATACAACTATTGTAAAAGTTTTGTTAGATCTACACCTGAACTTAAAAAAAAAAAAACAGAATGGAATAAAACCTTCTTTATTGAGGAGATACCACTTTTTATTCATTCTTGTCACTATGCGTCTACATATTCAGGGTTTATTAGTTGGACTTCTGTTTTAAAAATCATCTATTTGCTGCTTAGAAACAACTTTCTAACAGACTATGTCAAAAATTACCAATATTTATCTGACTGACAAAATCAAGAAAACCCATAGCTGCAAACTAACTGGGTTTGGCAAGGCTCATCTATTTATTTCTGTTGTTTCTCATAATAGTGTGTCTTCTAGCTGCATTAGTAGGACTCAAAGTCTTGTAATATGTACTTTTTTTGAGCTTAACCCTTATATGCAAAGCCAGATCTCAGTATTTTTAAGGTTCCCGATGATGTCACCATTTGCTAGCATGGCATTCTAATAAATAGTAGGGGTTTGGATGCAGAGCTTTTGACACTAAAAGTATACATGATGGTGAAAAAAGAGACTCTGGACATCAGGACTGCTACTGGAATTAATTTGTAGTTCGCAGTGTGAACTATCGACTTGTGATGGCCTTGCAGCAGTAAAAATATTTCCTAGCAACGTGTAGTTAATGTGGTTTGTTTTCAAATGAAAGCCACACATTACAAATCACTTCTTTTTCTCTGATTAATTGCAGAATTTTATTCTAGGTTCTGAGTTGCAATGTTCCTCTTGGCACAATCTCCTGAAGTTTCATGTGAAGGAAGAATGCAATTCGTAAGACTGAGGATGAATGCTGGTTTCTTGTGCCATCTAAAACAAGCAAGCCTGTAAAACCCACTGTAAGACAGTTCCACCATATAAGCCTCAGTTTCCCAGCGTGAGCGAATAAAGGCATATTGAGTAAACTGAATCATTGAATCTGATCCGTGAAACTTATCATTGAAGTAGTGTAGAAAGGTAAGAAGACTGAAGTCAGAATTCTTTGATTCATAGCTCTCTAGCCAAAGTGATCAACTTCTCCAAGTTTGTCCAGGACTTTTCTGATTTAAAAAATAAAAGTCTCATGTCTCAGGAAACCTTTTAGCCTTAGTTTTAAAATTGAGATTCCCATGTCCCAATACCCACATCAGTCCCAGGAAAATAAGGATGTTTGACTACCGTACCTTCAGCTCTCGGTCTTACTAACTTTGGGATTTTAAGTGAAACATATCACTTATCTGAGTCTACCTCCTCAGATGTAGAAGGTAGGGAGTAATTACTTTCTCCCCTCACAGGGTCATCGAAGGAACAGGTAGGATAATGTTAATGGAATACTTTGTAAACAGTTGAGCACTATATGGATATACAGGTTTGGTACCATCATAATTCACGGCTGTCTCATGCTAACAATGAATATATTTGTCTTATGCTTTATTCGATTGGACTCTCTGGAAAAGAAACAGTCATAAAATTATTTTTAAAACTTTGCCCAATAGCTCATTTCTTTTCAACCAGAACAATATTTTCTGCCATACTCTACAGAACCCATTAGCTAAGCACGAAGTATCATATACCCCCAAATTACTGCTAAATGCTGTTTACCCTCTAATCCCTTAATTCTATTCATCTGACATCACTTTATGGATCTCTCGCAAATAGCACAGTTCAAGTGTACAAGCATAGAGGATGGATTTGAATAATTGCATGTTTATGTTCAAGAATATAATAAAATATTTGCAGATCCAATTCTCTTTTCCAAGAGTAATACACCGTTCTATGTAAAGGCGAAGGGTTGGTTGCAAATTGCCTTCAGCATTTTAATGATAGTATTTAGGAAAGTAATAACAAGGCTTTGGTTAGAGGTCCTTTGCAAGTTTCTGGAATATAGATAGCTGAGTGTAGCATACCAGCAGATTTTAGCAAATTCATGAGGCTTCAAAGTTGATATCTGAAACACTGTCAAGTGCCAGATCTTTTGTTTGACTCTGTTAGTAAATGTAACAGATGGTTTGCAAACATGTTTGGGATCTGAAGGCTGACTGATTGTGTCAGTCTGATAGAAATAGAAGGCAGTCATTTACCACATCAGAATGTGAGAAAAGGAAAGCCTCGAAATTAAACCCTTAAAAGAGAGGGACTTTCTCACTGAGTCTAACAAGAGAGAACCTTGAGTTTAAAAGGTATGTTACCTCCACTCACATTTTACATGTTTCCTTTTATTTTATGCCAGTATGGAATATTAGAATAAGATCCTGTCATGTTCCAAAAAACAAATAAAAACCATATGTGTCTCTTTGATGCAATAGTGAAATCACCATCATAGATAGATTTCCGTTGCCATAGGGATGATTATGCTCTCACAGAATCCAGTAAGGCAACTTCGTCTCTGTGAATCCAGCTAAATGAGAGACAAAATTCTGTCTCTTTCTTTTCCAGTCTGCAAACAAGAATATTGTTAACCTCGCAGAGACAGAAAGTTAATAGCTGGGCTCCTCTATTTGTCTGACTTGCACCTCTACCCTTCTCATCTCCGTGTTAAAGCATAATGTAGGTCAGCCAAGACCAAAGAAAGTTGTGGCTGTTACAGAAAATGCATGTGATAACATATATAGCTTTATTCTGGGACCAGTTTGAGGCAGACACAGGGCAAGAAAATTTCTGCAGTTTCAGCCTCTGAAACACAGGTGAAATGGCAGGCTTATTGGGGATTTCCATCTGGGCAGGTGCACAGAAGCTCAAGTCACTCCAAGAAGACTGCTGGTAAATGATTGGTATTGGATATTTGATTGGACTTCCCAAAATGAGAAGCAGACTTCAAAATGGAGAATTATGGAATAGCTCTTGAAGCAAACTATACTCTGTTTTTTTCCATCCACGTTTAATTACGGGCCTTCCCTGTACCAGGCACTGTGTTGGCCACAGAAGATATGATTAAACAAACTGACAGGGTATCGGCTCTGATGGGGCTTACACCCAACAGAGAGAAACAGACACCAGAGGAGGGCTCTCTGAGTTGGTTACATTTGAGCTAAGCTTTGCTACATCCAATGAGGAGTGCCATTTTATAAATGTTCCTACAGTAATTTCACACTTTCGTTTCACCATTTTTCTCTATCATGAACATTCCCAACAGGAGAAATGAAGATGCACAGTGGCTACAACGTACCTAGTTATTGAATACTCAGAGAAGCAAGGGAAAAATCTAATGGAAAGGGTCAGCTGCAGTTTCACATTCCAGCTCAATCACTAGTTGAACAATTAACTTACCCGAGCTTGGGTTTCATCAGCAGTGCATTGCTGACCTGACACCCTATCAACCCCCAATACTATAGTATGTATTTCTTATAAGTAAAGATATTGTCCAACATGACCCCAATACAGCCATCAAAATAGGACATTAGGATTGATATATTTATCTGATCCTCAGACTCCAAGTTTTGCCAAATGTCCTAATGGTATCCTTTACAGCAATAGTCCTGTTTAAAAGCATCTGTCTCTTTTAGTTGTCATATCACTTTAGCAACCTTTCATTTGGAGGAGTGCCTCCATCTGCCCTTGACATTCTTTAATAGATGAGTCAGTTATTTTGTAGTATGTCTGTCAATCTGGGCTTTTCTGTTTTCTCATAACTTGATGTGGACACCCTCTTCAAGCTGCTCAGTCTCTGACATAACAGACTTGGCTATCCTCCCACATGCACTCTCTCCTCACCCTGCTTGGTGAAAAGTTCAAAGGACCGCCTTCTTTACCTGTTTTCACTCTGATCCCCCATGCCATGTTGCCCACTGAAGGGATGCCCTTCTCACTCTATCGAGGTTCTAACACCTATGACAGGCAGTTCTCCTGTATAGATACCCAGGGTACTCTCAATTCTGGGCCACTGCACTCCTCTATATTCACAATTAATGTCTACCATATTCAGCTCCACCTATTGACTTTAGAATACAACTATTCAGGGGCTTGGCACAGTGGCTCATGGCTGTACTCCCAGCACTTTTGGGAGGCCAAGGCAGGTGGATCACCTGAGGTTAGGAGTTTGAAACCAGCCTGGCCAACATGGTGAAACCCCATCTCTACTAAAAACACAAAATTAGCTGGGTGTGGTGGCACAGGCCTGTAGTACCACCTACTCAGGAGTCTGTGATGGGAGAATTGCCTAAACCTGGGAGGCGGACACTGCAGTGAGCTGAGAATGCGCCACTGTACTCCAACCCAGGTGACAGAATAAGGCTCCATCTCAAAAAAAATAAAATAAAATACAATTATTCAGGAAGAAAGGAAAGGAGAAAAAATCTTCAGAAAAGCAGAAGAGAAATAACATGATTACCATTTTGAATATTATTCCAGAATGTTTCAAAGTCTAATCAGAGTTCTTCATATTATTTGCAAATAACACCAATTATCCTAGGACATACTGTCCAGAAGCCAGTGAAATCAAAACAACCGCCACCATACTTTGCCTCCCCTCATAAGGAAGGCCATATTAAACACTCCTCTGCACAGGGCCAAAGCCACCTACTTGGGATATGTAAGCCTCTTAGCAGACAATTATTCTGAATTTGCCCCAGCTGAGCTTAAGTTCCCTGCTTCTTTTCCCATCCCCACTGCTGACTTCTGTAGATGAACTCAAAATTCTCTTTATCCACAGGTAAACTTATGCTTTTATTTTTAGCGTGTCTCTGGTCGTGTTTATTTACCTAAATAAACATCCATCCCATTTCAACGTATATACGATAGAACTCGATGACTGATGCATGTAAACACTTCTGATACATGTTATGTAGGGTCTGCTGACAATATTGCAGTCTTTTACTTTGCTGGCTATTATTATACATGAAACTAGATCTCACTGGCCCATCACAGAGACAACAAGCCTTTACCTCATCACACACACACAAACATATACGCACGCGCACACACACACACACACACACACACACACACACATTCTAAGGACCATAGTAGCTGACTGTGGATTCTGCATAACTCATTTATTCACCCACCTGTACTTTCAACACACATTTTTGAGTGTGGTTATTATGAAATTCAGGGATAGGCACTGGGTTTGAATACATGAATTCTGAACTAATCTCCAGGTTAGTGTCTGGTGAGGTTCAGTGGCGGAGCTAAATATGTACACAAATAATTACAATCTATTGCTTTGCTGATTGCTTTTTCTCTTTTGACTTGTCTATCCAGTCAAGTCCCCTTAGTTGACAATGAATGGGGCCAAAGAAATATGTACTTGGCCGGGTGCAGTGGCTTGTGCCTGTAATCCTAGCACTTTGGGAGGCCGAGGTGGGTGGATTGCTTGAGCCTATAAGTTCGAGACCAGCATGGGAGACATGGTGAGACCCCATCTCTACTAAAAATACAGAAACTGAGGTGGGAGGATCACCTGAGCCTGGGAAAATTGAGGCTGCAGTGAGTCATGATCACACCACTGCACTCCAGTCTAAGCAGCAGAGTGACACCCTATCTCGAAAGAAAAAAAAAAAGAGAAAGAAATCTATATACTCTTTATTTTATTTTTAATATTCCATATATAGAAAAGTTCATAAAACTTAAATGCCAGTTTAATGAATAATGATAAACACTGATGTTCCCATTACTGAGCTAAAGAAAGAGAATACTGCCCATCTTCAGACTTCCCAGTCCTGATCCCCACAGAAGTAGCCATTATCGTGACATGCTGATGGATCATTTCCTTACTTTCTTCAGAGGTTTATCACCAAAGTATGCACCTCTAAAAAGTTTAGTCGTTTGCCTTTTTCAAGCTTTTGCATTAGTGAAATCATAGTGAATGCATTCTTTTTTTCTTGTTTCTTTCTTTCAACATTATTTGTATGATTTATCTATGTTGTTTGTAACTGTATTGTGTTCATTTTAATGACATAAAATATTTTATTGTATGAATATATTTTGATATAGTTATATATTCCCCTCTTAAAGAACCATTGAATTTTTTCAAATCAGGGGCTATTATGAATAGTATAACTATAGACAATCTTTTGCTTACATCCTGATGCCCAGGAATATAAATGTTTCTATATCTGAGTGTAATTACTAGATATTTGATCATATATATTCAACAATATCAGATAACATTTATCTTAAAAAATAATTGTATTAATTTATACTACCACTGGAAGTATTAAAAATTCCCATTATTCCATATTCTCGTCAACATTGGGATTATCAGGCTTTTAAATTTTTGTGAATTTGATAGATGACAGGTGTGTAATGACACTTTACTGTAATTTCTATTTACATTCTCTTGATTATTTAAGAAATCAAACACTAATCCATGTACTCTTTCAAATTTTGACCATTAAGTCTGAAAAGATTGCTTTTTATCTAATGATGAATAAGCAAACATTCAGCATCAGGCTTGTGAAAAAATTACCATAGAAGGAAAATCCCTCATTCTTAACAACCAGAGGAAGAGAATATTCTTTAGTAAGATTGGTATTAAAACATTTTCTCTTAAATAAAAAGGTTTCATCAAGATTTGGCCTTCATCAAATAGGAAGATAAATCTGTATAAAATACATAGTCTAAGTCATAAGAGACTACATTTTTAAAGATTGCAAGAAAATAAAACACACGAGTATAATAAAAAGATGTCTTATGAAGGCATCAAGGAACCGAAATAGGATTTGGAAAATTACATTGGTGGTGTTTGTCCATAAAGAAAGAACAGCAGAAAATGTGACATTGTATGTCCCTTTCTTTCCTCTATGCTTTCCCAGGCACATGTATCATAAATGTTGACTCATCCTCTACTCCTTTGACTTTTCCCAGTGTGTACACTCATGGTAATAAACCCTGTTTTGGTTAGTGCTTTACAGAGAATTCCTAACTAAGAACAAACAAAAAACTCCTGCATATTATTATTCTCCATCAGTCAACTTCCAATTATACTTGTTCCAATTTCTTTACCAGAGCCTCTCTTAGCAACCATCTGTTACGGCTCATTCTATTATGATGTCTGCCATTCTCCCTCTGTCCACTGGATCATTAAACTTAGATCTATTTCCATATTTTTTACTTAATATTTTCCAGGAATCTGGTAGCCTTAACCAAGAGCTAAAGTTTCTTGTGCATTCTCTTTAAAAAATATTCTTAATTTTTGTGGGTACATAGTAGGTTTATATATTTTTGGGGTACATGAGACATTTTGATACAGACATACAAAGCATTATAATCACATCAGGGTAAATGGGGGATTCATCATCTCAAACATTTATATTTTCTTCGTGTTACAAACAATCCAATTACACTCTTTTAGTTGTTTTTAAATGTACAATAAATTATTGTTGACTGGAATCACCATGTTGTGCTATCAAATATTAGAACTTATTCATTCTATCTAACTATATTTTTGTACCCATTAGCCATCCTTATTTCCCCTTTCCCCCCAACCCCTGCCATCTTGTGCATTCTTGATTATGCTTAATGGTTAAACAGACTCTGTATAACAAATAAGGGCTTTCTTTAATCTGTGTTGCAATATTCTTGGAGTGCCCAGGGCTCAGACATAAAACCAATACTAAGTCTATCTCTCACCAGTTATTTGAGACATTTCTGACTTTAGAATAAATGTCAAAGTCTTAATGTTTGCTCCTCAAAAATACCTACTGTCCTAAAGTAGTGTTAGTGGCTTTGTTCTAATTCAGATCAAGTCTATAGTTTTTATGGATATTTTAAGAACACGTACAAGCTTATATACATGCATGTACATCTGTGTGTGTTCATCTCCAGACTTTCAACCTAAGGGGTTTTGAACATATTAATTTGATTTGTATTTCAAGAGGTGAATGAAGCTCTGAAGTATTTTAATGTTCTTCTCTGTCCTTTTATTTTCTATTCGAATATATTCTGAGAAGTGTCTTCTTATTTAAGTCAGCTGATTAGTCCAAAGGGACAGATCGATGCTGTATAAACGCTAATGTGTTGCTTAGAGAACTTCATTTCAAAAGCACACCATTCAAGTTCATTTATGCATGTATTGTTTATTTGAATGTTGTGAAAGGCCAAATCACATGAAACTTTAAGAGGACAGTGTTTCCAATCATTTGGACTTTGGCAAGTGCAATTTTGTTCAGTTTACCATAGCTTAGTTTAGTGCTGGTTTCAGTTTGGGAGAAAGCACTCTGTATGGGGGGAAAACAGCCAAGACATTGCTGATGACATTGGCAGTGTAGCCATTTTGGCGGGGGATCCTGGTCCCAATGTCCCATTTATTAACTGTGATAGAAGTGACAAGTTATTCATCTTTTATTCCCCTTTTTCCTGTTGGTACAGGGGGAAAAATAGCCTGAATGATCCCTGTGGAACTTTGGGAGGATGCTATATATACTTCAATATGTATAGTAACTTATTTGAATAACATTTATATCCATAGTGCCAAAGATGGTCTCAAAACGTTACCTAATCTAGCTGATTTCAGGCAAGAGCTATTCAAAGACTAAGACCATTATTTTACCCATAATCTGACATATCTCTGGAGAAAGATACTCAATAAACATTCTGCAAAATCAGCTCAAATGATAGTTCCTTTTCTTAAAGCTTCTTTATATCTAATTCAAATCTCTTGCATTTGTAATTCATGTGTATTTCTTACATGCTATTCATGGCCAAAGGAAAAAAAAATTTAAGTTGTTTTTGATGTTGATAAACTAGCTATATACAACATAAATTTTGACGTGGAAAAATTTGTTATGAACAGTACATAGGCAAATTACAAGCTGAGGAATAAAACATCTGAAACTTAGAGATAAATGATATTTTTAACATATAAAGATTGCTCTTATAAGTCAGTTTGAAAAGACCAATAGCCCAATACATAAATGGGCAGATAATCTAAACAGAAAGTTAAGAGGAAAGAAACTATACATTGTTCTGAAACATACAGAAAAATGCTCAGTTTCACTCTTCATGCAAATAAAAAGAATACTGAGATACCACTTTTTCAGCTTTGAGAATGGCAAAAAATAAAAAAGAGAAATTTGGCCCTTCACAAGGGCCTTTTAACCCAGAAAATCTGTTTCTTGGGATCTTACAGATACACCAGTACATGTATAGGATGATATATCTACAAGGTTATTAATTGCAACACTTTTTATAATAACAAATTGTGGGGAAAAGCAAGAGAGATCAGATTGTTACTGTGTCTGTGTAGAAAGAAGTAGACATAGGAGACTCCATTTTGTTATGTACTAAGAAAAATTCTTCTGCCTTGAGATTCTGTTAATCTATAACCTTACCCCCAACCCCGTGCTCTCTGAAACATGTGCTGTGTCAACTCAGAGTTGAATGGATTAAGGGCGGTGCAAGATGTGCTTTGTTAAACAGATGCTTGAAGGCAGCATGCTCCTTAAGAGTCATCACCACTCCCTAATCTCAAGTACCCAGGGACACAGAAACTGCGGAAGGCCGCAGGGACCTCTGCCTAGGAAAGCCAGGTATTGTCCAAGGTTTCTCCCCATGTGATAGTCTGAAATATGGCCTCGTGGGAAGGGAAAGACCTGACCGGCCCCCAGCCCGACACCCGTAAAGGGTCTGTGCTGAGGAGGATTAGTAAAAGAGGAAGGAATGCCTCTTGCAGTTGAGACAAGAGGAAGGCATCTGTCTCCTGCCTGTCCCTGGGCAATGGAATGTCTCGGTATAAAACCCGATTGTATGCTCCATCTACTGAGATAGGGAAAAACCGCCTTAGGGCTGGAGGTGGGACCTGCGGGCAGCAGTACTGCTTTGTAAAGCATTGAGATGTTTATGTGTATGCATATCTAAAAGCACAGCACTTGATTCTTTACCTTGTCTATGATGCAAAGACCTTTGTTCACCTGTTTGTCTGCTGACCCTCTCCCCACAATTGTCTTGTGACCCTGACACATCCCCCTCTTTGAGAAACACCCACAAATGATCAATAAATACTAAGGGAACTCAGAGGCTGGCGGGATCCTCCATATGCTGAATGCTGGTTCCCCGGGTCCCCTTATTTCTTTCTCTATACTTTGTCTCTGTGTCTTTTTCTTTCCTAAGTCTCTCGTTCCACCTTACAAGAAACACCCACAGGTGTGGAGGGGCAACCCACCCCTACAACGATTTAGAATATCTTTTTTGTATTATACTTTAAGTTTTAGGGTACATGTGCACAACGTGCAGGTTTGTTACACATGTATACATGTGCCATGTTGGTGTGCTGCACCCATTAACTCTTCATTTAACATTAGGTGTATCTCCTAATGCCATCCCTCCCCCCAACCCCCACCCCACAACAGGACCCGGTGTGTGATGTTCCCCTTCCTGTGTCCATGTGTTCTCATTGTTCAATTCCCACCTATGAGTGAGAACATGCGGTGTTCGGCTTTTTGTCCTTGCGATAGTTTGATGAGAATGATACAATTCACAATAGCAAAGACTTGGAACCAACCCAAATGTCCAACAATGATAGACTGGATTAAGAAAATGTGGCACATATACATCATGGAATACTATGCAGCCATAAAAAATTATGAGTTCATATCCTTTGTAGGGACACGAATGAAGCTAGAATATCTTAAAGGCCTTTCAGTATAAAGAAAGAATGATTTAAAGAATGAGGAAGTATCTGGATAGTGCTATGGAAAGATGCCTAAGGTATATTTTAATAGAATATAGCACGTACACAGCAATGTTTGTAATATGCTACTACAATGAGGGTTTTAAAAAGGTGGACTAGATAGACAGACAAAGACAATTTCTGGAACAATGCATGAGTTGCAGTAATACTACTGTCCCTTGGAAGGGGAATTGTATGAGTCAGGAGACAAAATTTATACATTTCACTTCAAACGTTCTGCCATGGTCAAGTATTATCTACTCAAGATAAAATAATTTGAATGCAAAAATTTAAATCTCTTATCAGTCCATTTGACTTCTATCTTTTTTTAACTTCTTTGTGTATTAGTATTAATTTAACTTGTCTAATAGTAAGAAGTAGAAAAGATATAGAAAATTATTAAGATAAGTACACCATTATTATTACCCTCTGTATGGAAGTGTGACATACACTTGTGTTTTTAATACAAGGCAGAATTGCGATAAGTGTTTTAATTGTGATAACTGTTTTAATAAAACTCTAATCTAAAAACAGCATTAAGTTTATTGAAGAGAAATTCACAACAGGGAATGAGCAAAGGCTCATACTAGAGATGAATATATTTGTCTTGCCTTGATAAAGACAGAAAGTTGAGGATGGATAGAAAAGATAAGGCATTTTAGAAGGAATAGAAGGCACACAGCCTTATTTACTCATCTGCATCAACAAAAGCAAACAACTTAGCTGTTGGGACGACCTGCACTCGTAATGACATTCAAGTGACATTTAGTTAGCTAAGAATTTTGTCTATTTGCAATAAACTGTTTTGCAAATATTCCCCAATGAATTGACAAATGTTGCTATTGGTATTGTCATTATTATTTTTATTAACTGAATTGTCCAGTTATTTGTAATTTGTACTTATTACTATATAGTAAAATTTTGGAGTCATATCCAATAGGTTGGCAACCATGTGTGGCTGGCAGATTATGACTCTGCACAAGAGAACCCTGCCAATAAGTGAATCTAACACATGCAAATTTGAGGGTTGTGTTTACCTAGAATGGGCACCTTTTTCTAAAATACTCAAAGAAACCATATGATCAAGTAATCTCCCTGTTTTGCAGGGAAGCAAAGTTTTGTAACATGAAAATACTTTCACATTAATTGGTCACTTAATTGTCCCTTAGTTCCATTCAAATATTCCACCCTTATTCTAGTGTCTATTCCCACTAATTCATTCCATGTCACTCTAGAAAGTCCCTTATTGGTTGCTGGGTAATGCATATACAATATCAAAGAATACCCAAATAAAATATATATGTCAAAATACTGGTTTCATTAAAGAAATGGAAGTAATGAATAACTGCTGGAGTAACCTGCAAAATCTTTAATAAATAAAATTCTGGAAAATTAGACCAGATAATGGTTCACAAAGAGAAATTCAATGATAGTTTTTGTAAAACAGGCACTTGGAAAAGAAATAAAAGTGAAATAACTAAAGATAAAGAAATGCCTTAGAGAAAAACTAGTAAAAACAATTGTTGCAGTATTCATAATTCTGTTGTATTATATATGAATTTATTGTAAAAAATATCACATTTTGCTGTGATATATTTTTAAACACCGAAATATAAGCATTTTAGCTTAGTCTAATAATTGTAATTAAATCTATTTTCATTAAATATAAGTTTACATATATTAATATTTACCTTTTAGGATATCTCTTAGTTGCATTCTCCAAGGTAAAGTTACCATTTAATATTTTTTCTTCTTCTTTTTTTTTGCTATGAAATTGTATTTGGTCATTAAAGTTCCAGCTTAAAAGGCCTTTTTAATATTTTTCTTCATCAGTAGATTTTTTTGTAAAGGTGATTGTTTATTAAATAAAGCAATGCAATAAACTATGCCTACTATTTGTAAGTTAATATATAAAGCAATAATTTATTTTGGAAAGATAAGATAAATTCTTTTTCTTTTTTTTTTTTTTTTGAGACAAAGTCTCTCTCTGTTGCCCAGGCTGGAGTGCTAGAGTGCAGTGGCGTGATCTTGGCTCACTGCAACCTCTGCCTCATGGGTTCAAATGATTCTCTTGCCTCAGCCTCCTGAGTAGCTGGGATTACAGGTACACGCCACCACATGCGGCTAATTTTCATATTTTTAGCAGAGACAGGATTTCACCATGTTGATCAGGCTGGTCTCGAACTCCTGGCCTCATGATCCACCTGCCTCGGCCTCCCAAAGTGCTGGGATTAAGGCATGAGCCATTGTGCCCAGCCGAGAAAATAAATTCTATAAGTTCTGTTAGATATATTGCTGATAGCTTTATAAGTTTACATATAGCATAAATGAATGACAATTTGTCAATATTACAAAAATTTTGAATTTTTGTCCCAGCAAAACAGTTCTAAGACATATGCTAAAAAATTTATGCAAGTTGGAAAGCATACATCATATCATTACTTATAATACACAAATCTGAATGATATTCATGTCTAACAGTGGAGAATTGCTTAAACTATGGTATATCCATACAATGGACTATCACGTAGTGGTATTTGATACTGACAAATGTTGATGCAGATGTACATTTATAGCTAAAAAAGATTTTCAGGAATTCATTTTTAAATAAAATAAAAATTATATATATAAATATCCTATGAGCTCATTTGAGTTTAGATAACCAAACCTTCCATGTGACTGAGCTGGAGCTCAACAGAGCTAACTTCATTGACCTATCATTCATTTTAACTATATAGAAGGATATGCCCACAAAACTTTCCATTTTGTGTAAAACTATAATATATTATATGTTTTCAAAAAGCTAGAAAAAGTTTTGAATGTTCATAACACAAAGAAATGATAAATGCACATAAACAGAACTAAAGCCAAAAACCACATGATTATCTCACTAGAGGCAGAAAAGGCTTTCAATAAAATTCAATACCCCTTCATGTTAGAAACTCTCAATAAACTAGGTGTTGAAGGAAACATACCTCAAAATAATAAGAGAAATGCAAATCAAAACCACAATAAGATACCATCTATGACAAACACATGGCCAACATTATACTAAATGGGCAAAAGCTGGAAGCATTCCTCATGAAAACCATCACAAGATAAGGATGCCCTCTCACCACTATTCAACATAGTATTGGAAGTTTTAGCTAGAGCAATCAGACAAGGGAAAGAAAGCGCATTCAAACAGGAAAAGAGAAAGTCAATCTATCTCTGTTTGCAGATGACATGATGCTATATCTAAAAAAAACCCATAGTCTCAGGCCAAAATCTCCTCCAGCTGATAAACAACTTCAGCAAAGTTGCAGGATATAGAATCAATGCCAAAAAAGAATGAAATACCTAGGAATACAGCTAACCAGGGAGGTGAAAGATCTCTACAATGAGAATTATAAAACACTACCCAAAGAAATCAGAGATGACACAAACAAATGGAAAAACATCCCATGCTTCTGGAAGAATCAATGTCATTAAAATGGCTATACTGCCCAAAGCAATTTACAGATTCATAGCTATTCCTATCAAACTACTAAAGACATTCTTCACAGAACTAGAACAAAACCATTTTAAATTTATATGGAACCAAAAAAAGAGCCTGAAGAGCCAAGGCAATCCTAAGCAAAAAGAACAAAACTGGAGGCATCACATTACCCAATTTCAAACTATACTACAAGCCTACAGTAACCAAAGCAGCATGGTACCAGTTAAAAAAAACAGGCACATAGACCAATGGAACAGAACCATCTGATCTTCAACAAACCTAATAAAAACAAGCAATGGGGAAAAGACTCCCCATTCAATAAATGGTGCTGGGATAACTGGCTAGCCATATTCAGAAGATTGAAGCTTGACCCCTTCCTTACACCATACACAAAAATCAACTGAAGATGAATTAAAGACTTAAATGTAAAACCTCAAACTCTAAAAACCCTGGAAGTCAGCCTAGGCAATACCATCTTGGACACAGGAACAGTCAAAGATTTCACTATAAAGACACCAAAAGCAATTGCAACAAAAGCAAAAATTGACAAATGGGATCCAATTAAACTTCAGACCCTTTGCACGCAAAAGAAACCATCAACAGAGTAAAAAGAATACCTACAGAATGGGAGAAAATATTCACAAACTATGCATCCCACAAAGGTCTAATATCCAGCACCTATAAGGAATTTAATAAAATTTACAAGAGAAAAACAACCCCATTAAAAAGTGGGCAAAAGACATGAACAGACACTTCTTAAAAGAAGACATACATGTGGCCAACAAGCATATGAAAAAAAAAAAAAAAACCTCAATATCACTTATCATTAGAGAAATGCAAATCAAAACCACAATGAGATACCTTCTCACACCAGTCAGAATGGCTATTGTAAAAAAAGTCAAAAAATAACAGATGCGGCTGGGAGCAGTGGCTCACACCTGTAATCCCAGCAGTTTGGGAGGCCAAGGCTGGCGGATCACAAGGTCAGGAGATGCAGACTATCCTGGCTAATGTGGTGAAACCCCGTCTCTACTAAAAATACAAAAAAATTAGCCGGACGTAGGGTCGCCTGTATTCCCAGCTACTCTGGAGGCTGAGGCAGGGAGAATGGCGTGAACCCAGGAGGCGGAGCTTGCAGTGAGCCGAGATTGCGCCACTGCACTCCAGCCTGGGTGACAGAGTGAGACTCTGTCTCCAAAAAAAAAAAAAAAGGAAAGAAAGAAAAAGAATAACAGATGCTGGTGAGGTTGTGAAGAAAAAAGAATGCTGATACGCTGTTGGAGGCAGTGTAAATTAGTTCAATCATTGTGGAATGCACTATGGCAATTCCTCAAATACCTAAAAGCAGAACTAGCACTCACCCCAGCAATCCCATTACTAGGTACATACCCAGAAGAATATAAATGATTCTACCATAAAGACACATGCTAGTGAATGTTCATTGCAGCACTAGTCACAATAGCAAAGACATGGGACCAACCTAACCTCCATCAATCACAGACTGGGTAAAGAAAATGTGGTACATATACACCATGGAATACTATGAAGCCATAAAAAAGAACAAGATCATGTCTTTTATGGGAACATGGATGGAGCTGGAGGCTATTATCCTTTGCAAACTAACTCAGGAACAGAAAACCAAATACCACATGTTATCACTTATAAGTGGGAGCTAAATGATAAGAACTTATGTGTACAAAGAGGGAAACAACAGACACTGGGCTCTACTTGGAGGGTGAGAGGAGGGAGAGGAGCAGAAAAGATAACTATTGGGTACTGAGCTTAATACCTGGGTGCTGAAATAACATGTACAACAAACCCCCGTGACACATGTTTACCTGTGTAACAAACCTTCATATGTACCCCCAAACCTAAAATAAAAGTTAATAAAAAAGAAAAAGAACAAAAGTTAAGCATGATCATGGCTGAATTTTTTAAAATGATAAATGTTCGAGGTGAGAAATATTGTAAGTGCCCTGATTTGATCATTATACATTGTATACACATATCAAAATACCACTCTGTGTCCCTCAAATATATAAAATTATTGTGTATCAACTAAAAACAAAAGAAAAAAAATGCTGACCATTTGTTCTTGAGGCTTCTGCCATCCTCTTTAGCCTCAGTTGTTGTTGATTTATCGCCTTATTTTTTTTCTCAGCTCTGAACTGCTTATGTTTTCCTAAACAGGGGTTGCCATTTAGCTCCTTCTTAAATTTGATTATGTCCATTCAATGCACTCTCAAAACCTCCACTGTCTGAAAAACTTTAAAAATTTTGTTCAGCTAGCACCTCCTTCAAGACAGTTTTAAAGATTCCCAAATATATCACTCCTCCCCACCTCCAAAGAAGATTATACTCCCAGAAAAATATGTAAAAATAAATAGTATAAAATTATTAATTTTACTTTCCTTTATAAAGCCTCAGAAATTAAATCTGTAAATCATATTGAGATAAAACCAAGCTCAATATCAGAATCTTCCTCCTTCAAAATGTAAAGGATTCATCTCACACTCATTTGCTTTAATTGAACTCTTTCCATTTGCATTTTCTGCAGATGTGTTTTTAATGTCTACTTTTTAGATAGATTGACAAGCTAAATGGCCTCATCAACTTTCTCTGGCTTTACAGTGGCAAACTGCAATGAGGAAAAACAAGTGACTAGGAAAAGAGGTAAATAAGTATATGGCAAGCTCTTTGAAAGATTCATTTGTTCACTGGAAAATCACAACTGTCTTTAGTGGAGGGACACATGTTTTCTCTCCTCCACATGCCAAATAAATTTTTAGGAAGTCTCAAGTGAAAATATTAATTCCCAAGACTGCATTGATTTTTTTCTCTCTTCATTCCACTCCTCCAATTCCTTTCTTTATTCTGCCAGCAACATTCTTTTCCCCAATTCTATGTCTGACTATTAAAACCCTAATCACTGTATATGATTCTATTGCAATGTACCTTCTCTGTGAAGTTCTCCAGGATCAGCCCTACTGGTATAATTCTCCCTTTTATCTGACTTCCTACAGTACTTTCTTAGGGTCAAGAGTATAGTGTTTATCCTTATTTACACTAGAGGTATTATTCTAGCTATCTTCTGTTTCTTAGTAACCTGTAAGCTCCAGGAAGCAAAGACCATATCTTTTACATGTTTATTCCCCAGAATGTCTAAAACACGGATTTGCATAATGTGTATTCAGTAAACAGAATGAAGGAATTTGAAAGAGAAAATATTATGAGGAAAGATTAATAAACACTGAATTCATTATTAGAAAAAGGAGTCAAATAGAACACAGATAATACATGGCTATTTTGAGTCTTATAACCCTTTTCATAGCCTGAAGCCTTGGACATTGACTTCTTTCCCTTAAAAAAGTCATGAATCTAGAAAAACAGACATATAAGAATAGTTAGTGGCAGTTACTGACATTGACCACAGAATAAACAAGGGCATCACAACACTATCACCTGTACAGGTATCAGAGCAGCTGCCAGTCATGGGCAGCATCCACTTCACCACAGCCAACACCACCTGAGCATTTACAGTGTGGTAGACACTCTGCTGAATAAATCTCAGGTAATCCTCACAATGACGGCTAGAGTGAGATACCCTTAATCTTCTTGTTGTACAAATGAGAATGCTTAAGCCTCAAAGAGGTTAAATAATTTATTCTAGGTTACACAACTAATGATGAAATAGAAGTCCAATCCAGATGGACCTGACCTCAGAAATACTGTAATGGGGCCAGCTCACTCCTGTAATTCCAGCCCTTTGGGAGGCCAAAGTGGGAGAATTGCTTGAGCTCAGGAGTTTGAGACCAGCCTGGGCAACAAAGTGAGACCTTGTCCCTACAAAAAATTTAAAAAAAAAATAACTGGTTGTGGTGTTGCACACCTATAGTGCCGGCTACATGGGAGGCTGAGGCAGGAGGATCACTTGCCCCTAGACGGTCAAGGCTGCAGTGAGCTATGTTCACATCACTGCATTCTAGCCGGGTGAAAGATCAAAATCTGTTTCACAAAACAAACAAACAAAAAGTCAAACAAACAAAAAATCAAACAAACAAAAAAGAAATACTGTAATGCCTCAGCATGCCCGAAATTTAGAGGGATAAAATATAAATTTTTGTTCTTTAATTTAAAATATATACATTTGTAAATCTAAAATATAATTCATATGAAAATCTCACTCTAAAACTATTATACAAGAAATAAATATCCTAAAGCTCAACTGACTTCAAAATATAATTACCTTTTGATTCCTGCACTTCCTTCCCGCAAACCCCACATTCTATTGGCTTTTTTTCATTTCTGCAATGATGAGTTGGAAACTAGTAACTATTAGCATATTAATATCGCCAACTAGACATTTCTATTTCTACCATTGCAGCCTACAATTGCATTGGATTGTTAGAGTTGATCACACGGTTACTTATACAGGGTTTGTAATTGTAACATTTAGAGATGCTTTTGGCTGCAAATAACAGAAAACCCAATACCAGGGCTTAAATAAATAGGAACAGAAGCATCAACAACGTGGAGTTTGGAAGTAAGCCGTTCTGTCTGCTGTTTCAGTGGATTGATGACTTTCTAGCTGATATCTCTGTAATAACCTTGGCCAACTTTTGTTACTTGTTGCCTCAGGACACCAAGATAGCTACCCTAGTTGCCATGTGAAAACTAGGAAGATAGAAGAAGAAGAAGTGCTTTGCCAGTTATATCTCTCTTTCTTTTTGATTTAAAAAGCTAATCTTTCCAGATTTCTGTTCTTTTCTCATAGGCCGGGTCTGAGATGTGTGGCCAACCCACACTGAAAGAGAGGAAACAAGGGAGAAGGGATTCTACGTGGTTTTGGGGTAGCAACGAAACAGTACATGATACATTAGCATAAGGTGGAGAGCTACTTGACAGGAACGTTGAGATGCTTCATCTCTCAAATCAATATCACTTCCTCATGGCTATCTTTATGACCTCTCAGATCTCTGTATCATCTGTTCTAACAGCATTCCAGAAAACTTTTCATAGCCCTCATCACAGTTTATAATTTACACTTGCTGAACAAAGACATCTTAAATCTTTGGGATATTTCTCGGATAGTGTTTTGAGGCAGACCCCAAGAATTGGTCATGATTTAAGGGTGTAGCCTCTTTACAGCTGTCTATGTGTGTTCAATATGCCCTAAGATATTGTTTTCTCTATACAGCTTAGATGTTGCAATTGGAAGATGTTCCATTTGATATTTAAACATTCAAACAGGATGCTAATTTGTTCAGAAAATAAGTTTGACATGCACATTTTTTAGAATTATCTCTAAAAGTGAATTATAATTTCCTTCTTATTAGTCAGTTTCCACTTAAAGAATGAACTATACCCCTGAGCGCAATTGCAAATTCCAGTAAGTGTGACCTCTGCTAACATATTAATTTAGGAAAGCTTCCCCTTAAATTGTTTTCCTGTGGCATCAGGTGAATTGATCACAAGAGACTTAATAACTTTGGATTAAGTCTACATCCTTTATAAATGTGTAATCACTTCGCATCACATTCCATTAAAGAGCTGATATTTGTAAGGCAAATCATTGGATTCTTCCAAAGCAGTTTGCTGAATGGTCACACAAACTAATTAGTGTTTATTACAACCTACATATCTTCCAAGGGAAACTTTAAGCAGGTAATACAGCATATTTTAACTAAAAGCAGTATGTAACAACTTAGGAGACAGAAAATAAATTTAAAACCTTACATATTCTTTTAAAGCTTCCCGTTAGTTTCTCAAACCAATAAACAATAACTCCTTGAAAGATCATTCATGGCCACTCTGATAAAGACAAATGTGCCATGATCGATATATTTTAATTAAATAGACAACATTCATCAATGTGGAGATGCACATTTACAGGACCAGGCTGACTGCATCAGTTCAAAAGTTATAATTGTTTTAGGTTTTTTCCTCTTGGGATGCATGAGTATGTTAGTCCTGTTAAAGAATAACTTGCTATTTTCAAATTTCAATGAGAAAAAAAAACTCTGCCTAGGCAAAGAGGTATGTGAACATGTAGCAAGTAAAGATTCATTTGCTCAGAGGACACAATACAGACTCACAACCTATGGATGAAACAAAGTCAAGCTTCAATGCTACTTTGTACACTCCTAAGATCTAGTGGAGAAGAAAAGAAGATAGGATAAAGAGATACTATTTTCTCCATTTATGAAGTATGATACCTGTCATACAATCTTTTTTTCCAACACCCTGTCAGGTCCCAGAGAAAATGGGTCCTTCCATTGGTGGATGAGGGAAGATTAAGATTTGGTCTTCAGGCTGACCCAGGTGAAAGAGAAGCAGCATCATGCATTGGGAGGCTGATCTCTTTGCTCAGCCTGCTCCAAAGAATTTCAAGTTCCTATTTTCAAGGTACCACTTTTTATACTCCTGAGTCACACAACCCAGGCACAAATAACCTGCTAACCTGTTTTGCTTTATAACATAACCTGTTTATTTTCCTCTCTCTTAATTATTTACCTGTTTATTTTATTTTTATTATTTTTGGAAAGTAATTTCTAAGACAGCAAGGATTATATCTCTCTGGCTTACCACAGTAACTCCAGAACCCAGAACATGGTTTGGTATACAACAGACTCTCAATCATTGAATTTCACAATTCATTTTGTGAAATGAGTAAATGAAGGGGAGGTGCCTAAAACACGCAATAACCAATACATTCAATCAACATTAGTATTTTCACCACAAACCCCAAATGAAATTACCAGAATCAAAAATACAAAGCAATTTTATTCTTAGCATTTTCCAGCCTGCTTAAAAAGTACTATCGTGGGCTTAATTCTCTCTTCTCTCCTGAATATTTTAACTAAGGAGCTTCCATCTACACTGCCTGATAGAACATGCAGTTGAGCCAAAGCACATCAAAAAAACCAAAACCAGGCCACTGAAGATCAAGAGAGGCAAGCCTGGCATATTTTTAAACATAATAAAAAGGATATGAACTCCTAGGAGTGTAGTCCAAGCTATTTGACAATTCCTTGTGGTATTTGATTTCATCCAGATTAGTAGACAATGATCCAGAAAGTCGATTCAAACGTAGGAATACATAAAGCATAAGTGACACTGCTGGGATCCAAACTAAAGAGAGACTAATAAGAATTTCTCACTGCCCCCTCACCTCCCTATTTCAGATATATTATATCAGATGTGGAAACAGTTCTTTTTCATACCTGAGCCAACCTGACAGTCTAAAAAAGTGCTGCTTTCTCTGATTTTAAGTTTTGGAAATCCCACTGGAAATAGCAAACACCATATGTTAAGAATCACTCCATTACACAACTAGAGGGTATTCTTTTCATATAACTTTAGAAGCCCTGTTGTCTATTGCCAAAAGAAATTTAGAAGTTGCTTTGACATTCTTTACTTCAATTTTCCTTAATTTACAGAACTGTGAGGGGAAAGTAACGTGTTTAGTACTCTAAATTTGACAGTAATTCGGCTCAAGAATATCTTTCATGTTCCTTCACCTTAGTTATAGCTTTTAAAAAATCATGAGAGTAAGACGCATTAATCATAATGTTTTACCCAGCTAAACAGAAAACACCTGGAAGGCAAAAATTAACCTTGCCAGGAATACCTAATTGTCCTACTAGCACAGTAAATGATACTGACCACATGATTACCTTCCCAGCTACTCAAATATCAGGAATGAGAAAGTTTCACGGGGAAAGCCAAGTCTACAAGTACTACTAACTAAGTTTGTGATATTGGGAAAATAACTTCTGATCTCTAGGCTTCTATTTCCTTATGCGTAACATAGATGAGGGGAAGCCCAGCTGGTGTGGTACAAGTATCCTCCCTTAAAGCACTTTTATTATGTGTTTTAAGTATTAAGAACTTGTGTGAGTCAACGCAGTGGGTTGAATGGAAGTTCCCAATAAATATACCTGTATGTTTTAAAAACTGTAAATATTACCTTATTTAGAAAAAATATCATTGCAGATTCAATTAGGACCTTGAGATGAGATCATCGTGGATTACCCGAGTGAACCTTAAATTCAATGACAAGTGTCCTTATAAGAGACAGAGAGAGGAAAGTACAGAGGAGAACATCCTGTGATGACAATGGCAGAGACTGGAGTGACGCAGGCACAAGCCAAAGTATGCCTGAAGTCACTAGAGGCTGAGAAGTGGCAAGAATGGATCCCATCCTCCAAAGTCCTGCCAATACATTGATTTCAGACTTCTGGCCCCCAGAATTATAAGAGAATAAATTTCTGTGGTTTCAACCACCAACTTGATGGTAATGTGTTACTGTGACCACTAGAAATGAATAGTTAAGTTCCCACAGGTATCAAAAGAGACCTTCATAAAGATACTTTTGCAAGAGGGTTCAGGCAAGATTGGAGGATCCAAATAGACACTCTGAGAAGAACAAGAGCAAGCAGGAACCTTTGCCACCTTTAACCACGAAGAAACAAAGGAAGAAACAGCCTTATCTTTATTGGAACTTAATGAGAGCTGGCGCTGTGAAGGAGGAGGAGTTCAGAGGAAGCTGCAGGAGTGCGCTAGGGCTGCAGGAAGACACAGCCAAACAGGACGGGAGCTAGGGGAGAAAGGCAGAGAATGCAATAACCTCTTCTCTATTTGGCCTCTCCCATCCATTCTCCAACCTTCCCAGCCCTGCTTTGGCCCTAGAGAGCTGAGTCCTGTGGGATATAACCCTCATGTTCCTTGGTTTCTGCCTCTGGTTGGATTTGGACAATGAGAAAAACCACTCAGAGGCTGGAGGACAAGGAGGAGTGAGACCAAATAGAGAACAACCTGCAGAGGTAACAAAAAAGATTTAGTTTTTAAAAATGAATCTATTGGGCAAAAGAAAGGCATAAAATCTCTGAAGACTTTTTCCAGGAACTATTTTAGTTCTAACATTCTGTGATTGTCTGAAATATTGTATGGAAACATATTCCTCTCTTCTAAACTTCATTTTTCTCCACCTTGAAAGAAACCATTTCTACGAAGTTTAACAAATCTTTAATAAATTCAATAAATCTCTTCAATCAGCCCAATAGAAGCTGGAAATTTAAAAGAAACATAAAATTTAAAAGAAACATAAAAGCTGGAAATTTCTGGACTACTACATTACAAACTTCTCAATTTCCTTCTTGCTTGGGGTACTAAAAAGTTGGCATATCTTTCAAACTCTACTTTTCGAGGGCTTGGTGAGACGCTTCATTTGCAAAATTTTTTAGCACTCACAGTGAACTCTGTGACCCAGGGATATTCTCAGTTGTGTCCTTTGTTTTCCAGATTTACTGTGCAACCTGCTCCTTATCATAGAATCTTAGAGTTGGGGAACAAAAGAAATTGAAGTAACTTTCACTTTTATTCATCCTTCTCCCCACAGAGCAACATTTTCATCAATATCTTGCAGCAGTATTTCATCTTCTATGTTGCAACATCTACTGACCAGGAAAGCACCATGGCTAATTTATCTGTTCTCTGACTTCATGCTTAATAATGAATGTTGCATATAAATAATGGTCAATGCCAGCAGAAATGTATGTTTTACATTTTTCTTGATTTTAAAAATGTTTTATTGTACAAACATACTATACATTCCAGACCATTACACACACTTCTCTAACCACTCATACCCACTTTTTTACTGTGATAGAGATGCTAAAGTTAGTAAGAACTTTCTTAATACAATTGTGATCTGAGAGACCAAAATAGATCCTTGTCAACTGAGACTCTGCTTAACACTAAGGATAAAGAAACCAAGTAACCTGAGGGTCAAGGGTTCAGGGGTCATCTGGCATGGCAAATTTCTGAATTCTTATTTCTCTAAACTCTCTTACAATAGGAGCTATCGGACCTCTCCTAACTTTGATTTGCAACCCAGACCACTACAACTCTGAATGGACAGAGGACAAACATTCTTTTGTGATAAACTACTACAGATCTGAGGTCAGTTTCAGTCAGCTTATAGAGGCTGTGCTCAAACTCTTTGTGTCCTATAGTTTACCTTTTGATGTTAAGAGGCAAATTCTACCTTATTTTAATGCTATACCCCCTCCCCAAAGTGAATATGGTATGATACATGTATGATTACCCATTACACATGTGCTTGGCTTCCCTCATAAATCTGTACAGCTTTTCCTTTAAACATGCTAAACATGTATGACTTTACTGTGTAATACAGTCCCTGTGAGGCATAAAATCCAGCCTGTCTCTCCCCTTTCCAAAGAGAGAGCACCTCCTGTACACATTATAGACTTTCTCTTCCTGGCTTACAAACCAATATTGCCAATAAAGCTCTCCTTATTTAGCCACCCTAGTGGTCTTTTGGATGATGCCATGAATTCAGATATTCTGATTAGTAAGGGAAAATCTTTCTAGGAAGAAACGAGTACCAAATAGGAATTTACTCTGCCATCCAGACTTTCTCTTTCCTTTGAGATTATTTTCTATTTCACTCTCCTGCTGCCATTGCACATTGGCCCCAGGGTTTATTTCAATCCCTTTAACACTTTGATTGAACCCAAACCAAATCTCTTTCTTGATGCCTCTTAGTCCAGCTAATACATGCTGGAGCTTTCCAAAAGATTTTCTAAACACAAAGGGATAACATAAATAAAATAAACACAATGGCTCCAAGAACTCTCAGCCACTTGGCTTACAAAATTATAAGATTCTGCCCTCGTTTTAGGTAGCAAGTTTCTAGGACAGAGAGTCTTACTAGGTTTTCTCGTGTTTAGTTGTTGCCCAACTTCACCCGTGGCTTGTAACTCACCTCTAAGAAGAGATGATATAAGGCATATAAGGAATGCTGAAATGAATTTAAAAACAGAATTACAGTGGATCTGTCCACAGGGCAATCTGTCCACATTCTGACGTTTAGTCAAGAACTAACAACAGGGGAAGAGGTTTTTTTCTACCTATCTGACAGTTTTCATTCTGAATGTCCAGTATGAAATTCAAGTATCATTGTGAAATAAATACTAGGAACAATCTCGCCTTTGAATTGTTTCTTGTCTGCCAACTACAGAGGTGCCACCTTGTTCCCAATATAGGACCTACAGTATAGCAATATCTGATGCAGCTTCAGCATAAGCATTTTACCTATGCCATAGAATAGTTGCCCATTCTTTACAAAGGCCTCTATGTACAAAAGAATGGATGCCTCAACCTCTACGTGCAAAAGGCCAATCTAGGATTTTTTCCTGAAAGGAAGTTGAGGACTCCAATCCTAGCATTTTTACTTTCCCTCAATAATTCTTTGAAAATTGTCTCTTTCCATTTTTGAAAGAAGTGAGTTTTTATCCGTTCTCTGCTCCTGCCTTTGTGACTGCAACAGAAGAGCTGTAAGAATTTTAGATAATGCCAGGTCAAATGATAGACTTACATTTTATAAAAACCAAGGACATAAACAGGAGGGCCAAGCAGAAAGTCATCTGAATCTACCTTCCGGCACTCTGTTATCACTGCTGTCAAAGTCATTGAGCCCTGAAAAAGCATAAATACGACTCTGATTACTAAAGATGTAGAAAGGCAAGAAAGGGCTCTTTGGTGAGGCAGACTCTTAAAATCCCTGACAGCAAATCTTGAAATTCCTAACAGCAGCCCCACCATGATATTCTAAGTATTTCTTTGGGTTATCTGGTGTTTCATGACTTCTATAGATATAAAAATACAGGGGAGGGTGGGGTCATGGGGGATTAGATCCACTGCTGGCAGAAGTTTTTGCAGATGCACTGGTGAGAAGCAAAGAAATGTGGGACCAGGGTAGGGTATAAGATGAAATATAATTTTTTCCTTGAATTTCATTAGGATGTTTCATAGGTATTCTCCACTATGAACATAGTTTTAAGGGTATAATCATGACTCTCATACATATAAAATGAACTAGTATCAAACATTTCAACTAATTCATTAATGAATGAGTACATTAGTCAAGTGTTAGAAGGTTCAAAGGAGTTTTCAGAGTATCACATACACATAGGCATATAAGGAATGCTGAAATGAATTGACAAACAGAATTACAGTGGATCTGTCCACGGGGCAATAATCAATTGCATTTCACTAGACACAACTAATTGCATTTCTATGTACCAGAATTATTTGCATTACTTTCAGTTTTCTACCATTTATAGAGTTGCAAATTATCTCAAATGCAATAAAATGTGGCTATAATCTAGAAGGATGAACAATACAAGACAATTGGTAATTATTTTTTTCCATCTCTTTCTTTTTTTTTCTTTTTTTTTTTTTTTTGGCCCATTTTGAAGATTCTAACCATTTTTTCCAGGCAAATTAAATAACTTTCAATGACCTTAAGAAAAGTTAGTTAAACCTCAAATGATCAATGTTGTGATTTATTTTACAAGTGGTCAATCAGATAATGTAGAAGGCAATGCTGCATAAATTCTAATAGGCTTTATGATTGTAAGCTCTTGGTTTTAGTGCAGAGTATTTATTATTCCATCATACTCAGCAAAGCTTCATTCTGGAAGAACTATTGACATCAAATTTTCACTTCTCCCATATCTGAAAACACACCATCCACTCCCTCAAGAAAATAATATTAAGGTGTTTAAAACAACTTCAAGATTAAACTACTTTAGTATGTTTAGTACGTTGTCAAAATATTCCTCCATACATCTATCATTTAATGAGAAAAGCTGTTAAAAAGGAAAGAAGAGTGAATGACTGAGGGTTGAGGGACACAACTAAAAAAATAAGAAAAAGCCAAAAGGTTATTTTGGGACTCAAGGCTTTTACTGATAAATTAATGAAGTTTTTAGACTCCAAAATGTTCAAAGCTCCGGAAAGAAATTCATTTTAAAGCCCTTCTGCTCTAGATAACAGCTTGAAAATACCACTTTAATATTTTTTGTATTGTGTGTTTTTATCATAGGTAATCGATGTTATACTTAAGGCAGCGTGACATTTCAAATGATTAAGGGCCTGGTGGGGGCATTCACAACGCAAGACCTTTTTTGCATTTACACTAATGAGTTTATAATGAGGGTTTTATTATATTAATTATGACTACTGGGAGTCAGAAAAAAAGCAGAAGAAATTCAAGAAACTTTACTCTTTAAGAAAATGGTTGTTACCAGATTTGTTGACATAGGTGGTTATTTGCACAAAGAGAAACAAAAGCCATTATGACTATTAATCACTACAAGCTTGCTGTGCTTTACCGTAATTACTAAATTAATTTATCCATGATTCCTGGGTTTTAAGTGTTTCCTTTTTTCTCCCCACAGCATGAAATTAAATCTTTACATAGCTACAGCTTCAGCATTTGAGTTGGTTGGCATGCAAGGCCAAGCTGATTGGCTAGACACTTCTATATCCACCCAACCCCCCGATTCAGTCTAATAGCAAAATTCAGTTCAGAACTAATCTCTCTGTTGCTATCTTGCAGGGTGTATAGATGCCGTATAGTTTTAATATGGCAAATTGCTTACCGGAAGCAAAAACTTCTAGACCCCCCTCCCTTTAGAGGTGAGGAGGCACCCTAAAATATCTATTGCTGTTGTGAACCTGCAACTACTCACTGATGGCAATTAGAGAAATTCTGTGTAATTTTAAACTATTCTGTCCCTGATGGGCATAATAATTTCATTGCGCTTATGCAGAATGCTTTTTCTACAGACGCGAACATCTGAAGCTGCCAAAAAAAAACCCATCATTTGGAAAAAGAAACTTTTCTACATGCCCTCAAACCAACCAAGTGCAGGGAGGATTGCTAATCTGGCAGTCAAGATAGCAGGAGACAACTGAATCAGTACTTGTGAATAATTACGAATTGTGTTGTTCCTTAAAAGCAATAGAGACTAGGAAATGGTGTAATTTGCCATGCCTGTTTGTAACTCCAGCAATATACAGCCTGTGATAAGATTTCACACTTTAATTCATCTGAGAACCTGGCGGTGTTTTACAAGCAGTAATTACTGAGAATCTCACCATGCTTAACTAAGACAAGCAAAGGCTACAGCAGAGGTCCTATTTTTAAAATTGGTAAATATGATAGAGAAAATTCACCATTTTGAAAAGCACTGGGAGAGAATTAGGGCAAACAATAGCTGACTGACATCACAGGCTTTTCTTTTTAGGCTATTGCAACCATGAAACAGTGAACCAGTATGAAATTCATAGTAGAAATAATGTATTATGTCTTTCTAAAAATCTGTTTATTTTAATAAATTTATTGAGTGCTTCTCTGGTCCAGACATTGCATGAGGCACAAGGACTAAAATGGTTTATTTGGGATGATAGGTATGCAAAGAGGCTATTACAATGCCTTGCCCTAAGTGCTGTGATAATGGAACATATCAAGGCCAATGAAAGCAGAAAGCAGAGTGCATACATTTATGCAGAAAAGTTGCAATTGTAGCTGGAAGCATTAGTGCAGGAATGAAGAATGGGTTTGCAAACAAAACAAAACAAAACAAGACAAAACCTCTTATTTGCAAAGTCATGAAGACATGTTTTAAAGCCAGCAAATGATTCAATATGGTTGTGCTTTAGATAAGGATCAGTACAGTATAGTTGGGCTGTAATATGCACGACAAAGAAATAATAAAGAGACCAGTATAGGGTAAAAGAAGAAAATCTTATTAAGAATATAAACCCCTTGCTCATTTAAGCAAAACATGAATTAAGAACACTTGATACCTTAAAATTACATTAGTCATGTGCTTTCATGAAACCCATATTGTAACAGTAATTCTCAACATCTGATTAATTAATATAGCAGCTGCTTTGCTTTTTAGCTTCTTCCAATCTTGTTAGAAAATCATGAATTGGAGTCTTTTGTTCCAATCTTCTTCCTCCAAAGGGATTAGAAACTAGTTTCCATTGTAAATTGACTTTCTTGCTTTATTGAATTTAATAGTTCTAGCTTCAATATAAATATAATACATATCCTGTCATTTTTCATTGACAATTTTGTAAAAGTTGGGCTTTTAAATAAAATGTAAATGTTTCATTTATTCTTTCACTAAAGCTGAAATATATAATGATGGAAATGTGTTTATCCACCTCCGTCTCCATATAAAAGACCCAAAATCAGTTTAAACTTCAAAACCTTAGAAAGCTGTTGACAAAAAGGATGAAGAAGTGTTTTGCCAAGCAAAACGGCATTAGTGTCACTGTTAATTTGCTTTAAATTGCCATAGAAAGGAGATTCTCATCTCATGCTAGCATTTCTTGTTGGCTTAAAACCAACCAGTGAATATTACATTTTATGAGCTCAGACATGAAGTGTATGGCTAAATATTAATCTCTCAGACCACTATACTTATAGCCAGAATCACACAGCTAGTGGACTAATGCAGTAAAATAACTTATTCCTCAGTTAAAATACTTAAGCATGGGCTTGAAAAACAATGTCACTAGTCCCACCTGAAATGATCCCAGACTCTGTGAACTCAATTGTTCTGGTGAGATCAGAGACCTAATGAATAAAGAGAAAATTACTATAATAAGATATTTTCACATTTGATTTATTTTGTATTGCCTAGAAAGAGTGAAATCTGTTTGAAACCAACAGAAAGACTCTGTAGAAAGGATTCATAAGTGAGAGCTTGAGATGCAGATCATTCATTCCTCTGTTCAAACATTTATTGATCTTCTATTATAAGCAAAGTATGGTGTGATATACTAACAAAAATAAATATTAGAGGATTCCTTACAATTTGCCACATATTTGGGAAAGATAAGCCTAATTAAATAAGAACAATTCAATGAGGTAAGCATTATGAAATGTATTCAAAGAACACTGAAGAGGGGATGGCTAACTTTGTCTATGAGGATGAAGAAAGCTTTACATTTGCAATAGATTAAATAACTATTCAAGCTAACCTCACTGTGATAGAATTATATAGCTACACTTTGACATACTTTTTGATGGTTCGAGTATAACTGTTATCCCTTAACATTGGCCTTGGCCATGTCACTTACTTTAGAAGAGTAGATGTCAGTGGACGTAAGACTAGCAGAAACTTAAAACTTGTTTGTGAATTTGGAGTTGCCCTTGCATTCCAGATGAATATACGCTGAAGAGCTGCTGTCATTTCAGCAGGGGCTCCAGGTAAAACTGGCAGTCTAGGACCAAGCCTAGCTGGCTACAGTCTGAAGCAGAGTCACTAACTTAAGCTCAGTCTGGAGTACTCAAACTACAGTCAAACTGCAGGTCTCTGAACATTAGAATAAATGCTAGTTGTTGCAAACTACTGAGTTCGTTTTTTTATGTAAGGCTGACTAATACAATATTTAAGTTGGGTTTCAAAACACAAATAAGAATTTTTAAGGAAGAAGAAAGATATTCCAGATAGATGTAGCAACATGTAAAAAAAAAAAAACAGAATGAAAGTAATAAATTGCATGATATGTTTACAAAGTATCAAGTAATTAGATGTTGCCAATATACAGGGTATGTGTAGTGAGCAGCTTAACATTAAACTGCAAATGTTGGTTGAGATTACATTGTTAAAAAAATTTGGAATGTATTCCCTAAGTAATGAGTAGAAATTTTTATGGAGTGAAATAACACAATTACTCCGTGGGTTCTCCCGTCCATTATAAAAGTTAAGGGGCTCTCTTATGTGTTTCCCAAAGCATAGACCCAAGGTTGAGTATTTAACTGATTTACCCCTTATCTAGCTACACAGTGGAATGGTTTTCTTGATTAAACACTTGCTGTTTGGGCCAAAAACCTTCACATAGCAAGTTCTGAATGACTTTTATCTTTTATCTTTTTTTTTTTTTTTTGAGGTGGAGTTTCTCTCTTGTTGCCCAGGCTGGAGTGCAGTGGCACGATCTCAGATCACCGCAACCTCCGCCTCCAGGGTTCAAGTGATTCTCCTGCCTCAGCCTCCCAAGTAGCTGGGATTACAGGCATGCAGCACCATCCCCGGCTAATTTTTGTATTTTTAGTAGAGACAGGGTTTCTCCATGTTGGTCAGGCTGGTCTCAAACTCCCACCTCAGGTGATCCACCTGCCTCAGCCTCCCAAATTGCTGGGATTACAGGCGTGAGCCACCACGCTTGGCCGACTTTTATCTTTTAATTTGGCATTAGGGGCCCTAAGTCATAGGAAAAGAAAGGAAGCAGCAGTCTGATATTCCTCTGACTGTTTCAAGTCCCAACTGTTCAAGGAATCATCAGGAAGGACCATTTGGCTTTTAACAGCATTTGCACTGGGATTGACCTTAATTTAGTGCCATTCAGTTTCCCCCCAAAACTTCTGCCCTCCCAGCAAACATAGCAAAACTTAAAGAAATCTTTGCCAACCACAGGAAACACAGCATCTAAGAGACCCTTCTGCAGTATCTTAAGGTGGCAGGAGATGTGGCTATTGTCAAAGCAAATATGCTGGAGATTTATGGGGACTATCTATGATTGTGGTTCAGGGAGCCTGCTCAAGCAAACATAAATCTTGGTAAAAGAGTCAGTCAAGCCATATAAAGATGCCACTAGGAAAATCACAACTGTCAAGAGCTGTACTTATTAGCATCACGAAATCAAGGAATGCTATGAATCTCATTTACATATGGATACATCCATCTCGTCCTAAACCATCTTCAAATGTAGCAATATCGCTATATCACCAATCAAAAGACAGTAGGCAATAGTTACTAGAGACAGAGAAGCTAGTGATTAAAACAGAAATACTGTAATAATTTCTAACATTGATGTAGTGTTCTCTGTCATACAAAGTGGTTTCATGCTCACTCTCTTAAGTCACTACAAACTTGTAAATTAGGCAATGCAGGCATTGTCTAACTTCTTCTTTGGATGGAAAAACCAAGGCTTAGAATAGTTAAGACAAACTTGTCTAAGGTCTCAGAGCTTGTCAATAGCTAAGGCAGGACTTAAGACAAGTCTTTGGCTCTTGAGCCAAGCCTTTTCATATGAATTGAAAGAATCTCCAAACAATCACGTGTTGTATGAACTCTCAGAGTCAGACTTGTAATTAGCTAAGATATAGGAATTTCCATCTTGTGCTGGGGCATTTTCCTACCCAACACTATCATCCTATGAGCAATCTAATGAAATCAAGAGAGGGCTTCTAGCAGAATGGAAGCCAAGTGATCACTTAGTGAAACATAGCAAACTTTATATTGAAAGAATGCCTCAGAGTTTACAAAACACTTTCATAACCAAAATTTAAATTATTGATTTAAACTCTGTCATTTACTCTCTCAAGGGCAGAATTTGTGTCAAAATTGCTTAAATAGTACGTCATAGGATTTGACACATAAATTCTTGTATATCAGTTAACAAGCTCTAATTTTATGATTATTCAATTAAGGAAATATATGCCCCCAGCAGTGAAGGACTCACCAAAAATTACGCATTCAGTTAATTAACTGAGATTCAAAACTTGTTATCCTAACTCCTAGATCAGACATTACACAATTATGACTATTCATATTGTGCTGCCTCAATGCTGGAGAAGTATCACTTTATCTTAGTCCCCGGCATAACCAATAGCCAACACATGTACACATGCAAAACACACACACACACACACACACACACACAACTTTAGGTATCTGTATCATCTAGATGTTAACCATTATCCTGTTCCATATAGCTTAAACATAGTTGTCTTGGCCTGCTATTCCTACTCTCTAGAAAGTCCGGTGCATTCCCCAACATTTCTGTCAATTGCCAGGGGCTGTTTTCATGGCTTGATTTTCTGCACTCTCTTGGACTATCAATTTCACTCACTTATCACTCCAGCAACCATTCTCTTATCTGCCCTGCACCAACCCAGGTGGAAGGCTAAGTTCTTTTTCCTTTAATTTTTCAAAAATAGATTCTGCAAAACACTTATGAGTAACAAACTTACTGAAGGCCTTGTGTGATTGGAAGGATTTATATCTCAGAAAAGCACATTACTTAAAATATTAGCAATGCCTATTAAGAAAAGCTCTTTAATCACCCCCACACTAGGGGATTTCTCACTAAGGCCACTTAATTGGTCATGTTTCTTTGGGGCCCCACTCTTTCCTCATAGCTCAATTTTCATTAAAAAAAGTCCTCAGAATAATTTTTTCTTTCCATCCATATTTTATCTACCTTTGTACATTCAAAGATTCTTGAATTTACTCTCATTAACATAAAGGTTGGAATAATAGACATTGCAGACTATGGAAGATGGGAGGGTGGAAGTGGGGCAAGCCTTGAAAATTTACCTTTTGGGTACAATGTTCATTATTTGGTGGTGGGTAAACTAAAATTCCAGATTTCACCATTACACAGTGTATGCATGTTAAGAAATCCACACTTGCATTCCCTAAATCTATAAAAAGAAAAAGGAAAAAAAAGAAAACATATTTTTGAATGTACTCTGCCAAAATAAACGTCATATAATCCAGGTTCCCTCTTTGGTAGGACAGAGGAGCTGCCGAAACCTTTGAAATTCATCTATCTCTCCTTCCTCCCACATAAATCACTCTTACTGCGAGGTTGCAATGATGAGATGCAACTCTCATCCTAGATCCCCACATCAGAAAATAGAAGTGACTACACTCTATTCAGGTTTTCAAATAATACTTTTTATAATCTTGTTCTAGGAATAAGTGAAAAATTTCCTTTGGAAATAGCAGTTGGCTATCAATATTGCCTGACACTCTGTCAGCATAAGATACCAATCCTGAGTCTCTACAAAGCCAGATGCTGGCTGAAGAAACCATGTTTAAACAGAAGAGCTAGTGTGTAATGCAATCAATCAAGATGCCCATAAGACAGGTAACCTTTCCATTATTTAATTAGTGAAAAGTTTCATCTTTTTATGTTTCCAAACACACACAAAAATGTATGTCCTGGTTCTTGGATATCCATTTCCTAATTACCTAAATAGTCATGGGTAAAACTCACCATTGTTCTCTGTTTTGTACCCCAGCTACAGCAGGTAAAAGTACATAGAAAAAAAATTGCTCCTTAAATTTTCTTTTCTTTTTTTTTATTTTATTAGTATCATACTTTAAGTTTTAGGGTACATGTGCACAATGTGCAGGTTAGTTACATATGTATACATGTGCCATGCTGGTGTGCTGCACTAACTATATATATATATGGTTTTTGTAATACATGTATGAAAGAGAAGCTCCTATAGCTGTCTCCATCCCCAGAGTTGTCTGGAAGCTGGTAATAATGTTAAAATTCAATGTCATAGTTAAGCACATGCCACTAGTGTCAGAGTTCTTAGGTTCAGATCCTCACTCCACCATCTATTATCTCTTTGATCCATGATGAATGCTTAAATGTCATCTTGCTTAACCTACTAGTGGCATTTAGCACTATTTATCACTTCTTTTCCTTGGAACACTAATATGGTTTGGCTGTATCCTCACCCAAATTTCATCTTGAAATCCAACATGTTCTGGAGGGACCCAGTATGAGGTAACTGAATCATGGGGGCAGGTTTTTCCCATGCTGTTCTCATGATAGTAAATAAGTTTCATGAGATCTGATGGTTTTACAGGGGGGAGTTTCCCTGCACAAGCTCTCTTTTTGTCTGCTACCATCCATGTAAGATGTGACTTGCTCCTCCTTGCCTTCTACCATGATGGTGAGGCCTCCCCAGCCATGTGGAATTGTGAATCCAATTAAACCTCTTTCTTTTGTAAATTGCCCAGTCTTGGGTATATCTTTATCAGCAGCATGAAAACAGATTAACAAGGTAATTTGGTTCTAGTAGAGTGGGTCATTGCTGAAAACATACCTGAAAATGTGGAAATGACTTTGGAACTGGGTAACAGGCAGAGGTTGGAAGAGTTTGGAAGGCTCAGAAGAAGACAGGAAAATGTGAGAAAGTTTGGAACTTCCTAGAGACTTGTTGAATGACTTCATCCAAAATGCTGATAGCAATATGAGCAATAAAATCCAGGCTGAGGTGGTCTCAGATGGAAATGAAGAACTTGTTCAGAAATGGAGGAAGGGTGACTCTTGTTATGCTTTAGCAAAGAGAGTGGTGGCATTTTGCCGCTGCCCTAGAGATCTGCAGAACTTTGTACTTGAGAGAGATGATTTAGGGTATCTGGCAGAAGAAATTTCTAAGCAGCAAAGCATTCAAGAGGTGACTTGGGTGCTGTTAAAGGCATTTAGTTTTATAAGGGAAGCAAAGAATAAAAGTTTGGAAAATTTGCAGCCTGATAATGTGATAGAAAAGAAAATCCTATTTTCTGAGGAGAAATTCAAGCCAGTTGCAGAAATTTGCATAAGTAATGAGAAGCTGAATGCTAACCCCCAAGACAATAGGGAAAATATCTCCAGGACATGTCAGAGGTCTTCATGGCAATCCCTCCCATCACAGGCCCAGAGGTTTAGAAGCAAAAAATGGTTTTGTGGGCCAGGCCCAGGGTCCCTCTGCTGTATGCAGTCTAGGGACTTGGTGTCCTGTGTCCCAGCCACTCCAGCTGTGATTAAAGGGGCCAATGCAGAGCTTGAGATGTGGCTTCAGAGGGCACAAGCCCCAAGCCTTGGCAGCTTTCAAGTGGTGTTGAGCCTACAGGTGCACAGAAGTCAAGAATTAAGGTTTGGGAACCTCTGTCTAGATTTCAGAAGATATATGGAAATGCCTGGATGCCCAGGAAGAAATTTGCTGCAGAGGTGGGTTCCTCATGGAGAACCTCTGCTAGGGCAGTGCAGAAGGGAAATGTGGGGTGAAGGCCCCCACATGGAGTCCCTACTGGAGCACCGCCTAGTGGAGCTGTGAGAAGGGTAGATCCACTGACAGTTTGCACTGTGCACCTTGAAATGCCACAGACACTCAATGCCAGCCAGTGAAAGCAGCCAGGAGGCAGGCTCTACCCTACAAAGCCACAGGGGTGGAGCTGCCCAAAACCATGGGAACCCACCTATTGCATCGGTGTGACCTGGATGTGAGACATGGAGTCAAAGGAGATCATTTTGGAGTTTTAAGATTTGACTGCCCTGCTGGATTTTGGACTTGTGTGGAACCTGTAGCCCCTTTGTTTTGGTCAATCTCTCTCATTTGGAATGGTTGTATTTACCCAATACCTGTACCCCCATTGTATCTAGGAAGTAACTAACTTGCTTTTGATTTTACAGGTTCATAGGTGGAAGAGACTTGTCTTGTCTCAGATAGGATGTTGGACTGTGAACTTTTGTGTAATGCTGAAGTGAGTTAAGACTTTGGGGGACTGTTGGGAAGGCATGATTGGTTTTGAAATGTGAGGACATGAGATTTGGGAGGGGCCAGGAGTGGAATGATATGGTTTGGCTGTGTCCCCACCCAAATCTCATCTTGAATTCCTATGTGTTGTGAGAGGGACCTGGTGGGAGGTAATTGAATCATGGGGGTAGGTCTTTCCTCTGCTGTTCTCATGATAGTGAATAAGTCTCATGAGATCTGATGGTATTGTACGGGGGAGTTTCCCTGCAGAAGCTCTCTTTTTGCCTGCCGCTATCCGTGTAAGATGTGACTTGCTCCTCCTTGCCTTCTGCCATGATTGTGAGGCCTCCCCAGCCACGTAGAACTGTGAGTCCAATTAAACCTCTTTCTTTTGAAAATTGTACAGTCTCAGGTATATCTTTATCAGCAGCATGAAAACGGACTAATACAAACACTTTCTTCAATTGTTCTTTCTTTATATGCCTTTCAGGATACCAACTTCTTCTACTTTTCTTCTTACTCACTGATATCTCCTTTTATTCTTCTTTATGGATGTTTCCTAATCTCTTTGACTTTATAGTATTAAGGTGTCACAGGGATCAGTTCTTGGCTCTCTTTTCTTTTTTATCTAATCTCACTTCCCTTGTGATCTCAAACTGTTTTTATTACTAATTTGGCATGAATTTTCCTCCTGGACTCCAGCTTTATATGACCAACTAAATGTCTTCACTTGGATATCTAAGCAGCATCTCAAATATAACGAAGTCCAAAACTGAATTCATGATCAACACCTTCTCCTTAACCAGTTCTTTTTACAATGCACCGCATCTCAGGTGATGGCAAATATGTCTTTCTACCATCTTCTTCTCTCGTGCCTACATCCAATCAATCATAAATTCCTAACCTATCAGGAAATATGTCCAATATCTGACTACTTCTTAGAGATCACTACTACTTTTGAGTCACCAGAATTCCTTTCCTAAATTATGGCTATAAGTTGTTCCCTTGACTGGCCACCTTATAGTAAATTATCAATTACAACAGCAAGAATCATCCTAGTCTAAAATACAGACAGATATGTGCCAGTGGTTTGTCCTTTGGTTCTTAGCCCTATACTTGTGCTATATTCTCCACTCTGTTGCTAGGCTGAAAGCAAGAAAACTACATTTCCAAACCCCTCTTGCTAATTGTACTCTTATTGGGTTTTTCCAATAAAAGCCTTAATAAAATAAAAGGCATTGGTGAGATTTTAGCATTTTGGAGAAAAAAAAAAATGTATGTTCTCTGCTCTGGCCTCTATAGCAGCAGCAGGAATAGACTTGAGGGAACTGTAGGCTCCAACATCATTGGTAATTCCAGTTTTATTGGTAATTCCAGAATTAGCAACAGAGGTAACTTCTACTTAGTTGTGGTTGCAATGCTTCTTATAAAATCTACAGCAGTGACTCCAGATGCACTAGCAGTTCTGCAGCAAAGACAGGCCTATGGGCTACAAAAGGAACTGTGGCAGCATTCTGATTTTTGGAGAAAGCCCCTTCTACCTTTCTCTCTCTCACCTTTAGTTCCTTATATTATTAGGGTGCAAAAGTAATTGCAGTTTATGCCATTAAAGTAATGTTGAAACTCGCAATTACTTTCACACCAACCTAATAATTACTCTCTGTTTCCATTTTCAAGACTGGACATAAGTTGATATGACATATATCCAGTAAATTGATGTAAATGTTGTAAACCAAGTTATATGGGTATAATTGGCACAGAAAAAAAATGATTATTCTGTTTATGGGGATATCATGAGAGAAAGCCGCACTTTGGGTCTAAAAGGTTGAGTTTATAGGAGATTGGAGTGAGGCTGAAGAACCAAAAAGGCATCCTAGGCAGACAAAACAGCAAGTATAAAGTTAGGTAGATTTTTAAAAATCATGGTATTTGGGGAAGAAGGATGGTCCCAGACATGGAAATGTATATATTTATATACAGAGAACTCACTCTACCTTAGCTGTTTAATTATATTCAGATTCTTCTTGCTTTCTTACTAAACATGTTCTTCTTAACCCCTTTTAACTCCACAGAATTGCACACTCTAAGTAGCCAAGGGCAAAATTGGGAATAAAAAAGATTGTGTAAAAAAGTTTCACACATCCTGCACATAGCTGAAAAAATTAGCAGCTATGTAACCCATGGGGATGTATTGAAACATAATTGATCGATGTTTGTAAATTGCTTTGAGACTCTCAGTGAGTAAATACATTGAAAAGTTCTGTCATCATTTTTCTTATCTAATGTGGTTTGTGAGAGAATAAGTTGGTGAGTGGCAGAGAATAGGCAGCTTCCCAAATTAAGTTTGAGAAGGACAACTTTATATGAAGAAAATAGTAAACTTCTATTAAATTTTATTAAGATATTTTTGTTACAACAAGCAATAATAGTTATAAATAATTAAACAATAAAACAAGTCTAAGCATGTGTGCTTTGAAGTCTTTAATGCATGCCTCAGGCATGTGATAAATCATAATGATAGAATCAAATTGACTTTAATCAAGAAGCCTGCATTAATGACATAGTAATTCATACTCAGTTGTCTACTTATTGTTATAATACCACCAATATTTTCACAGATTCAAAGATCCACTTTTTCCTTCTGCACGGACATACACACCTACAAAAAAAATCCAAAATGCGGATTAAGAACAGATGTCCTTTCCCCAATGCCAGTATTTAATATTAATTGTAAAATCTTGAAGGTCTTTTAGTTTTAAATGTCACATTTTAGAATACAAAGCAAGATGTGAACATAGCAATTCCCTTCACTTCCCATCTAGTTAGATTGTTCCTGTGATAGAGTTAAACAGACCATGAAATGGACTCTTTCAAAACTAAATATCAGTAGATTAAAATCTATAGTTATTTTCACACATTTATTCTTCCCATCTCATAAATAGGACACCCTCAAAATAGTTCATTCTAAAAATCACAGATTAGTGCTTTAAATAGAGATAACCTGACTTTATTAAAATTTCCAAATGTTTCTCTTTGCATGCAGCCTTGTCATCAGAAATCATCTTAGTTCTCTGCAGTTGTCAAAAACCCACAAATCTTCATGGCAACTGGCAAGTAACAAACAAAAAGTTTAGGTCTGGTTAACATTTATGTTATAGTGACATATCATAAAGAAAACAAATTAAATCCTAGAATCTTGCCTCTTTGATGCCCAGGGATACTAAGTTGTGCAACTCTGTAATACACCAATCATATTGTATTCTATCTGAATATTGCCCCAGACCCAACTACCCGCGTGTCCCCAGGGCAAACTAATACAATTAGGACCATTTCACCCAGGATTCTAGCACTGAAGGGCAGTTCATTAATTTCATGATTTTATTCTTTTTTGGCTGTCTTTGAGGTCTTGAAGGATGTCCCTATTTCTTATGATTTTGTTTTTGTTTTTTGTTTTACTTTGTGTATAGCATAGAATGGCAACCCTTGGATTATGTGCATATATATAATATAATATATATAATCTATATGATATATTAAACATGTATACATTAAACATATATATATATATAATTTTTCCCAGTGTATAGCATAGGATGGCAACCCTTGGACTATGTGCTTACATATATAATAATATATGAAATATATATTTTATAATATATACTACATTATATTATAATCATAATTATATAAATTTTTTTCCTTTAAAGCCCTCTTCTTCTCCCATGCCAAAGAAAACTGCTGCACACTCTATGAATTACCAGTTGAATCATAGTTTTATGTCTTTTCACGCTACATCTTGCTTTAAATCTTTGATGGTACTTGAAGCCCTAATGATTAAGTCCAGACTGATTAGCTCAGCATTCAGCCTGATATCAGTTTATTTTTCCGACATCTCTTCCTGACACATATCACCTTCCAGGCACAGTTAAGCTCTGAGCTCAATCGGCCACTCCACATTTCTCACAAATGTCATACACTTTGATGCTTTTGTGCTTTCATTTACAATATTCTCAGTACTTAGAATAGCATTCCGAAATTTTTCTTTTGAAAAACTTATATTAATTATTCTATATTAGCTTTTTTTCCAGTGGCACATTGACTTGCCCCGTCAGATGTATGTTATGCACCTAATAAATATTTCTAAGATGCCTCCCATCCATCAAGCGTTAAAAGTTGGAGACACAACAGTAAAAAGAACAGACCCTCTGACCTTAAGAAGATGACTACCTTGACTAAATAGGTAATTATAACGAGTGCTGTGATAGAGAAACATCTTTGGTGCTACAATATGAATAAGTCTCTGCTAGGGATAACCAAGCAGAGGTCTGAAGGATAAGAAGGAGTTAACTGGATAAATTGTAGGGAATCTCATTTCCATTAAAAGGTCAAGCTTTCCCAAACTATAATAGAATACCTCGAAATTTATAAAGTTTTATAGACATCATCTCCTTTAATTTTTACAGCAATGAATTAGGTATTATTTTTTCCACTTGCAGATGAGAAAAGTCAGGTTCAGCCTCTGAGAGTGAGGTTCAAATAACTTTATATTCCCATTTTGTCTTGTGGTGATGTTGAGTCATATTACCTGGTGATTCAGTCAAAGTTCAATCAGTGGATAGAAATTACACAGTAATTTCAACAGGAAAAGTTTAATATAAAGAATTAGTAACTATAACAGGAAAGTAACTATAAAAATATGGAGAGAACTCTTAAGAATACCCTGTGGCTGAGGAGGAGTACCCTAGAGAGGACAAGAAGAAAGGGGACCCCCACAATAAGGCAGGAATTCGAACTTTGTTGAAGATGTGTTTGCGGTGCATTGGATAGTGTAGAAGTTCACTAGTTTCCACAAGCCAGTGGTTTGCAGTCACTGTAAAACCAGGTAGCAACCATGGAGTGAGCACAAACTCAGTATGGCAGGCAGGCATGAAGAGAAAGGGTGTGTGGAGCGTGCTCACAGGAGGTGGTCTATGGATTGGTATGGGTTGGGAGAGGGCCACAGGAAACAATTCTCTGAGTATCAGACAAGTCGAATGGAAACCAGGGTGTTGAGAAACTGCTTGACAGCAGGGTGGCATGTGTCTTGGAGTAAGCATGTCTCAGAGACATCCATGTAAAAATAAATAAGGGAGAACACATCTGCCTGGTTCCCTCCCACTGTCTGTTTTCCATTGATCAATGCTCTTACCACAAGGAATCTCCCACACTTCTGGGTTTTGTCATCTGGAAACTTTGGAAGTCATTTGAGATGCCAAACCTCACACTCTGTAGAGTGGGCTTCATTTAAAGGTGGAAATAGCAGGAAAAGCCAGAAGCCCCAGGCTGAAGCCGCTCACCATAGCTGTGCAGTAGAGGCACAAAGGAGGGCCTGGTTAGCAACTCTGGTCAAGTGACTTGTCAGTCCCTGGTGGTGTCCATGGGTCTGGATGGTGGATACAGTTGAGGGAACCTGAGTACATGAATAGGTATCTAATACACACCCTTTGACCCTCTTTTCTCCATATTCCATGGCTGATTAATCCCTAACACATGAGTGGGTTACTACCAAATCTCAATTATGGAAGCCATTTTTTCTCTTTAAGTTACATTTATATATTTTTACTTTCATAGATTCTGTGCTTTGCAGTTGAACATGCAGCATAATATTAATATTATATATAGTATAATATTAATATATTTTTTCTATAACATTTTCTGTAACATTACATATTATAGAAAACTATATTTTTTAATATATTTTATATATTTATTTTAGAATGAATATATATATATATTCATTCTAGGGCATGGGAAGTCTCATTCTGGATCAGAAGAACTGACAATAAGCCAGAATTTGAACCTAGGTCCTTTTGCCCTTTCTATTATCTTTGGTGATAAAATTGAATAATTGTGTTGTAGACAGACTGGTTTCATCCTGTTGCCCCATTGGGCAGTTTTTTTCAACCTATTCATTCCCATTAGACTTGTATTCATTTCCTCCCAGACTATAGGAATTATGAGGACTCCATGAAATAGATTAATCACTGTCTGCTGTGGCTCAAATGTATGCATTCCTTCAAAATTTATATGTTGGAACCTACCCCCTCAAGGTGATGGTATTAAGAGGTAGGGTCCTTGGGAGATGATTAGGCCATGACTAGGCTCTGCCTTCATTGATAATATTGGTGCTCTTATAAAAGGGCTTGAGGAAGATGGTTCATTCCTTGTTCTCCCCTTTTGCCCTCTTGCTTTCTGCCATGTGAGGACACTGTGAGTAGATGCCATTAGGATGAGACAGGCTCTCATCAGATACTGAATCTGCTAGCACCATGATCTTGTTTGGACTTCCCAACCTCCAGAACTGTAAGAAATAAGTTTCTATTACCTATAAATTAGCCAGTTTGTAGTATTTTGCTATAGCAGCAGGAGTGAACTCAAATACTGCTTTTCAAAGGTATTATGAGAACAGGGAGGGTAATGAACAACCCCCAAACCTAGTTTGAGTAGTATGGCTGTAGATACATGGTATTTTAATGTTCTGAAAACAGACAAGTGTTGTGTTTAAAGCCATGGGCACCAAGTCAGATACAAATTCTGTATATATATGCTGTGTGCCCTTGGCAAAATCATTTAACACCCCTGAACTGTATCTGGAAATGAAAAAAATAATGCTTATTTTTAAGGATTGTCGTGGGAGTTAAGTCACACATATTTGAAAAAACCTGGCCCAAATGAGAAACAACTTTTTTCAACTACTCAGTGTTATGTGATTAAGTCCTCTTTGTCTTTCTCTCTTTTTGCCCAAGTCTCAGTCAACACAATTGAAATGATGTCGTAAACACCAAGATTCACTGTAACAGTTTCTCTCTAGCCTTTATTTGATTGTATTTATAGGTCCATGAATGTATGTATAAATGTGCTTGTCTGAGTCACTGTCTATATTTGTATAAAAGTATCATCTCTCATTATCTGAAGAATCATGAATATAATTTAACTGATATACCTGAAAGACGTAAAGTTTTTTTTTTTAAGCTAGAATGTAGCTTCACATGGTAGCAAGGCGATTCACATCTTGGCAAGCTTTCATGTGAAAATGTTTTGCTTTGCCATATGGCTCCAGATATGGTCAGTTACATCCTGTTAACTTTTTTCTAGACACACGCTGGTTGGATCCTCCTCTCATTAAAACACAGCAGAGCCCATTAAAGCTCAAATGACAGGCTATTTATTCATTCACAAAATAAGCATTTGCTCAACCTGAAATATGTGTGTGACACCGTAGATGTGGAAACTAGTGAAAAAATTTGAGTTATGAACACATTTTGGGTTCTCATTTTTAAGTTTTTAAGACTCTTATCTCACGAGATTATTGACTTTTGGAAAAATTATACTATTTCTTAACAGTGGAAAAACTAGACCAAAGAAAGGAAAAGTTTAGTATTTATTAAGCACTGTATTTGACAGAACAGGTGACATAGTGCTTAGACATAGGCTGTAGTGCACACAAAGGACAGGGAAGGGCAAATAATAGATCTGGGAGCAAGGGAAGCATAATTGACAGAGATTTTGTAAATCAGCCCTTACACATTTAATCTACCGTCTTCTTGATTCCATGCATGCTTCTGCATCCCAGTCATTATAACATTCCACATTCTATGTGGAACAACTAGAGCCTTCAACAAGAGACAGGAGGATCGTTTGTCACATTTGCCTTCCCAGGTTTTATTTTTTCCTTTCTTTTTTTTCTTGACATTCCATTCTATGATTGAAAACAGCTTCAACTAAATTATAACCTCAAGCTGTTCCAGATTTATCACTCCTCACCATGATAATATTTTAAGTCTTTGAGTTCTCCCATCATCTAGAACATTTACATCAAAAATTTGAAGTTGCACAGATTTATATATAAGACAAAATAAATAGGCACTTTTTATCCTTCGGGTTTTTTATCAGACTTATAAGCTCCAACCCAACAGGAAATACTGTCAGGCCTCCTCTTTGAGATAAATAAAAATGTAGTACTTGGAGGAAGTTATTCCAGATCACAAAAAGATTTTAGATAGAAGCCAGAGGGGACAGTGACTATTAAAGCTTCAGTAAAAGTAACCATTTATGTAATTTCTAACTTAGGATTCAGAAAGCAAAAAGATAGAGATTTAACAAGCATGTGCCCTTCAATGCCATTTAATCCAATTCTGTTTGACCCTAAGGCTTCTTTTGAATTAAGACTAGTCATCTACAATGTTAATATTCTTGCCTTCACCAGTCTTCAAGCACAATATCTGAGGTAGATATTGTCATCATTATTTACAAATAAGCAAACTGATGCTGAAGGAGAACAGACACAGAAAACAAGTGGCAGAACCAAGTTCAATTCCTGGTCTACCTTATCCCAAATTCCATGTTCTTTCTACCTCATACTACATTAGGCTGACAGATGAAGACTTTAACAGGCAAGACTTATTCATTCTCCACTTCATGTATTTACTAAGTACAATTGATACAGAAACCTCTCTTATACCGGATCCATGAGTAATTATTTCTGCGTTTCTTAAAAATTGAAGGAATAGGGCTGACAAGTAGGCTTAAACTTTGAGATCCTTGATGTGATGAGAAAGTTGATTATCTGACATTTAATAGGATCTGGAAAATTTGCCAGTAGCATTGCACTGTGTAATGAAAGAGGAGACTGCTTAAGAGAAGTATGATTTCCCTGTCATCACTGAGAAAGAGATTCAATGAAGCAGTTCTGAAAATCCACAGTGGCAGAATAATTATGCCAAAGCACAGACATCACCTTAGGAGGGATGGAATAAAATGATCAGGGTCAGTGTGATACCAGAAAATAATTAAAGTTTTTGACCAATGGGCCATGGTATCTCATGGTATCTGTGATTTGTAATATCTTGATAACAAGTTCAAAAGCAAATGCTTCTATAACCTTCAGCTGCCAATCCTTACTCATATGACTTGAACTGGTGGAGAGATTTAATACTTACACAGAAAACACACACACACACACACACACACATACACACACACAAACACTTCCTTTCCTGGAGGCTTTTATTTCTATTCAAAACTGGAATCAAGACATCCAATCAGTATTCACTACAGGGCCTTGGGTAAAATTGTGAAGTGAGCAAAGTTCATCTTCAGCAATCTTTAATCAAAATCCTCTTTCCACACTTGTTATCCTCTTAGGGACAGCTCTACTTACACCCTTTGCTATCCAGTGAGCTAGTTTCTGCCTCCTTCTACCCTTTCAAATTGCCAAGACTAATTCTCAGGAGATTTGGATCTCACTTATGGTAATCTATGGTGGATTGATTGTATTAGTTGTCTATTGCTATATAATAAATTACCACAAATTCGCTGGCTTAAAACAGTACACTCTTATTATCTCACAGTTTCTGGACACCAGGCTTAGCTGGATTCTCTGCTTAGGGTCTCCCAAGGCTGCCAAAAATGTGTTGGCTGGGCCACATTCTTATTTGGGGAAGAATCTGCTTCCAAGATCATTCAGTTAGTAGAATGTATTTTCTTACAGCCATAGGATTAAGAGTTTATAGGTTTTTTTGTTTTCGTTTTGTTTTTTTTTTTTTTTTTTTTTTTGCTGGCTTTTGACCAGAGCCTGCTGCAGGCTCCTGGATGCCATCCACAGTTTCTTGTCACATAGACTTTCAACATGGCTCGTCTCATCGGGCCAGAAAGAAGGATCTCTACATTGAGCCTGCTAGCAAGATGGATTCTTATATTAGGTAATGTGGCCATAGGAGTGGCATCCCCCTCACTTTTGCCACATTCTATTGATCAGAAGTAAGTCACGGGTCCCATTTACACTCAAGGGAAGAGAATTCCACAAATTCGTGTGTGTGTGTGTGTGTGTGTGTGTGCCCCAAATAGTCATTTTGGTCAATAAACAGCAAGAACGTTTGAAGAAGAGAGAAAAGTAGCAGGTTTGTCTAATTTCCATGAATTCTGCTGAAGAATAAGCATGATCCACAGGCTAGAAGCTTTATTGTACACCCACGTTTCGTTGTTATGTATTCACACTAATAAGCAATGGAATCTTGGGCAAATTATATAACTTCAGTTGATTGATCTGTAAAATGAATAATAAACATACCTTATTGTCAGTTTTGCTATCTAGATTAAATAATCCCAGAGGTAAAAAAGAAACTGGCTTTAGAGTTGCTCCTTCCTCTTTATACCCTGGGCCACTTCCTCCTGCAAATAAAATGTAACTGTGCACTAAATTTACCAGTAGAGTCTCAAGCAACAAAGACAAAAGGGGGAAATTATGTATCTTCAGCAATAATATTTGAAAGAAAATAGTCTTTCTTTTATGACTCTTTCATAAGTCAGGGAAAGCAGCTCTCAAACAATTTTTTTAATTTAAAATATGTAAATATATTATTTTTGTAAAAATTCAAGCATCATAGATAAAAATTCCCTGTGATCACCATCCCCAGTTGTATTTATAATCTCAGTGATACTACTTTTATTGATTTTTTAAAATATATTATTTCAGAACTTTGCTATGCAATTATAACTAATTTTATAGATCATTTTGTCTTACATGTGTTCAGATAGATACTATTATACTGTACATAATGTTCTTTTACTTGTTTTATTATTCATCATATTTTCTGGAATTATATTCAGGTTAGTACATACAGGGTAATATTATTTTTTAAGCTGTCCTATAATATTTTCATCCCCACATTGCTTCCTGTGGACATTCAAATTAAAAAGAACCTATTCTGTTTTTTATTTTTAACTATAGTAAACTATATTGAAATGAACTTCCTTGAAGATATCTTAATATGCAAATGTAAGCATTTTTTCTAGAGTTAAAGAAAAGAATTGATGCAACATAAACTAAACATTCTTATTTTAATATAAGCTTCCAAAATGACCATACCAATGTATACTCCCCTCAGCAGTGAAAAATTGGTTGGGATTAAATAAAGTTATGTGGATAAAGTGCCTAGTGCAGTCCTTGGCATGTATTAAAGTGTTCAATAAATGTTAGATCTTATTACTAGAATAAGATAAAAATGAGCAATTTTCTGATAGTTTGGTTTCATGGGAGGATAGAATTTGGAAGAATAGGGCAGTTTGATAAGATTCACTAAATGCATAAGTGACAATGTGAAACTCAAATAAGAATGTGATGAGGACAAGCTCCATACTTCACAATTTTGCCTAAGACCAATTCAGAGTGTACTTAGAACTCAAATATATTCAAATTATTAATCTGGCACAGGGATATAACCATCATTTGTACTCAAATAGGTAAAGCCAAGTATTCAAGCCCCAATTGTCCCTCTTTAGAAAATTTTATGTGAACTAAATTATTTTCATAAATTATACCCATGTTAGATTCTAACAGACCTAAAATTTCATTTGTGTTAACAAACATGACCACATGAATTGAATGTGACTTAAAATAGAATGACTTTTCAGTCCTAGTGCATTGCACAGGAATAATAAATGACTCAAGTAAAATAAACCCTAAGTAATAAAAGTAAATGAACAATGATCAAGTTTCTCTTTTAAAACACTCAAGGTATTTGACTCTCTAAATTAGCTTAAGAGGAGTTTAATTGGAGTTCTATTGATAGAGCTGGTAGACACAGGAATAGGTGCTGAAAAACAAACTCTTAGCTAATGTTTTAAGGAACCATTAGTCAATAGTGCTAAACACTTCACAGGATTTCATTGTAAAATATGCTTGTGCATTTCACATTCTCATTCATTTTGGTTTTGTCATTTTAATTGATTGTTATGTAAAAACAACGTTTGCCAATAGAAAACATTTAGAACCAAAAGGATGATAGTAAAAATTCAATCTTGTTTCCCCCAGTGAGTCCCCCTCAAACTCTCTCTGTAGAGGCACCTAGTACTGCCAATTTTTCTGTGTCCTTCCAGAAATATTATGTTTATACAACCATATATGTGTTTGTAGATATATTTTTCAACAAATGTAGAAGAATTAGACAAACCAATTTGCATTTTCCATAAATCACTGCTACCATGAACTACTTAGTACATGTAATTGTGCTCAAATGTGTCAGTATCTTTGAAGATCAGTTAGCTCATTAGAAGGAGCATTGCTTGGGTTAAAGGCTATGTGTCTTCAATTTTGGTAAATATTGCAAATTGTAATGAAGGATGAGAATTTACATGCATATTTCACTAAAGTTTGTTTCCCAAACTGTCTCCAGATATAATCTCTCAAGTAATTTTTTGTCAATCTGATAGATAAAAAATGGATGGCATGTATTTATTTCATAATGACATTGACTTTATTTTTTCTAACCATTTATTCTGTGTGTACTGTGTACTACTAGTTTGTGTTCTTTGTCAATTTTTCTATTAGATTGATATTCTTTTTCTCATTGATTGTATGAGTTTTTCATCTATTAAAGAAAGTAGCTTTTTTGTTTATTTGTTTTTGTTTTTGCTATTGTCAGCAAGGATTTTTACTTCAATTGGTTATTAGTCTTTCAAATTTCTTTATCTTATTTTCCTATTGCCAAAATCTTATAGATAAGTATATCAATATTTATTTTTTTCATCTTTTGAGGTTTATTTCTTGCTGAGAAAAATTCTCCAAATTCCAGAAGTATAAAATAATTTGTCCTCTTTCTAGAAAATCATCCATTTCATGCAGGTTTTCAATTAATTTGGATTGAGCAAAATTACATTTTGCAATCTGTACTTAAATTCTCCTTCCTATTTCTTATTTTGTGCCTCTGTACTTTCTCCACTCCCTCCAATATTTTATCTTGATTAAATAATTCATCATGTATTAATTATATTTTTCAAAAGAACTAGTTCCGAGATTTATCTATTAATCTATTGTATTGTCTTTTCTCTCTTTTACTAGTTTCAGGTTTTATCTCCACTTGCTTCTGTTTCCCTTCTACTTTTTCTGAATATTGTCTGTTTTATAACTATCAGTTTTTATCTTTATCTTTTCCTTTCCTTATAATTATTTTGTTGTATTTGTCCTCCTAGGTTCCTAAGAATAAATGCTTCATTAATTTTAGTCTTTTGCTTTTCAAATGATACAGACTTTTTTGTATTTTTAAGTAATGATTTATTTTCCCTTTAGTTAAGACAACAGAAATTAATTTCTAAATATATTTAATATAGGTTTTCATTTGAAAAATATATGGAAATAAGTTGGCCAAGCAAAGTAGACATATCCATGTAAAAACAAAGAAAGCTCATAATTTTAAAAAAGGAGATTTAGGGAACTATTCTGTTCCACTGATCCTATGACAACATACCATATTCTGCAACAGAATAATTAGTGGGAAAATTAAAGCTGAAATATTCTCTGGCCTTTAGTTATAGGCATTTTAAAAATGACCTTATAAGAATGTTTAGACAATTTCAACTGTAACATAGCAAAATAACGTTTATAATTCAAACTGATCATAGCTACTAATTTTCAAAAGTAGAACTGAAAACCAGAATTTAAAAAAAAATTAATCAGTTTGTACCAACTAGAGTAAGACTTTGAGCCAATAAAGAGTCTTGGCTATATAAAATTGGTTCTAGAACTGCACAATGAATTGAGAGCTAAATTTCTTTGGAAAAGAGGTTGAAGAGGACCCTGAGTAGAAGGAATGCAAAACCTAGAAAAACAAAAATTATATGAAGGACATCGAGAGACAGAGCAGAGAGAAGCACACTAATAGAAACTTGGAGTATATAATAAACAGATATCTTATGAAACATTCTTGCTTTTGAGAAGTTTGTAGACTTTTATGGAAATACATGTCTAACAATAAGGTTTAGATTATTTGTTTTGCTTTAATGTAAAACCAAAACTCCTTAAGGATGTTTCCTATACACACAAATATCAGGTGCATGTGGTTTGTGGGCATGGGGATCGAGAGATAACCAAGAGAAAGTGATTTCTACATCTGGGTTAGTGGGTAGTTGAGGAAGAGCATCATTTGGGGAGTAAAATGCAAATAAACTGAAAGCCAGAACTAAAGTTCTCATGAGAAATCCACAGGAACTAGAAAATATTTAGGCAAGAATATTTGAGCTCATACAAGATATGGGCTAGAGGGGTTAAGCCAAATGTATAATAGTACCAAATTAAAAACAGGCCTGACACCACTAAATTCAGAGGATAAAATTTCAAATTGGCATAAAGACCTGGAGTATTATGATAAAATTTTAAGCAGAAGTCTCCACACCTCTATAATTTTTATCTGTGTTATATTCAGATATCTTTGATAGAAAGCTTAGACTCATAGAGAAGTATATGATGTAACATGTAATTTTAGATATCCTAAATTTTATGAGTTGATTTTCTAAATTCTGAAGTTAAACTGAAAAATATTTTACAAAATATATACCTTATTATAAAAATAATATATTACTATAAACTTGCTCTGAAAAAAATAAAGTGCTGTAATTAAAGAAGAACATTGAGAGGATCCAGGAGCTATATAAAATGGAAACATTAGCAATTTATTAATCAGTGACAAATGAATTTTTAAAATATAATAATTGAATTAGCACTGCCAATTCCAGAAGTCTCACTACGCACACTTACCTCTGGCTCACACAACATTTCATTGAAATGATAGAACAAACTCTAAAAATAGGTATAAATTTAGAGCAGCTCTGATGTCAAAGAAAAATTACACAGGATGGAGTTAAATGGGGAAGATTTTATTTAAGACTATTGCAATAGGGGAGATAGACTGAATTCAATTGTGCTTAAAGAAAAAATAGGAGTTTTTAAATGCTGTGCTAAGCTAGTGGAAAGGGTACTCCAAGACATCCAAGAGATTAGTGAGTATGATTAGGACATCAGTATTTGCTAACTAATTATTGAAATTAGGCTCCCGGCTTCTCACAGAGATTGGGATATAAGAGCACTATTTCCTTCCTTCCGTGATTATGTTTCTAGGAAGTGGCTCTCAGGGCCTTGAGCAAGACATTCCTGGGTTTTAAGAGTAACTAGAGGTTCAAGGAAAATTCATATCTTAACTAAGCAGAGAAAAAAAAAATGCAATTTTAAGTTTTCTGAAGTAGAGGCTCTAAGAAAAGGGAGGTCAGGGATCCAGAGTCAGGAAGAAGCCTGTCTAAAGTTTAGTAAAGCTGAGGGGAATTAACACCATCTTGGTCACTAGAAAACCAGAAATGGTTTCACTAAGAGACAAAGAGTTAAAGAAATTCTAGATAACAAAAGGAAATATATTGACTTCACCAGAAAACTCAATAGACAGTGCAGCCTGAGAATCTCTACAGGAAAGAGAGAGAAACTAAAGAAGAAAGTTTTTCCTGAAAAAGCCACGGCCTAACCTCAAATCAAAGCCAGTCGGATTGAAAAAATTCAGTGAGCCATCAGGCAGGTGCCATGTAATTAATTAAAGACCACAGGAACAGCTGCAGGAGGCTCCTCTCTGAGAAGCTGCCCTCAGGTTAAATCTCAGATAGTCTTCTCTATTTAATGGCAGAAAACACCCAGCATGAGCTTTGATTCTAGAGAGAAAAAGAGGAGTTTCTCAAATAACTTTCGACTGCACTCAGGAGACAGATGCTGTGTGGACCTGCCAGGCTCCTTCTTTGTCCCGCCCTTCTCTGCATGACCATACTAGCAGAATCTTAAAATCAGTATTTGTATTCTCTACCAGCACAATATAGATTTTTCTCTTGTTGGGTACACGCAATGCCGACCGAACTAGTCTTATTTATAAATGTGAAAAACTATGCCATAATCACTAAGCAGTCATATTAAACAATCAGAACTGACCACTGAACAAAACAGTTATTGCAAGAATCAGAAGACGTGCTCAAATTAATTATAAATAGCATCCTCTGAGAAATTCAGAATGATTTCACATTTATTAAAAATTAACTGATCACTATTTAAAGACCAATCAGAATCTTTTGCTGTTAAAATGAACATAATGGGGAGGGGGTGTATGGTAGGGAACCTTTAAGATGTCTCCCAATGATTCCCCCCTCCTGGTAGTTATGCCTTTATGTAATTTCTTACCTTTGAGTATTGTTTGGATTTAGCAATTCTAATAAATGGATATAGCAAACATGATAGATAACACTTGCAAGGCTAGGTTACAGAGAGACTGCGGTTTCCAGCATGTGGTACTTCTTTTGCTGTATTACTTGCTTACTATGAGGAAAGTCAGCTGCCATGTTGTGAGTTGCCCTACGAAGAAGCACACATCGCAAAAAGCTGATGGAGTCCTCCAGCCAATAGTTAGTGAAAAACTGAGGATCTCTCTCCAACAGCCCATGAAAAACTGAACCTTGCTAACAATCACATGAGTGAGCTTGAAAGTAGATACTCCTTCAATTGAGCCTTTAAATAAGACTTCAGCCCTGGCCACATCTTGACTGCAGTCTTGCGGGATAATTTAAGGCAGAGGAAGCAAGTGAAGCCATGCCTGTATTCCAGAAACACAGAAACTATGAGATAATTGTTTTCTTTTTTAAGATATCAGGTTTTGGAGCAATTTGTTCTGAAGCAGCAGATAAGTCATATGGGTAGATGGAAAAAAAGAGAGCAGGCAGGTGGAAACTTGACTCAAGGTCAAATGGTAGAACGACTGTAGCTGAAAATTAAGTTAAAGAACCAGAAGATTAAGACAGATAATTTCCTCAAAACACAGGCAAAAGAAAAAAGCAGAAAAAACTACATATATACATATATAAATAGATATACATTAATTATATACATACACATTATATATTAATGTATATATGTATACATATACACATACACATAGGTATATATATTATATATACATACACAGGTATATATAATATATGTATATATACATTATACACACGTATGTATATACAATATATGTATATATACACGTGTGTATATACAATATATGTATATACACACGTGTGTATATATTATATATGTATATATGCACGTGTGTATAAATTACATATGTACATATACACGTGTGTATATATTACATATGTATATATACACGTGTGTATACATTACATATGATATATACACGTGTGTATATATTACATATGTATATATACACGTGTGTATATATACATATGTAATATATACACGCGTGTATATATACATATGTAATATATACACGCGTGTATATATTACATGTGTATATATACACGCGTGTATATATTACATGTGTATATATACACGTGTGTATATATTACATGTGTATATATACACGTGTGTATATATTACATGTGTATATATACACGTGTGTATATATTACATGTGTATATATACACGTGTGTATATATTACATGTGTATATATACACGTGTGTATATATTACATGTGTATATATACACGTGTGTATATATTACATGTGTATATATGCACGTGTGTATATATACATGTGTATATATACACATATGTGTATATATTATATATGTATATATACACATATGTGTATATATTATATATGTATATATACACATATGTGTATATATTATATATGTATATATACGCATGTGTATATATTATATATGTATATATATGCATATGTATATATGTGTATATATGTATATATGTGTATATATGTATATACATATATGTGTATATATGTATATATGTGTATATATGTATATGCATATATGGGTATATATATGTGTATATATGTATATACATATATAATCTATATATTAATACATAGGCATATAAATATGTATATATGTATATGTAATTTTGTATATATGTAATTTTGTATATATGTATGTGTATATATGTATTAGAAAATTACATATAGATATTATATATAAAGTTAAGAGATGTGAAGAATACATGTAAGAAGTCAATGAATATTTATTTCCCACCAAATAAATAACTGGAAAAATAATTTTTAAAATTACTAATCTGAACAGTTTTGAGTCTTTATGTGAAAAGGGCCAATGAGTACTAAAATTATAATTGAAAAAAAAAACACCTAGAGACATTGTGATGAAATTTGTTAATGCCCAGGAACAAATGGAAAATTCCATAAACTAACAGACAGAGTAAGAAAATAATAAATATTTCCAGTATTACAGAAAACATTAAATCATGCCTATAAAGGGCTTATGGAAAATATTTTAGACTCATCTAAATTATGTTCAATTATGAATGCAAAAGAAATACATTTTCATAAATTCAAGGAATCAGGCAGCTGAAAACTAATTCCTTCCCCTTGATTAATTATTAAAGTATGCTCTCCAGCAAAACAAAAAACTGAATCGAAGAAAAGAGAATGAAGAAGAACATATAAATAGTAAAATACATAATTAACTCCAAACTATATGGATAACTCATTTATGAAGTTCATAAAATGGAAGACTCTTCAGTTTTAAATAGCAGATTGACTGAACATGTTTTATCACTCATTTCTCCATTTTTCCGGAGACCTCACTAGAATTATGATAAATAAATACAAAAGCATCAGCACACAAGAAATGGGGAAAAGGATATCTACATTTTTGTAGATTTGAAGATTTTAACCAAAATTTTTAATGACTAAAAGCAAGTAGAGAAACAGGAACTGATTTACAATGGCAGAGGAAGCCATAGACTACGGAGACATGGTCCCAACCTTTTTGGCACCAGAGGCCAGTTACATGGAAGACAATTTTTCCACGGACTGGAGTGATGGAGCAGATGGTTTCAGGATGATTCAAGCATATTACATTTATTGTGTACTTTATTTCTATTATTGCACTATAATATATAATGAAATAATTACACAACTCACAATAATGTAGAATCAGTGGGAGCCCTGAACTCTTTTCCCTGCCACCCTGCAACTAGACAGTCCCATCTGGGGGTAATGAGAAACAGTGACAGATCATCAGGCATTAGATTCTCATAAAGAGCACATAACCTAGATCCCTTGCATGTGCAGTTCACAACAGGGCTCGTGCTCCTATGAGAATGTAATGCCGCCACTTATCTGACAGGAGGCGAAGCTCAGGTGGTACTGTGAGTGATGGGCAGTGGCTGTAAATACAAATGAAGCTTTGCTCACTTGCCACTTGCCAGCCAGTCACCTCCTGCTGTGCAGTCCAGTCCATAACAGGCCATGGATAGGGGTGTGGGGACCCCCGCTGCAGGGCATGCTGTACAGAATATGGAAAGAAAAGAATTTATCATAGTAGCCTGGCAAAATCTTCTATTTTAGAATTCAGAAATTTGATATAGGAGAAGGCCGAAATTAGCTGACAGGCTGAAATCAGGAGGATTCACTTAGAAGTCAGTATACAACACAGGCTAACCCTCCTCACCTCAGCCAGCTACCACCCTGGCTCTCTTTTTAGGTACAAAATCAAAGGTGTTTCTTCAGGAGAAACTGAGCAAAGACTCAAGGCTCTAAGAAAATCTGAAAACCAGAGATTTAAGTTAAAGTCTTAGATCTTAATTCCCTAAGATACACAGAATGCCAGCAACTGGGCATTTATACCCCAAGATGCTGATCAATTATTGCTTTTCTATCTCCCCAGTTGAATAATCCCCGGGGAGGATGGGGGAACTTAGCATATTGGCACTTGAAGATTCTGCAGCAAAATGGGAAATTTCCAGCCTCAACATCCTACAGCTGAAGCCACAAGTAGAACACTCACAGTCATAAGCATGGAGCTTAGCTTTAAAATTAGCTTTTAAAATGTGTGTTCTTAGATACACATTTTTCTGTTTTTTTATAAAAAGTTAGCAGTCTAGAAAGAGATACGAAATTTCTCATCTTAATAAAAGATAACTATCGGAATTCTACAACAAACATCAAAACATTTTGTAACATTTTCAACCAAACCACTATAAAAAAATATTAGCAGGGAAAAGATTTATCTCACATTTGTAAGTGATATGATTTTTTTCTATGAATTTCCAGATAGCTAAACAGCGATTAAAAATATAAAGAATGTAATAAGGTGATTGAGTACAAAAAAAGTAAAATAACTGATTTTATATTTATTTTATTCATTTTATATTGCAATAATCAAGTAGAAAATAAATCTTAAAAAATTAACACCACCTACTGGTACATCAACTGTTAAAGACAACAAAGACAGAACTCTAGGAATAAATAAAAAAATGTGCTAGAGTTATCTGAGAATTTATTAATTTTATAGAGCTTAAAAGAAGAATTGTGTAAATAAGGAGATATTTTACAATGCTGAGAATCTGACGTTTCAGTACCATAAAGAAGACATGAGGTACAGAAGGACAATATTCTGTCTGCTTTCTCCAACCATCATACCCCACTGTCTACTTCAGTGCCTTGTGGCATTAGTTTTTATATTGATTACATGTTGAAATGATTAATATTTTAATCATATTTAGCTAAATAAGATATTGTTAAAATTAATTTTACCTGTTTCTCTTTTTTCAGTTGACTTTTAGAAAATTTTAAATTCTATATGTAATTCAATTCTGACATATAGATGTCAATCAAAAATGATATGCTTAGTGAATTAATGAAAAATGAATGATGATTTCTCCAAAATCTATGAATGTAAATAATTCAATTTCAAAGAAAAGTCCAATGTGGTTTTTAAGAAACTCTTTAAGCTGACTTAAAGTTTGTCTAAAACATTAAATGTGCAAGAATTGTCAATTATACAACAAACAGACATTTGTCCTCCCAGACAGGACAAATACTCTGACACCACAGTTATTACTACTACAGTTCATGTAAGGTATACTAGTTGATAAATAAATAAAGAAAAATATAGAATCCTGAAAAAGATCTATCACATTTATTCACATAAGGATGTGATGAATTTGGCATTTGGTGTAGAAAGCTAAATTATTCCATAAATGTGGATGTGATAGTTATCTATTGGAGGAAATAGAGTTAAAGCCATATTTTAAAATATTAAAAATTAAATTATAGATTAATTATCTAGCCAAAGTCACTCAAATGACCATAAAATATCGTGGGAAAAAAAATCAGAATAGGTTTGGACTGTTATTCATTTATTCAACCACATTTATTGACTATTGACTATGTAAAAAATAAAAGGAAAGGATAGAAATCTTTGCCCTTAGAGGCTTGCATTATACCAAAGGAAAAGACTTTAAACTCTAAATATAGCACGTTAATTAACATTATGTTAAAAGGTGACAGAATCAAGGGAGAAAAAATGGATTAGAAGTTTCAGGACAGGGATGGAAGTGGGGGTAGAAGGGAGGGTGGGTGAAATTTTACATAAAGCTGTCAATCCTCAGAAGTCACACTTAAACACAGGAGGGAAGGAGATGCTGCTCTCCAGGGGAAGAGCAATTCAGACACAGGAAAGAGCCAGTTCCATGGCCTTAAGTAGAAGTGACTAAGGGAGTAGTATAGATGTGCCAGGTATAAGCCATGGGAAATTAGAAGCCATTATATGTATCTGTTTTTTATGCTCAGCCAGATGTAACACCACTAAGCTTTTTCAGGAGAGGAATTACAGATGTGACATGTTTTAAAACAATTACTCTGGCTGCTGTATTAAGGGGCGCCTATGGCACTCTAAATGAGAATGTGTTTCTAGGCAAGAAGTTACAGTGAAGATGACCAGAAGCTAACAGTTTCTCATTATTTTTTAAAGGTCATGCCAACAGAAATTTCTGATGGATTTGAGTATAAGAGGAGAGTTAAGATTAACTTCAAGGGTTCGGGCCTGAGAATAATCAGCCAAAAAGACAAGTCAGTGGATAGAGGAGGATTTTCAGGAAAGATCAACAGTAGTTAAAGATGATTATTAGACATCCAAATAGATATGCCAAATAAAGAGTTGGATTTAAAACTTTTGAAGTCAGAAGAGAGACCTGGGCTGGGTTGGGCTGGGTTGGGCTGGGTTGGAACATGAGAATGGAATTTAAAGACATGAAACTGGTAGACTCAAGGAAGAGTGTGTAGATAAAGAAGAGAAGAGGGTTAGAGAGAGAGCCTTGAATTATCACAACATTAATACATCTAAGAGGATGAGAAAATGAGAAAGACTCACCAAAGAAGGCCAAGAAGGAGTAATCAGTAAGGAGGAAAGAAAACAGAGGTGACGTCTCAGAGCCAGGAGAAGCTAATAGCTTAAGAAGGAAAATGTAATCAACTGTAATAAAAGATGTTTAGCAAGATCAAATATAACAAATACTAAGAATATATCACTGGATTTAGCACAATCAAGTTCTTCATGACCTTTAAGGCATTTTGGTTTAGTAGGTGAGCTAAAACTCTCCGAGTAGTTTACCAGCTAATATGTAGTGAGGGGAGATGAACTGGAACTTGAGAGCAGAGAGGTCTCTTTTGAGGAGTTTGGCTGCAATGTCAATCTCTGAAAAGGGCAGTGTGCATAGTGGGGGAGGTGTAACTTTTAAAGGTGTTTTTTATTTGTTTGATTAAGATGCAAGAAATAACAGCATGTTTGTAGGCTGGAGTGAATGATCCAGTACAAGGGGGAAATTTGATGATGCAGGGGAGACAAAGTGAAAAATTGCTGGAGTAGAAATTCCTTAAGAATTTATTAAGCAGTTAAGAGGAAATGAAATTCATTGCCCAACTCAGGGAATTAGCTTTGGATAAGTGTGTGAATAGTTAATCCATACTAAAAAGTAAAAGGGATGGATATGTGGGCATAGATGCCAATAAGTAGGTAGATAATGATGGTAGAAGTCTATGGAAGTTATTTTCTTTTTTTTTTTTTTTTTTACTCACCTCAGTAAAAAAGATAATCATCTGATGATAAGGCTGGTGGAGCTGATGTCAGAGGTTTGAGAAGGAAGAACAAAGTGTGAATGGACTTATAAGAAACTAGGAAGTGAATGAACCAGGGAGATATTCTATGATTTGTGTAGCAACTTTAAGAGCTTATCTGGCACTTGTAGTCATAAATTTTAAATGAGACCTATCAACATGATTCCATATTTCTATGCAACCATAATTATTTGCATTGGTACAGATGCAAAGCTGGCAAAAGGTTGGATTTACCAGAGTTGTGATTTTGTCAAGTAAGTTTCCAAATTGAAAGAAGAACAATGGAATAAAGAATATATTCAAGGGAATAAATAAAATGATTGGCCATGGAATTGAATTTGGATAAAGAGGAAAAAAAGGACATCCAGTGGTACATTGAAGAACAGAGAAGAGGTGGTAAGACAAATGGATGGGAGGTCTAATTTGAGTGGTGGAATTGTTGAAATTGTGGTCATAGAGGAGTGAGCTGAAAAGTGAGGTTGTGCACAAAATTGAAATTATGTCCAGGTTTCAATTATGGGTAATAACAAGTCCAGGGTGTGGCCATAGAGTAGTGATTTAAGTAGAGCAGTTGACAAGATGATCATAAAATAAGAGATCAAGTAACAGGCAGGTATCAGAATTGCAAATATCATGTATGTATATATTGAAGACAATAAGAAATAAGAGAGGCAAACTGCTCAGAAGGAACTAAAATGTGGAGAAATGGGGGTAGATAGGGTAGGTAAATTACACCATTAATTATAGATAATAGATAATATAGTCTAAAGGGCATGAGATTTTAAGCTAAAATTTTAAGGAAGAGGAAGGAAGAAGGATCTGGAAATATGAAGGATGTGCTTAATGGTAAAAGATATAGAGATAGAAATAACCACCACTTAAGAGAAGTTGGGGAATGCCATACCCCAAGAGAGATCCAGGTTCAGGTTACAGCAAGAAAGAGAAAATAAAATCATGACAGAGTTTGAAGACATAGAGGATTTCACTGGTGATGAACAGTGAATTACATTGGTCCCAGTGAAAAAGGATTCAAGAGTTGAGAGTGAGTGGAGGATAGAAGAGGAAATTTTCAGACTATATACAGGTTAGAATTTTAAAAATGAAAAGTGGCTGAGGTTGTGAGAACTGATATAAAATGACAATAAGGGAGGAAAGGGCAAAATGAGATGATTTTGGTTTTCTCAAGGAAGATTGTGTTAAAGAGGTTAAGTCTGTAGGGAGATGGCAAATGATGGTTCTGGAGCTCTCTGACCTTATCAATGCTGGTTCAGTGTCTAAGAGAATGAGATGTTAATCTCAGTGCCTGTATGGGATGAACAAAATTTACCTGGAGCTTGGCATTCTCCATTACCAAGATGATGAAACTGAATTCCCCTGGGAAAAGACAGTAAATTTTTTTTAATCCCAATCCATGGAAGGTGCAGGTGGCAGGGGGCTGAGATCTGTTTTTGGGGCTTGCTCCTAACCAAGTAGGGGATGAGTTTCATTAAATTTGAATGACCAGGACCCCTGCTTGAGCTCTTTTGAAGGAGTTGATTTCTAATGGCTCTGACTGCTTAACTTGTATTAGGGAGTCTGAAGATGGAGGAACTTAGAATTTGATCAAGTAATCTAAGTGCGGCCGTTTAAGCACTCTCAAGTTGAATATTGGAGTAGTGATGCAAATGCTCAGGGTCACATGGAATTCATCCACCAAATTAAGAATGTGGCAATGAAATGGGAGAGTTCCCTGGCCCCCCTCGCAGGACATGCAACAGGGAAGTGGCTGTTTGGCCACTGCAAGCCCAAACCCTTTACAGGAGGGGCAACACGCAGATGGGCAGATGCAGGAACCAGGGCTAGCACTTTGGGGCACCAGCCCCATGGCAGCGTCTAGGAGTGGTTGTCTGCAACCCCAGTGTTACCAAGCTCTTTCAGCTTTGCTGTCTACAGATGTCTTGTGTGTTAATCAACTCAATGGACTCTCTGCCTTATCACAAGGGCAGAGGGCCAGTGTCATAGTCTTATGTATCCCGAGCTTTTGCCCAGTATCCTGTAAGAATCGGATCACACGTGGGCTCGAAGGATGAGTGCAAGGTTTTACTGAGTGGTGGAGGTGGCTCTCAGTGAGATTGATGGGGAGCCAGAGGAGGGAATGGAGTAGGAAGGTTGTCTTCCCCTGGAATCGGGCTGCCCAGTGGCCTCTTTTCCAACCGTCCCCAGCTGAACTCCCCTCAGCCTCCAGATGTCCCCGCTCTTCTCTCTTTTCCACTGCATTGTTCTACCATCACTGGTCTGCTGGTCTCTTCTGGAGCCTAGGGTTTGGGGCTTATATGGAGGCAGGATAGGGTATGCAGCAGGCCAAAAGACAACTTTTTGGGTGTCAAAACAGAAATGCCTGTTCTTATTTAGGGCCATCAGTATCCAGGGTTGAGGGTGGGGCCTTTGACGGGGAACCACCCCTTTCAGTACAGTATTTCCCTGTCTCCTGTTCATATCAGCAATGAGTGTTCAGGGTAGTCAGTCTTCATAGAGGGCTAGCAAGAGTGACAGTTTCTCACAGTGGTTTCTTGAGCAAACCTTTTGAGTTCGGCTGCATGTGGCCTCCCTTGGTTTCTACTTAAGAGTCATTCATCAAACTTCTAATAGGAATACTTCCTGCAACTCTTCTCATAAATCCTTTTTTTTTTTTTTTTTTGAGTTGGAGTCTTGCTCTGTCGCCCAGGCTGGAGTGCAATGATGCGCTCTTGCCTCACCGCAACCTCTGCCTCCCTGGCTCAAACAATTCTCCTGCCTAAGCCTCCTGAGTAGCCGGGACTACAGGTGCATGCTACCACGCCCGCCTAATTTTTTTTTTTTTTTTTTTTTTTTTTTTTTTGTATTTTAGTAGAGAGGGGGTTTCCCCGTGTTGCCCAAGCTGGTAGCGAACTCTTGAGCTCAGGCAATCTGCCTGCCTCAGCCTCTCAAAGTGCTGGAATTACAGGCATGAGCCACCATGCCCGACCCTCTTTTGTTGCTGTTGTTGTTGTTGTTTTGGAGACGGAGTTTTGCTCCTTGCCCACACTGGAGAGCAATGGCGCAATCTCGGCTCACTGCAACCTCCGTCTCCCGGGTTCAAGCAATTCTCCTGCCTCAGCCTCCTAAGTAGCTGGGATAACAGGTGCCTGCCACCACATTCAACTAATTTTGTATTTTTATTGGAGACAGGGTTTCACTATGCCGGCCAGGCTGGTCCCAAACTCCTGACCTCAGGTGATCTGCCCACCTCAGCCTCCCAAAGTGAAATCCTCTTATTTTTAAATAAATCAAAAAAGCTTCTCATATTTGCAGCCTTCTATTTTTTAAATAAACCAAAGTAAGCTTCTGATATTTTCAGCAAATAGTATCCCTGGATATGAACAAGATCTAGCTAGTTTTCGAGCTTGTACACTTTTAGAAACTGACTCTAGTCCTTTCCTCAAGGAAAGGCAGTGTGTGCTATGGTTTGAATATGCCCCCCAAATTTCACATGTTGGAAACAACCCTTAATATGGCAGTATTGAAAGGTAAGGCTATTAAAAGGTAACTGGGTCATAGGGCAGAGACCTTATAAATGGACTAATCCATTTATGGATGAATGGATTGATGGGTTAATGGATTAATGGGTTATCATGTGAGTGGAACTGGTGGCTTTATAAGAAGACAAGATACCTGAACAAGTACATTAGCACACTCAGTCCCCTCATCATGTGACATCCTGCACCTCCTCAGGACTCTTCAGAGAGTCCCCACCAGAAAGAAAATTCTCACTAGATATGGGTTCTCAACGTGAAACCTCTCGGCCTTCATAACTGTAAGAAATAAATTTCTTTTATTTGTAAATTACCCAGTTTCAGGTACTCTGTTATAAGCAGCAGAAAAATGAACTAATACAGTATGCATTTTCAGTTTTAGAATTCTTGATGCTTTCCCATGGCTGTGCTCCTGAACAGAATTCACTGATAGTCTGACATTCTCCTCTACCCTTAGCACAGATTACACCAATCATGTTCAGCAGCTATTTCTTAAAGCAATAATGCTTGGATGAAATTGTGCCTGTAAACAAACAGCATTTAGTGAAAGCGTCACATATTATGAGTATTTATTCAATTACTAGAAAACAGGCCTGCTGGTTCTTACACCTGATAAGTAGGACATAGTTATTCTTTCCCCCACCCCCACCCATTCACTTTCTTAAATTATATTTTCTTAAAGAAAATAAATTTTAGCCTTCATTCTCATTGTTTTCATTGCCACCCATTGAGTTGATATAAAGCAAGAAGAAGACATGAAAAATCTTTGCAAAAAGTGGAATTTTTCAAAATAAGTAAATTACTTGGACTGTTATTTTGATTCACATGTGACATTTCTGACTTCAAATTAAAACATCAAATTATTCGCCAAACACGAATCTTGAGGTTTTTCAATTGGTTAGTACAATCTGTCACCCCAAATTAAATTTCTAAAGGAGTGTGTCTTTGGATATTATATACTTCAGAGCTGACAGGGACACTATCTAATTAGCTATTTATATGCAAAGCAGGGGAAGGGATAATTAGAGACATGGATTATGCAAAAGCAATCACACTGACAGAGGGCAAAAGAAACTGCGAACATATTGAATCAAATTTGTTTTTATATTTCTACAGTTTATCACATTTCATTTGTATTATATTACATTTATGCATCATTTAACATGTTATAAATGAAGTAATATCCTAATCCATTGATTGATTAAATATAAATCTTAGAAAATAAACTATCTATTGGACTACAAATATAATAAGCTTCAGTGGATAAAAGGCAATAAAGACCTACATTTAGAAAATGCCTTCCTTAGAGTCAAGCTCCAATACTTTTTTCTCCAGAGACACAGGAAAAAAGATAAACATATTTAACTTTCTATCACTAATAGCGTAGTCAAGGTGCTTATCAAAATAAAAAAATCCTGGCTTATAAAACCTGTGCTAGTTAGTTATCTCCTGCTGCATAACACTCCACCCCAAACTTTTCGAGTAAAAAGGTAAATATTTTATTATGCTCACAATGTTGTTGGTCAGAAAATTGAGAGTGACACAGAGAAGGTATCTTGTCTCTACTCCACTGTGACTGGGACCTCAGCTGAGATAACTTAAATGAGTGGAAGTTGATTGGGCAATTTAACTATGGTCATGTATCTGGGGCTTCAGTTCTGGCTGTCGACCAGTTTCTTTGGTTTTTTCTGTGTTGCATCTGCTTAAGATAAAATGTCTAAGACGGCTTCTTCACTGACAGCCTTGCATGTAGGCTAGGATGGTTGGAATAGCTGGAATTGAATGGCCGTCTCTCCTCTTTTTCTCATGCAGCCTCCCCCATGGCTAGCTTGAGCTTCCTCACAGCATGATAATCTTAGGGCAATCCTTGCATAGTGGCTTACTTTCCCAGAGCAAACATTTTCATGAGAAGGATGGGGAAGTGGACAGTCTATTAAGGCTTGGACAAGGAAACCACCACAAGTATAATTCTACAATATTTTCTGGTGAAAATATGCCAAGATTCAAGGAAAGAGGACATAGATTTCCATCTCTCAATGCAAGGCATGTCAAAGAATTTGCAACCATTTTTGATATGCTAAACAACCTCATTTCCACCATGATGATTTATCAGAACCTGGAAGATTTTAGTAGGACTCTGTGATATGACTTCATATAGGCTTTCATTTGCACAACAGTTCACCCCTCCCAAAGAGTCAGAAATTCACTTCCAACCAATTGAATGTTTTGGTAGAGATTACTTTTAAAAATCTCTTCCAAAGTTAGTGAGTTGAAATTTATGTGTGAGCTCACAGTTTGGTACAGTGAACTGAACTCTGAGTATTTATCTCATATGTTGTATTTATCTCATATCCTACCAAAATCCAATTAAAATGATGGTAAGGAAGGTAAAAAAGGAATACATTCATAAAAGTGCAGAGAGGGAAGAAGGATCATTAGAGGGGTAGATTAAGGTGATGCGCTTATCTGTACTCTAAGTATGGAAGGTGAAGCATTGAAATATTGAAGTTATATAGCATCATATTGATAGGAAAACTGAACAGAAATAGAATCAGTGCAGTGTATGCTAAAGGAATGCTCAGGTGGAACCTGCAGAACCACACTCACATAAGAAAATTAAAGAAAGTAAAAGCAGGAAGGGGAGCAGAGACTGAATGGTCATAATGCCTGTTTATTCCTGCATATACAATTGTACTGTTTGCTCCCAGGTGGAACTAAAGAACCATTCTTTAAAGAGTTGAGTAACCTGCCTAGTCACATTACGAGTTGTGTGCAGAAAGGATTAACCTTGCCCAAAGATAAGTTTGGCCCTTTGCCTTCAGCTCCTGGGAGGAAATCTTTTATTCCTTGGAATATCATGCCTGATAAGAGCATCTTTGTTTATCTGGGGGCTTTCGGCCACACCAGATAAACTATACTAATAATATAATTTATAATGGCAGTCAGAGAAGAGTATATTATTGATAAATCAAAAAATAAAGGAATTAACAAATATTTTAGTTATATATATAACTTTTTGAATAATTAAATAGAAAAAAATCAAAAGTAATTGCCTTTTTGGAGTGGGATGAAATCATGGAGTGCAGAAATGTGTTGTCCTACTCTATTTTTTAAATGATTATTTCCATTAACATAGATTCTTGGAATTTTTGTTTGTTTGTTTTGTTTGTTTGTTTTTTGAGACGGAGTCTAACTCCATCGTGCAGGCCGGAGTGCAGTGGTGGGATCTCGACTCACTGCAACCTTCACCTCTTAAGACTCAAGTGATTCTCCTGCCTCAGCCTCCCAAGTAGCTGGGATTACAGTAGCGTGCCACCATGCCTGGCTAATTTTTTTAAAATTATTTTTAGTAGAGACAGGGTTTCGCCATGTTGGCCAGGCTGGTCTCGAACCCCTGACCTGAGGTGATCTGCCCACCTCGGCCCCTCAAACTGTTGGAATTACAGGTGTGACCCACTACTCCTGGCCAGGTTCTTGGATATTTAGTAGAGTACATGGCCTTCCAAAATAGACTACACTTTCCTGTTTCCTTTGCATTGCAACGTGGCTATGTTACTAGGTTTTGGTCAATGGAGTATGCTCAGAAATGTGTGGCAACTTTCAGAAACCATCACTAAAAGACATTGGTGGGTACTTTTTGCCCCTTTGCCCCTTTTTACTAATGAACTTTTTCCTTGCTGCCTGAAACATAGATACTGTCTTGGAACATAAGTGTGAAAGACATGCACTAGAGAAAGCATATTCAGGAAGCAGCCAGGGTCTTTGAGAACGTAGTGGGAAAAAACTGGCATATTGGCCCTAATCTGCATAGCTCCAAACTTTAACATGAGAGAGAAATAAGCTCTTGACTTTGGTATAAATCAAGTTATTTTGAGTTTTCTGCATATGCATCTAAAATTTATTCTAATCCATATATATTTTATTAAAAAACAAATGTACATTCTGCCATCTATTTTACTTTCTTTTTATTTTCTCAATCTTCACACTCCCTCTTCTCTTTTTCTTTTAAATATTTATATTTTTAACATCAGTCTCTTGATAATGAGATCGTGGATGAAGGGCAATGCTTGCTTTGGTTAAATAGTTTCATCATGTGGACAGAACTCTTAGGCTATCTTCTCATGAATCCTTGGAATAAAGGGAGGTGAATATTCTGCCTTTAGCACACCATCAGTGTACTTAAGCACTAATATTTTGGCACCTTTGAAAAGAACAGGGCTGCAAGACGTTATTAGCGTCAGTACATTCCTTAAGTTATTAGTGAAATGAAAATGGAGTTTCAGACAACCAGCCAACATTAATGAAGCATTCCTTTTAGTCTCACAACTGTGCATAAGAATTTCTATTTCTTCCCAGGTTCACATAATTATTATTATTTTTACTTCCTTGGTATCATTACATAAAGGTATAACGTAAATGCAAAGTGTTTTTACAGACAGAGTCAAATGGGGTGCTGAGAGAATCTGACAACACCCTGGAGGAAATGACCAGATGCTTGTCATGTACATTTCTAATGCTATTGCTTAGATTGAAGCAAATATTGGGGGGAGGGGAACCCAAAAACCAAAAACTACATATTCTTCACTTCACATTAGCAAAGACAACAAAACACCTTAATCTCTGACTTCCTCTGCTCCCATGGTGAAATTATTCTATCCGACTCCATTTCTGCAATTCCCAGCACAAATAAAACGCCTGTGACCCTAAGCCAAGTGGGTAACCGTTGACATGCTGATTAAGCATGACTGATTAACTGTACAGTAAGTCATTTAAATCGCTGGTGCACAGATGGGCAACATATATTTAATTGTTTAATAACTCATGCTCCAAAGGGAACTTGCTAATGCACCTACAATTAAGAAACAATACTGCTTCAGGGAAACATGAATTGACTTACCTTTTATGTACTGAGGTCATTATTTGGATAAACTTGTAAAGTTCCATTTTAGCTCTCATCAGTCGTCACAGGCATGATCATCTGATGCAGTAGGACCCTCTGTCATGTTGAGGCTCAGAAGAAGAATTAACCTAGCAATTGTACATTTCAAAATGTGCCTCTCGTTATTTTGTTTGGAACCTTTTAAACTTGTTTTATATTTTTATTTATTTGCCAGTCAGATAGTCTCAAAGAGAACTATTATATATTGTATGATGACCAAAAGTGCTTTAGGAAATAGAAGATGCTCTTCAGGAACAACTGAAGGTGTATTTATTACAATATGTATAATCTGTCAGCTCTAAGCTTCTAATCAAATACAACTTGAGTAAGAACTTCAGTAAGGACACTTACTATCTTTCCCAACTGACAAAGAACAGCTATGATTTAAAACCCATCTCAAATATCACTGAAATTTAAAACTAACAAATATTTCTTCAGCACATATCAGATACTGCGTGCTAGTGGCTAACTAGCTGCTACTTATGGAAAACAAAAATACAAAGAAATAGACGTAGTTATGTGATGCATAAGAATGTTTTGGTTAATGACTGCAAATATGATAGAAGTCCCTTAAGATTATAATACTGTATTTTTACTGTAAATGTTCTATGTTTAGATAAACAGATATATATCATTGTGTTACAGTTGCCTACAGCATTTAGTACAGTAACATGTTGTATGGGTTTGTAGCCTTGGAGCCATAACTATATCAGACAGCCTAAGTGTGTAGAAGACTGTACCATCTAGGGTTGTGTAAGTGCACTCTATGATATCTGTACAACAAATAAATCACCTAACGATGCATTCCTTAGAATGTATCCCTGTCATTAAGTGGCATGTGACCATATTATAGGTGGTGTAAGGAAGTGGTTGTCAGCACAGGTTTTGGAGCCAGAATGCCTAAATTCAAATCTTTCCTCTAGCATTTATTATCTGTGCAATGCTGGCAAGTATTTAAACTCTTTCTTTAAAATAGGAATAATAATGATGATAGAACTCACCTGCTACGGGCTGAATTGTGTCCCCCTAAAAAACATATGTTGAAGTCCTAACCCCTAGTAACTTACAATATGACCTTACTTGAAAATAGGGTCTTTATGAAAATAATCAAGTTTAAATAAAGTCATTAGGGTGGGCCCTAATCCAACACGACTGGTTCTTACAAAAGGGAAAGTTGGATACACAGACAGGCACACTCAGAGGGAAGAAAATGTAAAGACATGCAAGAAAAACACCATGGGAACACAGACGCAGAGACTGAACTGAGGCAAGCTAGAGAACACCAAGGACTGCCAGCCCGCATAGAAGACAGGAGCAGGTAAAGAAGGATTCAGCCCAGAATCTCAGAATGTCGCACAGCAGTGTGGCCCTGGAACAACTTGATTTCGGAATTCTAGATCCCAAAACTGAAACAATGTATCTGTTGTTTTAAGACACCCAGTTTGTGGTACTTTGTCAGAGCAGCCAGAAGAATGAATGTGATATCTGTACAGATGTGGTGAGACAGTTGAGTAAATTAACATATGTAAAGTGCTTAGAACAATGCCTGCCATATGGTCAGCACAATAATTTCTGTTAAAGATTTTAATAGAGGAAGAATACAAGGTATCTTGGGAGCACAGAAGAAAGACTGTTTACTCCACAAATTTGCAGCTTAAATCATCAAACATCTGCTATCTCAAAGTTTGTATGTGTCAGGAATCTGGGCATGGCTTAGCTGTATACCTCCGGCTCAAGATCTCTGAAGAGATTGTAGTCATGCTGTTAGCAGGGGCTGTGGTCTTATCTGAAGACCCAATCAGTGTGGAGTGGGGAGGAAATCTGTTTCTACTCTTACTGATATGGTTGTGGGCAAGTATTAGCCCTTCACCACTTGGGCCTTTCCACAGGGCCACCTCATGACATGGCAGCTGACTCTCTCCAGACAGAGCGATTCAAGAGAGATCAAAAGAGACTGCCTAAGGTGAAGGCCACAGTGTATAATCTGCTCTCAGAAGTTACAGCCCTTCATTTTTGTTGTTTTCTGTTTATTAGAAACCAGTCAATAAGCCTTGCTCCCATTCAAGGGAAGATAAGTACATGAGGGTGTGACTACCAGGAGGTATGGATCATTGGGTGTCATCTCAGCAGCTACCTTCTACATGCAGGAAGTGGAAGTAGGGGGGCTTTTCACATGGTATCTCCAGTGCTTTGCATGTAAGAGGTGCTCACTAACTGTTCAAAATAAATGCATAAAATTAGGTACTAATTTATTTTCTACCTTTCTGAAAGTAGTTTGGTTAAGGGGAAGACATTAAAGCTTATTCCGTGTAATAACAAGTCAACTTATTGTGTTTATATTTAGAAACTTAAATTAGATGCAATAATTTGGAGAAGTTTTTCCAAAGAAGGAGAAGCAATACAGAGAATGAATCCTGCCCCCTTTGTAATAAGTTTTAAGTTGTTCAAGTAAGACAATATACAAAGTAATATTAGTAAAATTGAGTTTTCAAATTTTTATTTGTATTAATTTTACAAGTAATGTAGAACTGTTCTTACTCTGTTTTTATTTAATAAAGCATACAAATAAAATGAAATTCTTCCCTGAATACCACTACCAATTCTAGTCTCTGAGAGAGAGAGAGAAAAAAAATTTATATTTTGTGGGGTATGAGTATATATGTGCATACATATGTATTTATATAATTGTTACCCTATACATGCAGTTCTTCAATTTATCATTTTAATTTAATCTATTTTGGAACTCTTTTGTGGCCTGAATGGGTTTATCTTAATACCTACCTTATTAGGTTACTTTTAGGATTGCCTGTAGTAATGCATATAAAATGTTTCGAATAGAGCATGGGCATTTAGTAAACATTTAATAAATATATATTAGCTATTTTTATTGTTATAAAAAGGAAGACAAAATTTTAAAGGAGTTGCACCAAGAAGTTTCTTTGTGATGATGAAACAATTCAGTACTCTAATTGTAGTGGTTGTGGCTGTTAATTTTATGTATCAATTTGGCTGGGCCATGGTATCCAGATATTTGATTAAATATTATTCTGGATGTTTCTGCAAGGGTGTTTTGGATGAGATTAACATTTAACTTGGTGAACTTTGAGGAAAGCAAAGTATCCATTACAATGCAGATGGACCTCATCCAATCATTTGGAGACTTGAATGGCACAAAAGAATGACCTCTGCCACGCAAAAGTGAATTCGGACAGTAGACGGTCTTTGGACTTAAACAGCAACATTAGCCCTTTTTTGGGTTTTATAATCACATGAGCCAATTCCTTAAAAATAAATCTCTCTCTCTCTCTCAAATATATATATATATATATTTGTTTTTGTTGTTGTTTTCACATATCCTATTGATTCTGTTTCTCTGGATTACTCTGGCTACGACAATGGTGGTTACACAAATTTTATCTATACATGTGACAAAATTTTATAAAACTATACACCAAAAGAGAAGAAAATGTGTGAGTAAATGTAAAAACTGGTAAAATCAGAATAAAGTCCTTAGTTTAGTTAATGATATCGCAGCAATTTCTTGGTTTTGAAAATGTGCTATGGTTATGTAAAATGTTATCATTGGGAAGGGTACATGGAAACTTCCTATACTATTTTTGGTTTCTTGTGAGTCTATCATAATTTCATTAAAAAAAGCTTAATAAAATATAAATCTGATTATATCATGGTCACAGAGATGTGTAAATACCACCTATTAGAAGGGAGATAGGGGCATACCCAGTAGAAAATATGAGGAAGTTTGGGGGATCAAAGAGCAGAGCTGACCTGCGCCTTACCTCCCAGGGAGAACCTGAGCAGGTGGGAAGCCTCTTAGAAGTTGATATAGCACAAGAGGCACAGAATAAAGATGTTCACTGAGTTTCTAGGCAGATTGATCTGATCAGCTCTAGAGTTTCCAGTTGTTCTTTGTGCATCCAAAAGTAGTACAGGACTAACTAGGAAATAGCTGGGTGTAGAGACCTGGAAGTACTCTATGAAGGAGACACCACAGTGATCAATGTGTCTCATGACTAAAGGACAAGTAAGAACAAGAGACTTTCTACATAGGCTAGCATGGATGATAATGGTATAGGACTAGTGCCAATATTCACACATTGGCTCTCCTGACTCCCACAAGACGTTGAACACAATTTCTAAGAGAGGAACAAAAGCCCTGACATGACTGAGATTACTCTAAATAAAGTGAGATTCAGTTTCCAGAACTCGGTCACATGGTGGCTTGAACAAGAAACTGGAAAAATTAAAGAAGTCCCATATCGGCCAGGAGCGGTGGCTCATGCCTGTAATCCCTGCCCTTTGGGAGGCCGAGGCAGGGGGATCACCTGAGGTCAGGAGTTCAAGACCACCCTGGCCAATATGATGAAACCCTGTCTCTACTAAAAATACAAAAAATTAGCCAGGCATGGTGGTGCGCACCTGTAATCCCAGCTACTCAGGAGGCTGAGGCAGGAAAATTGCTTGAACCCGGGAGGCGGAGGTTGCAGTGAGCCAAGATTGCACCACAGCACTCCAGCCTGGGCAACAAGAGCAAAAACTCCATCTCAAAAAAAAAGAAGTCCCATATCTTGCACACCTGGGTTTGTGATGTCTTACTTGTAGCATTGAATGAATGGACCACAATGTCTTTTATCCTCTCTCCTTTGATTTTTCCTTTGATTTTCTCTGTAAAACCCAGAGTTAAAAAATGAGTAGATGAAGAAATCTGGGAGTAAGAATATTTTAGGTTGGGATTCAAATATGGAGGATTATGGGGGGAACCTGCCCCCAATATTTTAACATACATTCTTTCTATTTTCTCTAAGTGCTGGCTGGTCTGAGAAATAAAGAAAAGAGTACAAAAAGAGGAATTTTACAGCTGGGCCTCCGGGGATGACATCACATACCAGTAGGTCCGTGATGTCCAACCTGAGCTGCAAAACCAGCAGGTTTTTGTTAAGGACTTTAAAAGGGGAGGGGGTGTACGAACAGGGAGTAGGTCACAAAGATCACATGCTTTAAAAGGCAATAAAGATCACAAGGCAAAGGGCAAAGCAAAGATCACAAGGCAAAGAGAAAAATTAGAATTACTGATGAGGGTCTATGTTCAGCTGTGCACATATTGTCTTGATAAACATCTTAAGCAACAGAAAACAAGGTTCAAGAGCAGAGAACCGGTCTGACCTCAAATTCACCAGGGTGGGATTTTTCCCCATCCTAGTGAGCCTGAGGGTACTGCAAGAGACCAGGGCATATTTCAGTCCTTATCTCAACTGCATAAGACAGATACTCCCAAAGCAGCCACTTATAGACCTCCCCTGAGGAATGCATTCCTTCCCCAGGGTATTAATTATTAATATTCCTTGCTGGGAAAAGAATTCAGTGATATCTCTCCTACTTGCACGTCCATTTATAGGCTCTCTGCAAGTAGAAAAATATGGCTATATTCTGCCCGACCCCGCAGGTGGTCAGACCTTTGGTTGTCTTCCCTTGTTCCCTAAAATCTCTGTTATTCTGTTCATTTTCAAGGTGCACTGATTTCATATTGTTCAAACACACATTTTACAATCAATTTGTACAATAGTGGTCCTGAGTGATGTACATTCTCAGCTTACGAAGATAACAGGATTAAGAGATTAAAGCAAAGACAGGCATAAGAAATTATAAGAGTATTAATTTGGGGGAACAGATGAATGTCCATGAAATCTTCACAATTTGTGTTCAGAGATTGCAGTCAAGACAGGCATAAGAAATTATAAAAGTATTAATTTTGGGAACTGATAAATGTCCATGAAATCTTCACAATTTATGTTCCTCTGCTTTGGCTCCAGTCGGTCCCTCCGTTCAGGGTCCCTGACTTCCTGCAACAGAGGATGAGTCCATTTTCCTCTATTATCCTTACTTTAAATTCCAGGAAAAACTGACTATCATTAAGAAATTTATTTCAAATAAAAATTTGTAAAGAAACTGCTTTCTTCAAATCTTCAGGCCTAAAGATGAGGCTCTGAATGTATTTCACAGATGCCTGGTAAGTTGAGTCTATTTTTAAGGCCTTAGTCTCCTTTTCTTCATTAAAAAACAAACAAAAAATGAAGAAGAAATAAAAAATATAAGTAGGTTGTTTGAAGAAAATACAATCATGCATTTCAGAAGAAGTACAGTTTTATGAAGCTGCTCTAGGCAGAGTAAGATCAGGTGAGAAAGTCTTTTTCTGAAAAGTTTTTCTTTGTTTCTTAATTCTTTATATGGAAAAGTGCCATTAGAGTCTCTCTGGTACTTTTTTTTCTTTTTTTCCTGAAGCACAATGCAGACATTTTGGGGAAAAATAGTTGCCCACCTCTGTGATGCCACAACTTGAATGGTGTAATTCTGCTGGCATTATGGAGGGCTCAAGCTTAAGAAAAAAATATCCTTATAATTAAGAAAAACTACAGGTTATGGGACACAATGCACATTTCTCACCTAGACTCCCACTTTAGCGTAGGGTGAAAAAACCTTTATCAACTGGCTTGCTTGATCCTTTCCAATAAAGCCATTAGTCTCTAGGAAAGGTGTAGAGGGTTGAAAACTTTGCTTTCAATCACCATAGCCTAATCCCAGATTGCCTCTGTTCAAATCTGCCTTTGTAGTTGAAATTATGGCTTTAAAATTGTAGTGAGGATTCATTCAAAAGTACTTCAAAAAGCCAAAAATGCCCTGGTGACCTAGTCAGCATGATATGGGCCAGAACTCTAAGTCTGGGAGTGAAGGGAAGAAGGGCTAAAATAAGAGTTCAGTGATGGGTAAGAAGTAGATGGCAGACTTTTTCCAGATAGCTTCAGATGAAGGTACAAAAAGATATGAGATTGAGATTTGTGGTGACATTATCCAATCATTTACTTGGTACAATCTTTGATTCAATTTTTTGTTGTGGATCAGTGTTTGTGTATGTTATAAGAATAGAATAATGGCCTGATGAAATAAAATTAACTCCTGGATGATAGTAGCAGTCTAATCATACTTCACACAGAAGTCTGCATTACTTATTTTTCTGTTTAGCTATACTACTTTTGTCATTGCTTTACTTATTAAGATAATTTATGATAAATAATAAAATTTGCTGAATAATTAAGACTCATTAAGATCATTCCTGAATCTCATTCTGTACTATCAAATAAATACTTCAGCTTTGTGTATTGTCTCACTATAATTGACCCAAGGTAATGATGTGGCTCTGATGAATGGAGGAACACCAGGTTCTTAGTCTGGAGTGGAATTAGAAAAACCAACATGACACACGTGGAGTAGTTTTAAGGAGCAGGTCCTTTAACAGACAAGAAAGAAGGGAGGAGAAAGAAAGAAGAAGCTCCCCAAAGACAGAGGGAGGCGGGCTCCAAAGCGGAGAGACAGGACCCCACATTTAGGTAATATCAGCCAGGTATATTCAATTTGATTTGCATAGGGCTCAGGGTATTGTTTTGACCAGTCATGTCATTCGTGTAGCCCGCGAAAAATCTGGCCTTCCCACCCTAGCCTTTTAATATGCAAATGCAGGACGCCATGATGTTCCACACACATGGGGATATGTGGGCGTGCCCATGCTGCCAGGCACATGTTGGGGCAAGGGCAAGAGGACAATCATGGTAATCGCCATGTTGAGTGGACCCAGTTTCTAATGGCTTGCATTTGCTAGACAAGAGCTTCGAAAAATTTTCCAAGGACCCCTTTTTTCCTCTCTATCTGCCTAAAATAATTTCTTAATAACTCCTACCTCAGTAGTAAGTAAAGGAGCTCTTTTCTTTCAACGTACCTTAGTATGGAAGTCATCTCGCCCCTATTAAACATTTATTTTAGAAACAGGAACATGTCAGTGCTATTAAAATAAAATCCTGTTGTTATTCATTGGAGACTCATTTTATCAGGATCACTTTCATTGTTTTTACTCAAGCAGGGACATATTTACATGTAAAGTTTCAGCTTCTTTTCTATTTTTAACCACCTTTGCCACAAATCAAATTGAGAAGACAATCAGGCTTTTTAACTACTCATCTTGTGGCAGCCTCTGAACTAATTACTTGATATGCATTAGAACACCGAATGTTCCCATCAAGTCTGGGCTTCTCTTATGTAGCATCCTTCTACTCTGTGTATCACTCATCCTTCCTTCTGCTTATACTCTGAAAAATAATAAAGCCTAAAATGACACTATATTTGAAATCACTAACTAAGCATTCTCCCTCCCAACCAAACTCACCTATCCTGCCCACTTACTTACTCAAGTAATCCTGCCAAAATAGTTGTTTGACATACTTTAGTAACCAATAAATTGATCTCTCCATTCTCTCTCTAGCCCAGTGGCTCTCAACTGGGAACTTGTGCCTTCTAAAAAACAAGAAAATGTCAGAAGATATTTCTGGTAGTTACCACTGGGTATATATGCTATCAAGTGGGTAGAGGCCAGTGATGCTGCTAATGTCATACACAGGACATCTCCCACAACAGAATTTTCCAGCCTCAAATATCAAGAATGCCAAGGTTGAAAACCCCTGCATTTAGTCCCTTGATTGTTTTCATTTTCTTAGTCTTCCATGGTAGGCTCAACAGTCCATCACAACATCTCTTTCTTGCTAATTTCCTCAATTCTTTTGCCCATATTACCTTCCATTACCACTCTTTGCAAAACTTCCAATCTTGTGTTGGTTGTTGACTCCCTGTATTAGTCAGGGTTCTTTAGAGGGACAAGAGTAATAGGATAGATGTATATATGAAGGGGAGTTTATTAAAGAGTAGTGACTCACACGATCACAAGGTCAAGTCCCACAATCGGCTGTCTGCAAGCTGAGGAGAAAGGAAGCCAGTCCAGGTCCCAAAATCTCAAAAGTAGGGAAGCTGACTGCAGCATTCAGTCGTGGATGAAGGCCGGAGAGCCCCTGGCAAACCACTGGTGTAAGATCAAGAGACCAAAAGCTGAAAAGCTTGGAGTCCATTGTTTGAGGGCAGGAAGCATCCAGCACGGAGAAAGATGGAGGCCAGAAAATTAGCCAGTCTAGTCCCTCCATGTTCTTCTGCCTGCTTTTATCTTAGCTGTGCTGGCAGCTGATTAGATGGTGCCCACCCAGATTGAGAGTGGGTCTGCCTTTCCCAGTCCACTGACTCAAATTTTAATCTCCTTTGGTGACACCCTCACAGATACACCCAGGAACAATACTTTGCATCCTTCAATCCAATCAAGTTGACACTCAATATTAACCATCACACCCCCTAAAAAGACCACCAGAAACATTTATTGATTGAACAAAGCTAAACTTATTCAGATGAATTAAGTAAAGAAGAGGACGATCTTGACAGTGTTTTTATAGTATCTCACAAAAGTCAGGAAAATGCATTTATCAAATTTATGCTTAGATGGGGTGATTTAAAGGCAAGTTTTAAAGGATGGGGAAATATTTGGGAATGGCAGAATTTATGACACACTAGCTTTAGATTGGTGGACACAGTGAAATGAAGGTCTTGTAGTATTATAAGCAAGCTGCTAGTCATGAAAAGTAAGCTATTCAGTTGTTTCAGTCTTATCCAGGAGCAAATATTTCTTGGAAGAAGGAGCTAAGTGAGTTTTTTAGCCTGGTCTTGGTGCTGTTTGGCACAGAAACAGGAAAGTATTATTTATACAAGAATTAATTAACATAGAAACAGAAAAGTATGAACTAACTAACTTTCAGAGAGGCTCAATAACTTGCCCAAGGTAAAAGACCTAGCAGTTACCAGAGCTGGGAATGCACTCACAACTTATCTGACTCCTCTAAGCATTTGTCTTCTTTATACAACACTGCCATTAGAAAAAGAGAATTGATTTTTTTCTTTTTGTTTCCAACATTCTCATTTTTTCTCTCTATTTCTGTCAACATTCATCTGTGTTTTTCTATGGCTTTTTTGATCTCTTTGAGTCTTGAAATATAGAAATTGTTGCCTCTTTAGTCCCATAAAGTTCTGAATACAGTTTGAACATATACTTCAAAGTTTTCTTTCTATTTTTAAAATTTTATCTTTTAGTTATCGAGTCTTTCTTGGCTTTGAATTATATGAAACTTTAAAGGTCACAACTGCTTTTTGATCTAATAGAACACTATGCTCCTAGTTGTGGCAGGCTCGGAATGTGCAACTCAGATCTCCCTTCAAGAAAGAACTTGCAAGAAATTCAGTTGTAAGGAATGTAGTTAGCTGGCAGCCCTCAGCTATTGGCATCTGCAAGAATTGTCTCAGAGTTTGAATCAAGCCCACTCTCATCCCAGGCAACCCTCAACCAATATCTGGGCACCATTCCTCCCCAGCTGGAATCCTCTAACAATTCATCTCTGCTTCAGAACTATCCAGTGAGTTTGCAGACACTGTCAGAACTTCATTTGAAGCTGAGGCTCTCCTTGCCCAATCTCACCTCTTCTTTCCTTTTCTTTCACAGGTTTCAGGTTGACTTGAGGATGGTAATCTTTTCCCTGCTCAATAAACCTCTTACATTCCTAAGACCATCTCAATGTCTGCTTTCAGGAGGGCTTAAATGACAGAATATTACAGGACTAATTTTCTATGCCACTGGGCAAGTCATTTTAACCCAATGCACTAAGTGTTATAAATGGAGTGGGGCCAAGATGTTTTAAGGGTGTACTCTGTGCGGAGCAAATTATATACTCTAGCTTGATGAATCATTACAATAATTTCTGAGATAGGTATTATTCTCATTTTAGAGATAAGGAACCTGAAACCTAAATAGGTTAGATATTCTGCCCAATTTTACCCAAGAAGTCAGCAGCAGAGTTATGAATGAAACATGACTCTGTCTGACTCAAAATCCTGGATGCTGGTTGTTATGCACATGATCTCACACAGGAAGATGTTAGCTGCTATGACTGATACAAGAATTGCAAGATCCTCTTTGTTCTCAAGCATTTGTAAGATGTCTTTTAGTTCTTAAAGGGTATGATTCGGTGAAATGAATTAAATGCTCTATTATAGTGGAGAAGACCCTGGGAGCTGTAGAAACCCCCATGTTAAGCAGAATGCTCATTGCTATATCACTGTTATAGTTAGAGATGCCCATACCGTATCCCAGATTTTAAATTAAATGTCAAATTTAATTTGACTGAAGAAGCCTGAAGCTCAAAGTCTATCACAGATCACAGAGCTAGGCCTGACAGCTGCCTTGTAAATCAACCTGATAAGAAGAATCAGGGAGTAAATGATAAATCACTGTTTAGTGCATCTTGGCCTCATACCACCTCCCACATCCCCTAAACAGGTCAGCATCCCATTTGAAAGGATTCTTTATGTTTATAAACTAAACAACAAAGATGTACCAATCCAGACAGTGAGAAAGGCTCAGCTTACAGATTTCTACCACCATGGAATTTCTTTGTCATTTCCTGACTTTCCAAACATTCATGTCCAAAGTTCAACTCTTACCTTCAAGAAGAAGACTCATTCCATTATCTAGCTTTCATTGATTTCTCTTTTTCTGAATCCAAAACTACTTATCATTTGACAATACATTTTAAAATTTGATGCTGTCATTCTTTTATTCAACACACATTTACTGACTACCTACAATTGCAAACCTTTGGTAGGCACCATGGGAGACACACAGATAGACAAACGTCTCTGCCTTTGGAAACTGAAATCTAGTTGAGTAGATACTTTCAAATAACATAGGGAGGGATGAACTAGAAGAGCTTGAATTGGGATTCAACCTTGCCAGTTACTAGATGCATAAACTTAAGCTATCTATCTAACATTTCTCGACCTATGAAAGATGAAATATAATAAAACAGAGAGCACTACCAGGGTCAAATGAAATAACATTTACAATATTTTTTATTGTAAGTTTCTGTACAGTTTCTTAGTTGTTGATAATAATAATATTATCAATAAATTATTAAAGGCAAAATAAAATAAACGACAATAGAGATACAAGTAAAGTGTTATTCGAATACAGCTGAAGATTTGTGGAAATTTTATTTAAGCTAAGCTAGTGTAGATGAGTAAAGTTTTGGTTATGAAGTATGGAAAGGTGAGCAATGAATAGTTTAAATAGAGTATTAATAAGTAATACAGTGTCATAAACAAATGGAAGATGATATGAAAATCTATGCTTCGTATAAGAAGGAAAATGTCTGAAATAACTTATGCAAAGATGGCTATACTAAGAACTAAAATTTGAAAGGTAGAGTAGGGCCTTCTTAGAGAACCTTGATGGAGGTGTGAGAGTGTGAACTTTCTTTTTAGGGATGTCCTTGTAGTGGACATGTTTTGTTTTACTTGTGTTTTTCACTGATTTCAAGGTTTGTCTGCTCAGCATCGTTCCCTATGCGGTGTTATTCTGGTGGGATTTTTAATCATGAGACAACATCTGCTAATCTCAGGGGTGATTATTCAACTTAATCAAGTTGGCTTTGCCTAGAAATCAGTTGCCCTGGCCTAGAAATTTGCATTTTGAGCAGAGCCTTATAAAAATTGATCATGACTGAAGCTGACTTGTTCAAAGGCAGAGTCCTAGAGAAGACCTGATTCTCAGGTCTCTATAACTACCCTTTCTCTTGCTCCGCCTGAAGTCAGTTCTTTCAACTTTTCTTTTGATACACTGTTACTACCAGTGTTACTGAGAATCACTTTCTATGGTGGTCCACTACACATCTCTGATATAGTAAAGAAGAACTCTGAGATTAATATGATCTGACTTGTAGTTATACTGTGTTGGCAAAAAAATTTTTTTAGACAAAAGTTCAAATAAAGAAAAACTACAGCCGTTCTTCCATATTCATGGGGAATTGGTTTTAAAATGCCCATCAGAGACCAAAATCCACAGATGCTTAAGTCTCTTATATAAAATGGCATAGTGTTGCACATAACTTATGTGCATCCTCCCATATACTTTAATCTCTAGATTACTTATACTATATAATACAATATAAGTACTATGTAAATAGTTGTTATAATGCATTATTTAGGGAATAATAATAAAGAAAAATGTCTATATGTATTCAGTACAGATGCAACCATACTTTTTAAAAAACACTTTTCAACCTGTGGTTGGTTGAATACATGAATGCTGAATCTATAGCTACGGAGGGTCATTATTGTCATAATAAACACCTACAGTTATTCCAATACATTCAGCCTAGTTTAAATTTCCTGAAACACACATCTATCTACACCTCTCTTCTGCTTAAAATCCTTCAGAAAACTCCACACTACTTAGAGGAAAATCAATTTTTTTTGGCAACCATTGCAAGTTCCTCAGAGAACTAGCCATAATTCTTATGTCCAACAGTACTTCACTACTCCTTTTCAGGGCTCCTAATTTTAGGTCTATGTGAAACTACTCACTATTACCTGTATACAACCCTCAATTTTTGGCTTCCATGACTTCTTGAACTTCAGCAGACCCATCCTTAGATATGTCTATGAGAATATAGCTCTGGAAAAAAGGGTCATAAGAGAAAGCCTGTTTTTTCCTCAAGCAACAGAATATAAACGTTTCACCTAATAGTCTGCCCTTTGTGTCTTTCTGAATGGCACCAGCATATTTATTAGCAAGCCAAGCACCCTTGGAGGAACAGTGACATTATCATGTTAATGTCTTAAAAGGTAAAACAGTTGACTTTGTTCTGTTCTGAAGGTATTGCCCTTTTAATTTTAATAGCAGGGTTTCTCTACCAAGCCAGGTAGATTACCTCTGTAAATCTTATTAACAAGGATACGAGTTGCACTACTAAACTGCTGAGAAGTTCTGGAATGGCTCCCTTAGTGCCCTCCTAGTCAGCTTTGATGGTAAACCAGAGGGATGCCACCTAGTTAGTTGCATAGCAAGATTCAGGGAAAGCATGGGTAAGAGGCAATTACTGGCTAGGGTTGGCTGATGGCATTTATTGAGTACCCACTGTGTGCAGAGACTTTAGGACTGCCAGAAATTAAAAGCAAAGTTTGTCCCACAACCTTGGAAAATTTGCAAACTAATTAAAGGTTTAGAACATGCACATGTGAACAGAAAGTGAATGAGGAACTAAAAGAATGCAGTTTAACAGTAAGTACAAGTGACAGCTGAGGCAAAGGAGGAACATTATGGAAATATCATTCTCTCCACCCATTCTTTTCCATCCCCGGCCCCATCAGCAGAGGAAGTCACCTTCTAATTTGCACTAGTAGTACCTAATACTTCATCTCTTAGTGCTTGTTACCTTGAACTCTAATTAATATTTACTTGCCTGTCTTCTCCACTGAGCTTTAAGCAGCCTATCTGATTTATAGCTATAACCCACCCCTTCTGGCATTACCTGGCAGAGTACAAACTCAATCATGGAACATTGAATACCGAAATAGATTTGTTTATTGCATGAATTTTATTTATTGAGAAGGTTATGAGAGAAAATCGTGGTATACAGTTTAAGGGTGGATCTCCTTAGGATATCAACATTTTACCTTTAAAATTTTTCAGTAATATTTGGCCTCCAAAATTTCATTTCATAAAGTAAAATAAGCAATCTTTTTTTCCCTCATCCCATTAGTTCATTTCTTATTTATTTATTTATTTATTTTATTTCTTTTATTTACTTATTTTGAGACAGAACCTCTCTCCATCACCCAGGCCCAGGCTGGATTGCAGTGGCACAACCTCAGCTCCTGGGTTCAAGAGATTCTCCTGTCCCAGCCTCCCGAGTAGCTGGGATTACAGGTGCCCACCACCATGCTCGGCTAATTTTTGTATTTTTAATAGAGACGGGGTTTCACCATGTTGGCCAGGCTGTTCTCGAACTCCTGACCTCAAGTAATCCACCTGCCTTGGCCTCCTCTCAAAGTGCTGGGATTACAGGCATGAGACACCACAATCAGCCCCATTAGTATATTTTTATCAAATTTTCAAATTAAACTAATGTAGTTATTAAAATTGAACCTTCTGTATATCATTCTTTCAACATTTAAAAATCTCAATTTAAAGTGCTAAAAACCTTTAATTTTGAAGGACTATATATTATCAAAAATGTTTAGACATATAGAGTATCCATAAAGAATGTATAATTAGAGCATTTTGTATCTGAGTTTTTAACAAAAATACAAGAAATATCTGTGAAAATAGATAATATAAAAGTAAATAACATTTCTTAATAGTCTTGCTAATGAATCTGATTTACAAAAAAAAATAGCGGTGGTGCATACATGTGTGTGTGTACACATGCATGCACGTGTTCTTGAACTCACCACCACCAGTCCTCTTGTAATAATAAAAGAATTGCAAGGTCTCTGAAATTTTAAGCTACTTAAAAGTGCATAGAGCTCTCTACATTTATTTCAGTGTAATCATCCAATATGAATTTATTGGATACCACCTCTATACAAAGCACCAAAATGGTTTTGTACCACAATATGGTTCCCGCTCTCTAAAAACTTATGCTATAGTGAGGAAGAGAGACACATAAATAAGTAATTTCAACAGCACTTACAATGTGGCAGGTACAATGTTGGAAGTATGCCTAGGGTCCTGTGAAGACACATGAAAGGAGTACATAATTCAGTTATTTGCCTATTGTGTATATGAGTGTGTCTGGGCAAAAGATTTTATAAACTGAATCTTAGAGTAGGATTTAGTAAATTTAAGAAGGTAGGTGTAGATTCATTTCTAGCATTACAAAGACATATAACAAGGCCCTGACCTGTGTGAAGTAAACTAATAGCCCCTGATAATTATGCGAGGGTAGAATGCAGCAGGGAGAGAAGGGTGGAGATGAAAATCCTGAGAGGTGGGTAGCAGCTGTGTCATGGAGAAGGTCACATGCCATTTGATGAGCATGCACTCTTTTCATTCAAAGATGTTCTTGCTGTAAGGCAAGGGGTAACTGCATGATACATGTGATTAATCATGTGGCTAGTCAGTGGTATGCAGTCACAGTGGGGTCTGCAGAAATTTTGTTTGTCCCAAAAAAAGTTATTTATATACCTTTTCCCTCTCCTATCGCAAGCTCTTTAATAATATTAATGGCTAGCATTTATTTAGTACTATTTGCTAGACATAAGTTTAAGCACTTTACATATGTTAACATAAGAAATCTTCACAAAAAGTCAATGAGGTAGGAATAGGTATTATGATTACCACTATATATAAGAGATGGACTTGAGGCAGGAAATTAATGTTATAGATTGACTTCCTCAGAAACAGACATGGAGACAGCATTCAGACTGCAAAATATTTTACTGGGGATCAACATCAGTGAAAAGAAAGAAGAGGAAGAAGCAGATACAAAAACAAAATGAGCCAGATAATTAAGGAGGTAATTTTATTCAGGTCATTCTAATGGGGAGAATATTTATTAATGATAACTGTCTAAAATAAGAGGGAGAAAATCTAGTTTCATAAAACAAGAGTGCCATTGAGGAAGAGTGGAGGTAAGTCTTAATCTCAGAGTATGGGAGAGCAGGTGTTCCCTCCTGGTTGCCCATTTTCCAGAACACAAAAAGTTTGGAGGTGTGGGGGGCAGAGGGAGCAGCAGTTCTTAGCCATTGCGTTCTCTGTAAGCATGGGACTCAGGTAAAGTTCAACAGTGTTAGTCCTCCACTTTTGTTGGAGAAAAAAATATCATTCATGAATGAACATCTCAGAGGTCATAATAAACCTCTTGTGTGGGCAAAGCAGGGTCCAAAAAATTGCCTCTCAAGGACTCTTGTTAGCAAAACCAGTTGAACTAGCTATTAAGAGGGAGAAACAATGATTAGTTGCCTTAGGATTCTGGAGATCAGATATCTCAATAGAGGGATGCCTTAGGTAATATTAAGAGATTCATCAGAAATATTAGTATAAAAAGTTGTATTAAAATAAAGAAACAGCATGTAAACTCTGAAGGTAACCAGTCTAATGGATGCCAAGATGTCTGTGGAGGGAAATTGGTGAAACAGCAGCCCTCATTGATTTCTTGAAGCTCTCAAGCTAGGATTGCTGATGCACCAATATCTTGGTGATATGGTCCAAGGTCTCGGTTACCTCTCCTGTAAGGGCAGGCATGACTGACTGAGCATTTCGTGCAACTTCCTTTGTGATCCGGACAATACAAAGAGAATGCAGCTTATGCTTAGTCTGGCTGCCAGAATGAGTCTTTTTAAGCTTTTACTAACTTATGAAGCTTCAGTTTGCAGAGCTTCTTTTTTTTTTTTTCTGGGGGCGGAGGCGGTGGGGGGGCAGCGTATTACTCTTGTCACCCAGGCTGGTGTGCAATGGCGTGATCTCAGCTCACTGTAACGTCTGCCTCCTGGGTTTAAGCGATTCTCCTGCCTCAGCCTCTCAAGTAGCTGGTATTACAGAGACCTGCCACCATGCCCAGCTAATTTTTTTTTTTTTTTTGTATTTTTAGTAGAGATGGGGTTTCACGATGTTGGCCAGGCTGGTCTTGAACTCCTGACCTGTCGCTTTGGCCTCCAAAATGCTGGAATTACAAGCATGAGTGACCGCACCTGGCCTGCAAAACTTTTTTAGATCCTGCAGATAGGGGCCAGCCACACAGCAATCTAGTGCTCCAACAGGGATGTAGGCATTAAGGTTTTATTATTTAGTAATCTTGATTGAAGAAGGAAGGTGAATCATCAGAAAAAGTAAGTTTGGAAGATTATAACCACATATTGAGGAAAATTGGAAGAATTGAAAACTTGGAAAGGATTGATAATTTGGGCAAGGTAAGGATTTACTAGATGGGTACCAAAATTGAGTTTTGTACTGTTGTATTTTTTGGTGGGGGGAAGCAGTAAATTAAATATCCATCAGGCAGAGTTTGCATATCATCAGTTATCCCAAATTTATAAAGAGGTGCAAAGTAGCTAAAAATAATGAGCAGGGCTGGAATCTGATAACCTGGAATGGTATGGTATAGAAATAGGGGCAGGTCTTGAGGGACCACATGCTGCCTTGTGGAAGAGGCTTCTGCAGCTGTATTTCAGTGGGGGTAACACGAGAGTGAAAAAAGTTGACTCTTACAAGAATGGTGTGGGGCACCACTGAAAATTTAGGAGGTGCAGAGGAGTCTGAATTTTCAAAGTATTCCAGGAAAGACATCAGATATTCCATTCCAAGGAATGGGCAAAGATTTCAGGTTTTCCTAATGAAGGGATTGACCTTGGCATAAAGACTTGCCTTATTGGGTGTTTAACCATCTTTGAAATTCAGCTACTGTGACTATTATGTCCTAGGCTTGGTCCTGGCTTTGTCAGCCCTCTGACTCAGAGATGAGCACTTATTTATTTATTTATTTAATAAATATGCAACCAGAAAAGCCCTCTGGCTTTCATGGTTGACTTTTGATGACCTGTAACTTCTCCTCAGCTGTCTATTTTTCTGGGAGCAAGATTCTTAAAGCATGTTTGTGGACCAGCAGAATTAGCATCACCTGGAAATGTGTTAGAAATGGAAATTACTGAGTCCCACCCCAGATCTATTCAGTCAGAAATTGTGGCATTGGCACATAGCAGTCCGTGTTTTTAAAAGCCCTTCCAGTGATTCTGATATACACCACAGTTTGAGGACTGCTACAGTAGTGCACCAATGATGCTTTGCAATAACTATCTTACCCTAATATCCTTATATTTACTATTTTCTTCTTATATTTCAAGTATTTAATATATTGAACCTGCTAGTGCATTTCCATCCATGGTACTCCCTCCCAGCTCCCCACTGCTGAAAGTTAAAAGACCATTGCCTGGAACCAGAGCCCTTCTGTGTTCCATCTACCTTCAGTGACAGAGTCTTCCTCATCAACAAGGAGCTGAATGATCCAGCTCCAAAATGCCACTATTGTCTCACTTAATTTCTCAGACCACTTCCAGTGCTATCACAGGCTAGGATCTCTGGAAGCAGAGACTGAGATAGAGTTTGGAGAATCAGATGTGTAGCAGGGGTCAACCCAAGTGAAGGAAATAAGGAGGAAATGGGATTGAACAGAGAAGTTGACTTAGATGCAGGCTTGACAAAGATTTGGCCAACTCACCAAGGAGTTCTAATGCTAACACTGACTATCACAGTGCTCCATGTTGAACAAAAGTAGTCAGACCTTTATAACCCTGCCTCACTCTGTCAGCAGGTGCAGGCTGACCCAGGAAAGGTATGACTTCAGGCAAAATGATCTCTATAGATTGAAGCTGACCCTGAAGGAGCTAAGAGCTACAGACTATCTCAGACCACACTCTCTGCTGCTGGACATCATAATCTTCTTAAGGACGTTTTGAATGGTACAACTCCCTATCCACCACAGTTAGTAACTTGCCTGTTCCACACTGTTAGAAGGTAGTAGAGGCAGGCCTTGAAGCCAGCTAGCCTTGGTCCAGGATCCGTGCTTGTCACCATCTCAATACAGTATCTAACAGCTATTGGTAGTGTGGACCCACTTGACAACTTTAACAAAGTGACATGAATAAATCTGATCCTTAGATTCTCTAGGAGGTATTGTTAAATATCAATATCTTGAGATTCTTTCTATTCCTAAGGTTTTATTAGACTCATCCTCCCCACCTGTAAAAAGGCCTCTGCCATCCGTGAGGTAACATTCTTTCCTCTATTGAAATAAACCCCAGCGTGTTCAGTTTCTCTGCAGAAGGAGTAGCCTTTATGAGGAAGGGACCCCCACTGTATTGCCTTGAGTTTCGTATTTCCTTATGATTCTCTCACTTGATCTTCACTGTTAACAGAACATTTTCCTTTTTAAGTTATCCCTTAGAAATTCTGGGATTCATTTCAACATAGAAGTACATAATTTCTGAAGACATTCATGAACATGACTATTTGACAAGAAAGGTGAAAGACAATTGTTGATTTCTTCATCTCAACAGTGCCTCAAAATTTCCCTTTTAAAAATCCATTTTAAGGGAGTTTATACTATGGGTAGAAAATAGTAAAAATGTTTTAATAAAACCAGTAATTCAATCACTTAATTTATTGTTACTCTGAATTGGTATTCTTGCTTAAAGTAAATGCACAATAAATATTTCTTGAATGAATGAATGAGTCATTATCATCTCTACGCATCATGTATTTTGAATTATCTTTCCAGTCATGGAAATAGATAGCTCAGAGAATCTGAATATTGTTACCAGTCAATCATAGTGTCAAGAAATAAAGCCAAGAAAGTCTTACTTTCTTAGATCCCAAGCCTCCTTAATTTTTTTTCTATGCTTCTATATTCATTTAACCTGTGTCTAAATTTCTTAAGTGCTTTGCAATAACTTTTTTCTCCATGTTTAAGGGGAAAACAGAGGAAAGAGCAGTGCAAAACTGTGATTATCTCTCTTTAGTTCTGCCTTGGGTTACAGCTATGAGCTCTTTGTGAACTGAGTCCCAACAAGAAGAAGGGAGCACTCTAAAATTATGACAATTCCAGCAGAATTTAAGGGTTATTATTTTTTCTCTTTTCTTTCTTTCTTGAACTTCTGGGCTCAAGTGATCCTCTTGCCTCAGCCTCCCAAAGTGCTGGGATTAAAGGTATAAGCCATTGAGCTCAGCTTTAAGGATTATTTTTAAAGGTCTAGGGATAGTGTAGAAGAGCCACAGGGATAGTACTCAGTTTAGTGACAGCTCAGCTGTCTTATACTCTTAGACCTGAAGAGGTGAAGTGAAGAGAAGGTGCTTCCAGAACCCACAGGGAGGGGTTATATAGAGAGCTGCCTGCTAGAAGCTAAGACTTTTTGTGAAGAGACACAGCCAGCCCTTGGTGACTCTACTGGGAGGGAGATGGAGTAATAAAACATACAGCCTCACTCCTCTGCTTCCCTCCAATCTGTTGCTGGGGCTTCCCTATGCCAAACCCACCTGGAAACTAGGGAGCGAGAGAAGCTATTGATGAAGTCAGTATATATCAGCCTCCCAAGGCAAGGGAGAGATGAAGAAGGAGAGTGGGTATTCACAGGACAAATAGAGGATGTTCAGCACACTTTTCTCCTATCAGCCAAAATACCTTGGGAACCCTGCAAAATGTGTAATGGAAAAACGTGGATTTGGAGTAAGATAAACCTGAGTTTCCTTCTTATTTCTGGCACTGCCTAGTTGGTTGGCAATGAGTAAGTTATACAGTCATCTCCAGGTCATAATTTCCTCATCAGAAACAAGAAAATGTGGTAGACTGTTTTATTGTCTCCAAGCATTTGCTGACCCCTTTCCTAGATGAGGATGCACTTATCCACCCACTGTCATGTCCCGTGTGGATGAAGGATACTTCTCTGGCACGGTGATGTTAAGCTTGCCCATGCAACTTGCTTAGCCCAATGGAATGAGAGGCAGAAACCATGCCTGCAAAGAAGCCTTTAAGAGTAATTGTATATTTCTTGTTGTTCTCTTGCTGTCTTTCTTCTGCTATGAGAATAGCAGAATATCCAAACTGGGGTGTCTCATTCAGCTAGCTCCTAGAATAAGAAGACACAGGGAGCAGGAACATGGCAACTGACCTGCAGATGCTAACATGTAACAAGAGTGATAAGTAAATGTTTTGGCCACCAAGACAAATACAGGAGATAATACATTTACAAACCCAAGAGATAACCTCAAAAGGATATTGAAGCAACACAATGTGGAAACAAGTAGGATGATGTATAATGGACGGGAAATGATAATTATATGTTTGTTCTGTTCACCCCATTTTTCCAACCCTCAACTAATTCACTGGTGCATTTAGAAGTATACTGTCCAATAGTGATAGTCACTAGCCAAATGTGGCTATTCAGCACTGTTAAGCACTGGTGAGCCATATGGTGTCTGTTAGAGCAACTCAACTCTGCCATTGTAACCTGAAAGCAGCCGTAAGTAGATGTGCATGGCTGTGTTCCAATAAATTTTATTTACAAAAACAGGCAACTGGCTAGTCCCTGCATTTATTGATCAAAGGAAAGAGCAATAGCTTTGAAGCAGAGAGACGAGTCTATGTCCCAGCTCTGACATTCAAGAGTAGCCTGGGACAAGTTACTTATCCTCTTTGACCAAATTTTTACCTCCCAGAGTTAATGAACCACATAGGTAAAGGGATCAAGTACAGACTAGCCACTCAGTAAACAGAAGTTCCTGTCCTTTCTACACATTACCAAAGAAAATATGGAAATTGCATTAGTGAATTTGGCTCAAACATTTTGATCTGTTTTCAAAGTGGGTCAAAAGGCCTTCAGGGAAAATTTGGAGAATATATTGTCTAAATAAATTCAATGGAGAAAGATACCACATAAAAGTGCAGGAGTTTTAATTTTTAAAATGAGTTACCTACTATCTTGAGCAGAGTTTAGTAGATTACAACAGACTGTATTATTATTGCCAGCAGGGGACTATCTAATTGGAAGTTCATCATCTACAATAAAAAAACACAGGTGGAACCCTATCAGTTTGTGGTGAACAAGAAAAGAGTATGCAAGATGGGTGGGGAGGAATAAGACTATTTGCACCTAGAGAGAAAGATACAAAAAGTAAAAAGGCATGGCTCCAAAGGAACTCTCAGCATCAATTTTCAAAATTTAATTTAAAACCCAGAGCTTTCCAAAAGTATGTTGTAATTTACTCAAAATCCTCCACCTCCATCTCCTCTCTGCCAATAGTCGTAGGGTTTCAACAGACTCAAAATAAATTATCATCAGAAAAAAGAAAAATGGCAGACACCTTTGGTGTCATGCTGACCAGCACCTTTCTCTCCAAGATAGCCATTATTATATCCTTCAGAAAAATTTCCCCACCACCCAAGGCTGGATCAAGCCTCCCTCCTACATGTTCTGGCTTATAGATACTGTCTTATCCATATAGCAGGACAGCATGGCCTTTTTATTCTGTCTCTTCCTGAAGAGAAGGCCTCTGTGTGCTATTATTAAAGTTATGGTCACAGTGCCTCCTTAGTATAACAATGCCCAGAAAGTGTTCAGTAAATATTTGCTAAATGAAGAAATAAGTGAATGTGAACTAGAGTAGTACTTTTTATTGTCATTTAGGATGTTTCCATCTTCCTTCATTCCTCAGTAACAAGCAATTTGTCACCCTCTCGAACTTAATCTCTCTAATCCCCATTTTCTTGATCTATAAAATATTGCACTTTCTTGCTGAGGTTTAAGTTGTAAGATATATGTCAAGAACCTATCAGAATCTGAGATTTTGTATTCATTCAACACGTATTTGTTCTTTTCCCCCTTTTTATGTCAATCATTTCTTATTGAAATATTTGCCTGCAGGTAGATTTGGTTTTGAAATCTTCTCCCTGAATCATTTACAACACTGTGAAGCAATCTACCTTTAAATAATAGTGAACCATTGTTTTCTTTAGCTTGCATTGAAGTTGAAAGACTATTTCCTTCCTTGCATTCTAGACAAGCCCCAAATTAAGTCTGCTTTACCTGAAATTACACACGAAAACCAATGTTGTGCCTTTGAAATGCATTGCTTTCTTAATCAAAGAACTCAAAACCTTATTGCTTCTAACTCATGTCAGGGTTGTATGTACACAAAGTATAAGAGCCACACATTATCAATAACAATCCTTACAACTACATAAATCTGAATTTACAACAGACACCGGAGCCAGATTTTTGGTGTTCAAATTCTATCTACTGTGATTAGTCTGCACACCTGTAAAGTGGGGAGAAAAATAATAAGTGAACCATGATTACACCACTACACTCCAGCCTGTGCAGTAGAGCGAGACCCTGTCTCTAAAAATAATAATAATAATAATGATAATAATAATAATAATAATATTCAGACCATGGGGTTATTGTAATGACAAAATTCATTAATATATGTAAATCACTTACAGAAATGCCAAACACACAGTAGCTACCATGTTTGTGTTAACTGTTGTTATTCTTTTCATATGGATCACTGTGAAGAAATACTAGATGTCTCCAAAATGTGGGTTTATGATGACAAGAACACATTGATAAACTTTTGCATTTCACAGTGCTTTCATACTGCAAACTTTCACCAGGAAAATTTCATTTAATCCTTACCATTCATGGCACATTTGGAGAAATTGGGCTGAGAGCAGTTAAATTAGTTTTCAAGGCCACATAACACGTAAGTGACAGATACAGGGTAACAGAAACAGAAAAACACAAATCATCTGACTCCAAGTTCAGTGTTTATCTACCACACCAAAGTTATTCATAAACACATAGACAAAGGTTGGAATACAAACCCAAGCCACAATCTGACTACAGTGAGATAATTCACAACCTTTTTCGTGTTGGCTTGATATTCTCTTATATTACTTAATTTCTAGATGTTGGACCCTGTCTGCACAAGCATTGCACAATCCACTCATCTCAACACTTCATTTGACCAATGAATGTGTACATCAATCCACTCAGCTCAAACATTTTGACATCAGCATGTGTAAATTGCAGAAACATACTAATTTTAATATGGATCAGAATGAGGTGGCACACCTTTGAGACATTTGTCATTCTCTGGTTCAGCAACAGTTACCAATATTACAGTGCCTAAATTCACATTTGATCTCAGATCTTCTCAAACACTAGTGTTGATATATTTGTTTTCTATTTTTATTATACTATGGTATTTTTCTGGAAATATTTAATTACTAATTAAGGAGAAATAATTTTAAAAAGTGTATTGCAAGCATTTGTAAAGATGTGTTGGTATATAGATTTCATATGAACTTTGGGATCCTCTATGACTGTACAGCTTCATCTCTTATGGCTTTTCTTTCATTTTTTATTAACTGAATACCATGTATGATCTTTTCTGATAGGAACTAGTGATTTGCCATGAAATAAGGATGTGTTGATTGTGCCAGACTTCAATAAAACACTTTCAGTCATAGTATATTAATAGATACCATTGCATCTTTCCACATTTTGGGGAGAGATATTTCTCTTTATTCTTTGAAGTGTGTTAAATGCTGGAGTGACATGCAGGTCTGTTGTTAACCGGCAATCATTTGTATATTAGAGTTACCACTTAAAACTGAGACAGCATCATCAGGCAGACTGATAACATCAATGAAGGGCTATTAAGCCTCATTATATGGTGATGAGCTGTTGCTAATTGATGAACACAGATATGTCCTACACTGGGAATGTGGAGAGCCTCATCCAACCTCCTGCAAGAATCAGAAGCAGCCAATGCATTTTGATGCAATATTCAAATCCCCTCCTCCAGAGGAGATATAATCCCCAGAGATGAAATAATTATATGAATATTCTTAGTCCAAATGATCTCTTCCCCACTGTCATTGCTTTTTATCATGTATGCATTTCAATTTTCTTCTTTATTTACACTTTACCTTTCTTGCCTTTTTAGTTAACAAGTTATACTTGAGTCATAACATTTCCTGATGTGGCATGGACTATCTCCATGTCAGTGACTTAGAAATCTTTATATTTAGCCTTCACTTTCCCCCCATCATCCCAGCTGTTTAATATACACCCACTGACTCTCTCCTCTTAGGGACTCACAAGTACCCTACTGTTAAAAACAGAAATACTTTCTCTCAACTCATCCAAATTTGCTTTTTTCCCCCCAATTTTTCTCCCCAAATAAATTTCAGAGCCATCCTTGGTTCTTTCCTTTTACCTAAGCCCCTCTCAAACTACAAACTGTCAAGCTTCTCCCTGACATGTTATTCAAATCTCTGTGTTTCTATTATATCTCCATTGCTAACGGTTTTCTCTAAGCCTTCCATGTCTTTTTTTTTAACTTGTCCAGTAGCTGTTTCCTTTATCTTCCCACATCCTACCACTTCCTTTTCCAAATAATTCCCCAAACTGTCTTTCTAAAACAAAGAATTGATAATGTCATTTTTTTTTCTCTTCCTAAATAGCCTTTCTCCTCTTCCTTCCTAGTGAATGCCCCCTCATTTTTCAAGACCGAAGTCAACTGTTCCATTTTCTCTTCATCCTTTCTGGGCTTCTTCAGGTAGATTTAGTCTTTCTGTTTTGAATTTCAATGGCCCTTTTAAAAACATATATTACAGCAATCATCACTTCCTTTGTATATTGAAATGACCAAGGGAAAACTGAATAATTCAGAAATGCACCAATGTCACAGTATTTGAACATTTTTTTTCCAGGATCTCATATTCAGACCACAACTTTGTGGGTCTTGCTGAGTATTGAAATCTCCATTGTTAATCATCAATATAATGCAAGTTCATGACAACACAGAATTAGTCTTTGTAAATGTTCCCGGACCAAACTGAGATTCGGGCTGCTATGTCTCATGGCCCAATAATGAGATGCAGATGAACTGGAGAAAGAGAGTTTTTTATTTCTGTAGCCATTTGCAGGGAGAAGGCCTGGAAATTATTGCCAGACCAACTCAAAATTACAAAGATTTCCAGAGCTTGGACTTCTGGGTTGGTGGGGACTTGGAGAACTTTTCTGTCTTACAAGAGGATTGTAAAATGCACCAATCAGCAATCTGTAGCTAGGATTGTAAAATGCAGCAATCAGTGCTCTGTGGCTAGCTAGAGGTTTGTAAAATGGACCAATCAGCACTCTGTAAAATGGACCAATCAGCACTCTGTAAAATGGACCAGTCAGTGCTCTGTAAAATGGATCAATCAGAAGGATGTGGGCATGGACAAATAAGGGAATAACAGCTGGCCACCTAGCCAGCAGCGGCAACCCACTTGGGTCCCCTTCCACACTAAGGAAGCTTTGTTCTTTTGCTCCTCCCAATAAATCTTGCTGCTGCTCACTCTTTGGGTCTGAGCCACCTTTAAGAACTGTAACATTCACCACGAAGGTCCACAGCTTCATTCTTGAAGTCAGTGAGACCACGAACCCACCGGAAGGAACAAACTCCAGATACGTCTTCAGGGCTCATCCAGAATACCACCACGTGGTGAGTATCATCGGACCCCTTTTGCTTGCTATTCTGTCCTATTTTTCCTTAGAATTTGGGGGCTAAACACAGGGCAACTGCTGATCAGTTAAAAGTGACTAGCGCGGCTGCTGGACTAAAGACATGGGTGTCAGGATTTCTTTGAAAGGGCTCTCTAACAACCCCTAACTCTTTGGAGTTGGGAGTGTTGGTTTGCCTGGAACCAGCTTCCACTTTTCCTGTACGTCCAGGCTGAGCCAAGGGTCAACAGAGAGGAAAGCCATTCACTTCTGGGGTCCTGACAAAAAGTTGGTTGACCCTGCATCCATAAGCGGAACTCTCAAAGTCACGTTGCCCAAGCAAGACTCACCCATCTATCCTATCTATCCTGACCCTTGTCTCCTGGGTCTTAATGCCTGTGAGACCAACTTACCCTCATCCCCCTTCTCCAAGGCTAGTCTTGCTTCTACAAACCACTCCCTGCCTCTGGTGCTTTTCTAGTTTCTCCTATAAGAGTGATTTCTACTATAAGTTTTGGGACTCTGTTCCATTCTTTAGGCACCCAGAATCACCAATCAGACAGACATAATTTTTGCCCAAAGCCCCATTGTCGGGGGACTATCTGGAATTTTAGGATCCCTCCTCAGACAAGCAGGCCTAACAAAGGCTATTCCTGAAGCTAGGATATGGGGAGCCTCAGAAATGATATCCTTCTTATTCATATGATGAGAAGTGAGGACAAAAAGCGTCACTCTTCCAACCCTGGAGATCCCTTTCCTCCCTCAGGGTATGGACCTCCACTCCATTTTGAGGCATAACATCTTTATACGACAAGGATAAAGTCCCAATACTAACAGAAAAAAATACTAACTTTATAGGACAAGGATAAGGTCCCAATACTAACAGGAAAAATGCTTAGGACTCTAACAGATTTTTGAGAATGCATCAGTAAGGGCCACTAAATCCGATTTTCCTCAGTCCTCTTTGTGGTCTAAGAAGAAAGGCAAGGGTGCAGGTTTTTGAGAATGCATTGGAAAGGGCCACTAAATCTGAGCTTCCTTGGTCCCCTTTGTGGTCTAAGAGGAAAACTAGTGTTTCTGCTTCTGTGTCGGTGAGGGCAACTATTCTGATAAGCAGGGTCCAGGGACCATAGCAGGTTCTTGGGCAAGAGGGGATCTGTTGCTGCATCGGTGAGCACAACTATTCTGCTCAGCAGGGTCCAGGGACCATTGTGGGTTCTTGGGTGGGGCACAGGGGGGCAACAAACAAACCAAAACCACAGGAAGTTTTTTCTTTCAGATGGGAAACACTCAGGCATCAACAGGCTCACCCTTGAAATGCATCCTAAGCCATTGGGACCAATTTGACCTGCAGACCCTGAAAAAGAGATGGCTCATTTTTTTCTGCACTATGGCCTGGCCCCAATATTCTCTCTCTGATGGAGAAGAATGGCCACCTGAGGGAAGTATAAATTACAATACTATACTGCAGCTTGACCTTTTCTGTAACAGGGAAGGCAAATGGAGTAAAATACCTTATGTCCAAGCTTTCTTTTCACTGAAGGATAATCCACAACTATGCAAAGCTTGCAATTTATATCCCACAGGAGGACCTCTCAGCTTACCTCCATATCCTAGCCTTCCTATAGCTCCCCTTCCTATTAATGATAAGCCTCCTCTAATCTCCCCCACCCAGAAGGAAACAAGCAAAGAAATCTCCAAAGGACCACAAAAAACCCCAGCTATCGGTTATGTCTCCTTCAAGCTGTAGGGTAGGGGAACTTGGCCCAACCTGGATACACATCCCCTTCACCCTCTCTGATTTCAAGCAGATCAAGGTAGAACTGGGGAAGTTTTCAGATGATCCTGGTAGGTATATAGATGTCCTACAGGGTCTAGGGCAAACTTTCAACCTCGATTGGAGAGATGTCATGCTATTGTTAGGTCAAACACTGGCCTTTAATGAAAAGAATGTGGCTTTAGCTGCAGCCCGAGAGTTTGGAGATACCTGGTATCTTAGTCAGGTAAATGATAGAATGACAGCCAAAGAAAGGGAAAAATTCCCTACAGGTCAGCAAGCCATCCCCAGTATGGATCCCTGCTGGGACCTCGACTCAGATCATGGGGACTGGAGATGCAAACATCTGTTGACCTGTGTTCTAGAAGGACTAAGGAGAATTAGGAAAAAGCCCATGAATTATTCATTGATGTCCACCATAACTCAGGGAAAGGAAGAAAATCCTTCTGCCTTCCCTGAGCAGCTACAGGAGGCCTTAAGAAAATATACTCCCTTGTCACCTGACTCCCTCAAAGGTCAATTGATCCTAAAAGATAAGTTTATTACCAAATCAGACACAGATATAAGGAGAAAGCTCCAAAAGCGAGCCCTGAGCCCTGAACAAATCTGGAGGCATTATTAAACCTGGCAACATCGATGTTCTATAATAGCGACCAATAGGAACAGACCAAAAAAGAAAAGCAAAATCAGAGAAAGGCCACAGCCTTAGGCATGGCCCTCAGACAAACAAACCTTGGTGGTTCAGAGAGGACAGAAAATGGAGCAGGCCAATCACCTGGTAGGGCTTGTTATCAGTGTGGTTTGCAAGGACATTTTAAAGAAGATTGTCCCTGTAATCCCAGCTATTTGGGAGGTCGAGGCAGGCAGATCAAGAGGTCAGGAGATTGAGACCATCCTGGCTAACATGGTGAAACCCCGTCTCTACTGAAAATACAAAAAAAAAAAAAATTAGCTGGGTGTGGTGGCAGGCGCCTGTAGTCCCAGCTACTTGGGAGGCTGAGGCAGGAGAACAGCATGAAGCCGGGAGGCAGAGCTTGCAGTGAGCCAAGATCACACCACTGCACTCCAGCCTGGGCCACAGAGCAAGATTCCATCTCAAAAAAAAGAAAAAGATTGTCCAATGAAAAACAAGCTGCCCTCTCACCCATGTCCACTATGCCGAGGCAATCACTGGAAGGCACAGTGCCCCAGAGGACAAAGGTTCTCTGGGCCAGAAGCCCCCAACCAGATGATCCAAAAACAGGACTGAGGGTTCCCGGGGTAAGCATCAGCTCAGGTCATCATCCTCACTGAGCCCCGGGTACATTTAACCATTGAGGGCCAGGAAATTGACTTCCTCCTGGACGCTGGTGTGGCCTTCTCAGTGCTAATCTCTTGCCCCAGACGGATGTCCTCAAGGTCTGTTACCATCCGAGGAGTCCTGGAACAGCCTGTAACCAGGTATTTGTCCCACCTCCTCAGTTGTAATTGGGAGACTTTGCTGTTTTCACATTCCTTCCTTGTTATGCCTGAAAGTCCCACACCCTTATTAGAGAGGGACATATTAGCCAAAGCTGGAGTTATTATCTATATGAATATGGGGAACAAGTTACCCATTTGTTGTCTCCTACTTGAAGATGGAATCAACCCTGAAGTCTGGACATTGGAAAGAATTCGGAGGGGTAAAAAATGCCTGCCCAGTCCAAATCAGGCTAAAATACCCCACCACTTTTCCTTATCAAAGGCAATATCCCTTAAGGCCTGAAGCTCATAAAGGATTACAGGATATTGTTAGACATTTAAAAGCTCAAGGCTTAGTAAGAAAATGCAACAGTCCCTGCAACACCACAATTCTAGGAGTACAAAAACCGAATGGTCAGTGGAGACTAGTACAAGATCTTAGACTCATCAATGAGGCAGTACCCAACCCCTATAGCCTGCTGTCTCAAATACCAGAGGAAGCAGAATGGTTCATGGTTCTGGACCTCAAGTATGACTTCTTCTGTATTCTCCTGCACTCTGACTCCCAGTTTCTCTTTGCTTTTGAGGATCCCACAGACCACACATCCCAACTTACATGGATGGTCTTGCTCCAAAGGTTTAGAGACAGCCATCATCTGTTTGTTCAGGCACTGGCTCAAGATCTAGGCCACTTCTCAAATCCAGGCACTCTGGTGCCTCAGTATGTGGATGATTTACTTTTGGCTACCGGTTCGGAAGCCTCATGCCAGCAGGCTACTCTAGATCTCTTGAGCTTTCTAGCTAATCAAGGGTACAAGGCATCTAAATGGAAGGCCCAGCTCTGCCTACAACAGGTCAAATATCTAGGCCTAATCTTAGCCAGAGGAACCAGGGCCCTCAGCAAGGAGTGAAAAGAGCCTATACTGGCTTATCCTCACCCTAAGGCTTTAAAACAGTTGTGGGGGTTCCTTGGGATCACCGGCTTTTGCCTATTATGGATCCCCAGATACAGCAAGATGGCCAGGCCACTCTATACTGTATTCAAGGAAACCCAGAGGGCAACTACTCATCTAGTAGAATGGGAACCAGTGGCAGAAACAGCCTTCAAAACCTTAAAGCAGGCCCTAGTACAAGCGCCAGCCTTAAGCTTTCCCACAGGACAAAACTTCTCTTATTTGTCATAGAGAGAGCAGGAGTAGCTCTTGGAGTCCTTACTCAGACTTGTGGGACAACCCCACAACCAGTGGCATATCTAAGTAAGGAAATTGATACAGTAGAAAAGGCTGGCCTCACTGTTTACAGGTAGTTGTGGCAGTGGCCATCTTAGATCAGAGGCTATCAAAATAATACAAGGAAAGAATCCCACCGTCTGGACTGCTCGTATGTAAATGGCACACTAGATGCTAAAGGAAGTTTATGGCTGTCAGACAACTGCCTGCTTAAATACTAGGCACTACTTGAGGGATTGTTGCTTCAAATACACATGCATCTGGCCCTCAACCCTGATACTTTTCTCCCAAAGGATAGGGAACCAATCGAGCATGACTGACAACAAATTATAATCCAGACTTATGCTGCCTAGGAGGATCTCTTAGAAATCCCCTTAGCTAATCCTGACCTCCACCGATATACTGATGGAAGTTCATTTGTGGAAAATGGGATACAAAAGGCAGGTTATGCCACAGTTAGTGATGTAACAGTATTTGAAAGTAAGCCTCTTCCCCCAGGGACCAGCGCCGAGTTAGCAGAACTAGTGGCACTTACCCGAGCCTTAGAACTGGGAAAGGGAAAAAGAATAAATGTGTATACAGATAGCAAGTATGCTTATATAATCCTATATGCCCATGCTGCAATATAGAAATAAAAAGAGCTCCTAACCTCGGGGGAACCCCCATTAAATACCACAAGGAAATCATGGAATTATTGCATGCAGTGCAAAACCCCAAGGAGGTGGCAGTCTTACACTGCCAAAGCCATCAAAAAGGTGAAGAAGAGAAGGCAGAAGGAAACTGTCAGGCAGATGCTGAGGCCAAAATTGCTGCCAGGTGGAACCTCCCATTAGCAATACCCGTGGAAAGACCCTTGGTATGGAACAATCCCCTCCAAGAGATTAAGCCCCAGTATTCCCTGACTGAAACAGAATGGGGACTTTCACAGGGTCATAGTTTTCTTCCCTCAGGGTGGTTAACGACAGAAGAAGGAAAGGTACTCATACCCGAAGCCAGCCAGTGGAAAATGCTTAAAACCCTCCACCAAACTTTTCATAGGGGTATTGAGAACACTCATCAAATGGCCAAATCCCTATTTACAGGGCCAAATCTCCTCTGGACCATCCGACAGATAGTCAAAGCCTGTGAGGTGTGCCAAAGGAATAATCCCTTGGTCCATCATAAGGCCCTTCTGGGGGAACAAAGAATGGGTCACTATCCTGGAGAGGACTGACAGTTAGACATCACCCATATGCCTAAGTCAAAGGGATTTCAATACTTGTTGGTCTGTGTTGATACCTTTACAAATTGAATAGAAGGCTTCCCCTGCAAGACAGAGAGGGCTCAAGAAATGGTTAAAGTCCTAGTTCATGAAATAATTGCTAGGTTTAGGCTTCCCCAAAGCTTACAAAATGACTATGGTCCTGCTTTTAAAGCCACGATAACTCAGAGAATTTCCAGGGCACTAGGGATACAATATCACCTTCACTGCACCTAGAGGCCACAATCCTCAGGGAAGGTTGAGATGGCAAATGAAACACTCAAGAGGCACTTAAAGAAACTAACACAAGAATCTCAACTCCCATGGCCTACTCTCTTGCCCATGGCCTTGTTGAGAATCCAAAATTCTCCTCACAAAATGGGGCTCAGTCCATATGAAATGCTGTATGGATGACCTTTTCTCACAAATGACCTCCTGCTTGATCAGGAAAAGGCCAACTTCGTCAAAGATATAACTCCTTTGGCAAAATATCAATGAAACCTTAAAAACCTACCCAAAGATTTTCACAGAGAAGAGAATGGAGTTGTTTCAACCATGAGTCCTAGTGTTGGTCAAATCCCTCCCTTTTACCTCCCCATCTATGGATTCTTTGTGGGAAGAACCATACTCAGTAATCCTCTCTACCCCCACTGCAGTTAAGGTGGCAGGAGTGGAATCTTGGATTCACCAGACCCGAGTTAAAGTTTGGACACCCCCTGAGGAACCTGTGGGACCATCATCTCAGGAGTCCCAAGATCAGCCAGACCAACCTTGATACACCTGCGAACAATTGGAGGACTTGAGTCTCCTATTTCGGAAGGAAACATCCCAGACTAAAAAGGCTCCTACCAATGATCCTGAAGAAAAACCCTTTCCTCCTTAAAAAAGATAAGGGAAAACCTACATAATCTTTAACACCTCTCCTTCCCCCTTTAATGGAATCCATTTACTAGTTCATCATATTATTAAGCAGCATACTAATCATACTCTTTGCAATAGGACTATATACTGTAGCTCTTGCCAGGACGAAAATCCTAATCACATCAACCTTCTTTCTATCATCCTTCCTTCTGACAGCAATTTACTCCTGCCTTTAACAGACTGGATAAAATGATTTTATCTTCCAAGGTACCCTCTTTCCTTTCCTACTTACTCTTTGCCTATCTATCCCTCCTGCTACCTTGGATACTCCACACAATCGCCCCTACCCTTCCACTAGCTCCTAATTACCTCTACAAGTCTTGCAGACTTTAAACTGTCTTATTTTTCTTATTAAACTAGAACCCATAGAGTGAACTTTTCTCAATTTGCTTATGACAGGTCATCTACTTCTGATAACTGTTCACTAATTTTGACTTTGCCCCTATCTCACATTCCTGTTTCTTGTTTCATTTTTTTTTTTCATAACTAACTAAGGACCTATATCCTAAGTACCAAAAGAGAACAGTCCCCCTTACATTCTAACATTCTGGCTAAGGGTGAATTAGGGCTTTACCTTTGTTGAGCCACGTTGGCAGAATATATTGAGAATCTTTGACATCTGTTTAATTCAGTATCTGGTACATGTTAGGAGTAGACACTAAATATGAATTTATCAGATTTCCAAACATACTACCTTTGGAAAAAGTTAGTCTTGGGTCTATGAAGAAATGAAGTTGGAGATAAATAAGCCTTAGATGTGAGTTCAGGAGAGATTTTCTCACTTCTATGAGCCAGGGCTCAATATAACCTGGATTCTGAGCCAAAGAGAGTCCTAGACCAGATCAAATAGAGGTGTTAAGCCTTGGATAAACATATCAGAAAGACATAGTAAACAGGCCTAGGAAGTATTTCAGGCTCTGTACTTGTATAATAATTCTATATGTTGTATGGCCTTTCCATTATCCAAGACTATTCAGTAAAGTGTTATTAACAGTTGCAGCCTGACTATAATGATACGCAGAAAATTAGAAAAGTACTATGCCCACGTGGGGTAAAGTGATACAAAAGGAAGCAATTTCCCCTTTCTTGAGTAGTCCTCCTTCTTCCTAGAGTAGAGAAGGGTGAAGGCAGGTGGTAGCTATCATTAACAGAGGACAGCTACATCTGAAGAAGAAAGGAAGAAAAAGAGAGAGATTTTAACTTGTACCATTGATATGGTTTGACTTTGTCCCCACTCAAATCTCATCTTGAATTGTAGCACCCATAATTCCCACATGTGGGAGGGACCAGGTGGGGGATAATTGAGTTTCCCCCCATACTGTTCTCTCAGGAGTAAATAAGTCTCACAAGATCTGATGGTTTTATAAGGGGTTTCCCCTTTCACTTGGCTCTCATTCTCTCTTGCCTGCTGCCATGTAAGACGTGTCTTTTGCCTTCCACCATGATTGTGAGGTCTCCCAGCCACGTGGAACTGTGAGTCCATTAAACCTCTTTTTCTTTATAAATTACCCAGTCTTGAGTATGCCTTTATCAGCAGCATGAAAACAGACTAATACAACTATTATAATTTGAATACAAAAAAGAACTATGATCTTATTTTGTAGTCAAAGGCAGGTGAAGTCTAGAATATTGGAGTTCATGTACTTCCTTTTCAACGTTTTCTACTGTACTACAAGTTTCTCCAGAGAAAGAATCATGACATTTTTATCTCAGTACTCCTGGTGTCAACATTATTCTTGCCATGATATGTAAGTGTTTAAGTGTTTAATAAATGCTCATTCAGTCAATGAGAGAGAAATAAAGCAGGAAAGTTTTTAAAGGTAGTTTAATCCTTTAATTCATTTTGACATGTATTTATTATTTTCCTAAAACATGAAATATATTTTTACCAAGAACTTGAAAGTACAACTATGAATAAGGTATGATTCTTGCTAACAACTTACAGCTTAGTGAAGGAGACATTGATGCAACTAACTCTAATATGAAACATGTGCAAACAGAACACTTTCTTATGAGTGTCAGAGGAGGCATTTTGGAGAAAATGTGGGCCTGACAGTCAAATAGGATCATGACCTCTGGAGAAGAACAGGGTATAAAAAGTGAGAGTATTTCCTAGGAATAATAATGTGGAGGCCAAGATGGGCTGACACCCCAAATCATTCATTCAATCATTCAGTCATCTATTTAACAGACGTTTACTAAATATTTAATATGTGAAGCACTCATGAAACAGATCATTATGATGAGGAAAAGAGGTATATCAAGATATTCATTTTCTAATGAAGAATAAGAGGGGAATGCCCAGTGAAAGGAGACATTTTGGGCATTTCTAGGCTTAGACAAGGCATTCTGAGGGCTTCTATGCAGCATGTCTTCTTTCTCAGAGAACAAGAGGAGGCTACCTGCATTGGGGAAAACCAGGGAAGGTCTTGATATGGCATTTCCAGTGCCAGACGGCAGGGCCTGGAATGGATCATAAAGGGCCAGAACAGGGTATGGAGATCCTAAAAAGTATAGGAATGGTTTAGGGATGTATTTGAGAAATGGTTACACTTCAGGGTAGAAAATCAAACCAAAAAAATCAAGGTGAGCAGTAAGCCAAAGGGCAGAGGTAACACTAAGCTGAGGTCTAGGAATTCAAGCCCAAAGCACTAGGTAAGGTTTAGAAGAGGTAAGTTATTAGCTGGGTTTAAAGACTGACTATAGGCCGGGCCCAGTGGCTCACACCTGTAATCCCAGCATTTTGGGAGACCAGAGTGAGCAGATCACTTGAGGTCAGGAGTTTGAGACCCTGGCCAACTTAGTGAAACCCTGTCTCTACTAAAAATACAAAAATTAGCCGGGTGTAGTGGTGTGCACCTGTAGTCCCAGCTACTCAGGAGGCTGAGGCAGGAGAATCGCTTGAACCCAGGCGGCAGAGGTTGCAGTGAGCCAAGATGGCACCACTGCACTCCACCCTGGGTGACAGAGTGAGACACTGTCTCAAAAAATAAATAAATAAATAAAATAAAGACTCACTATAATTTATAGAGGCAATCCACACAGTTCCTCCTCCAGAAGGGCATTATGGCTTATGTTAGAGGGTGGAAGCAAAAGGGGACCAAAAAAAGGAATAGAAGGAGTTGGAGGAGTTGGTGAAAAGCTGAAATGACCATCAGTAATCTGTAAGAAAACTTCAGTTGGCTTCCATCCCTGTGTTAGAATTTCAAGGGAAGACCCATTTTCATTGGTATGATAATGACATGAATATAGTTTGTAAATTCTGGAGTGGATAAATTTATTGTTTAAGCCAGAACCAAGATAATTATAAGGGTATTGTCCAAATAAGAGTAAGACATAATCTCCAGAAAATGAATCTTGGATTAAAAATAGGGGAGAAAGATCATCATCTAATAATTCGTGTACACAGCAGAGATTCACTTCAAATAAACAATGTACTAGGAGAACAGAGAAACCTTAGATGTCCAAATACATGGAAGCGGGAGAGACTTGTTCCCTGAAAATATAGAATAAAAAATGGGTCCCTGTTTCATTACAGAAGTGTTGGCATGACTGTTGTTGCCATAAGCATTAATATCTACTCCTGGCTGGGCTCAATGGCTCTCGCCTGTAATCCCAGCACTTTCGGAGGCAGAGGCGGGTGGATCATTTGAGGTCAGGAGCTCTAGACCAGCCTGGCCAACATGGCGAAACCCTGTCTGTACTAAAAATACAAAAATTAGCTGGGTGTGATGGTTCATGCCTCTAATCCCAGCTACTTAGGAGGCTGAGCCAAGAGAATCACTTGAACCCGGGAGGCGGAGGTTGCAGTGAGCCGAGATCGCACCACTGCACTCCAGCCTAAGTGACAGAGTGAGAACCTGTCTCAAAAAAAAAGAAAAAAAAAAAAACTACTCCCAATGGTTTAGGTAAGCAAGTACCCTAAATGCTGATCCAATGACATTTTATCTTATTTTATAATTTTATCTTACAATTACCTTACTTAATACATCTTTATGCTTTTATCTCACTCACTAAATTAATGGTTTTTAATCCCCAGTGTATATTAAACAACCTGGAAATTTTTATTTTAAATAAATATTTTAGAGCTCTACCAAGAAATTGTGATTTAATTGTTCTAGGTTACACCTTGGATGCCAGTATTTTCAAATCTCCCAGTTAATTCTAATGTGCATTCTGAGTTGCAATTTCCACAGCACATTAAAATATCATCAACTACAAAACAGGGTCCCAATGGTTTATTTGGATTGGTAGAAAAATCTAAAGTTGAGATTCAGAATCATTGCTTATTAAAGATTACTTTGGAATGAAAGTAAAGATATTCAAAAATGTTCTAAAATATTCGTCCACGAGTATAGAAGGCTTCTGAATCAAAATATCTGAGAATAATCATTACCTGTCTTCTTCCTCAAAATCCAAAAGAAATGATGGGAGTTATAAATACATAACAGTCCAAGGAAACCGCGAAGCATCCTATTCCACATATCAAAATAATGAGGAATTTCTGGAAGATAAAAAGTAGATATGACAAAGAAACTGACACTCAGTACATGCTTGAGATGTGACTAATGAAAAAGTAAGTTTTCCCCCTTAAAACTCTGGAATAACAAATGATGAGAGGCAGCAGGAAATAGAAGCAAGAGCCAGAAGTAGAAAATTCAGCAAGTAATTAATTAAAGACTGCAAAATAGCTACTCTGTCTCTGGCTCGCAGAGCATCTGGCAACATGGGATGCTAGAAGTGCTGAAAAAGGATGGGAATAGATATTTTTCATATAAAGAGAATGTTAAAATGTACAAACTCAGTTTAAGAATAAGTGAATACCCATGTGACCATGACTCCAGTTAAGAATAGAACATTGCTAGTACATTAAAATGCCTCTTTTGGATAACAACTTCTTTTTCCCCTAAAAGTAACTACTAGGCCAGGCACTGTGGCTCACGCCTGTAATCCCAGCACTTTGAGAGGCCTAGGTGGGTGGATCACGAGGTCAGGAGATCGAGACCATCCTGGCTAACACGGTGAAACCCCGTCTCTACTAAAAAAAAAAATACAAAAAAATTAGCCGGGCATGGTGGCGGGCTCCTGTAGTCCCAGCTACTCGGGAGGCTGAGGCAGGAAAATGGCGTGAACCTGGGAGGCGGAGCTTGCAGTGAGCCAACATCGAGCCACTGCACTCCAGCCTGGGTGACAGAGCAAGACTCCGTCTCAAAAAAAAAAAAAAAAAAAAAAAAAAAGTAACCTTCTATGATCACAACTATAAACATTATTTGGTTTTTTCTCTTTTGGGACTTTGATATACATGGAATCATAGTGTATCTACTCTTTTGTGATTGCTTTTCTCGCTCAACTATACATTTGTAAGTTTCAAACTTGTTGATGTATGTACCTGCAATTCATTCCTTTTCACTGATAGATAATAATCTAGTTTATAAATATACAACCATTTTTTAACCAATTCCTGTTGAAGAGTATTTAGATTGCTTCCATTTTTTTAAATTTGATGAACAGTACTGCTATAAATATTTTTGTAAAAAAGCTTGATGCACATGTGTAAACAATTCCCTTTGTTATACACATCGGAGTAATATATTCATATGCTCAACTTTCTTAGGGCATGCCAACCTATTTTCAAAATACTTGTACCAATTTACACTCCCACCAGATGTATATGTGAGATTCTGTTGCTTTGCATTTCTTGCCATCATTTGAGTCATTAAAGTTTTTTTTTTTTTTTTGAGACGGAGTCTTGTTCTGTCACCCAGGCTGAAGTGCAGTGGTGCGATCTTTGCTCACTGCAACCTATGCCTCCCAGGTTCAAGTGATTCTCCTGCCTCAACCTCCCAAGTAGCTGGGATTACAGGCGTGCACCATGAGTTTTGCCATGTTGGCCAGGCTGATGTTGAACTCCTGATTTCAAGTGATCCGCCTGCCTCAGCCTTCCAACGTGCTAGGATTACAGGCATGACCCACCACACCTGGTCTTGAATCATTAAAGTTTAAAGCTTAATCTTGCGTTTATGTAAAATTATCTCATCATGGCTTTCATCTGAATTTATTTGATTACAAATGATAGAAACTTTTTGTAGTTTATAAGTCATTTGGGTTGCCTTTTTTGTGAATTTTTTTATTCAAACTTTTACCATATTGAGCTGCCCATATTTTTCTTACTTGTTTACAATATTTCATTAAGTTATTAATTCTAAAACTATTGGGCACTTTCTATGTTCCAGGCCCTGTTCTAGACACTTGAGCTACATCATTAGAACACACACAAAATACACATATCCCTAAGTAAATATTCTCTGCTCTTAGACACCTTCTAGTGTTGAAAGTGAAAGGGGAAATAGGCAATAAAAATACAAAGGTAAACTATGTTGTATTTTATAAGTTAATAAGTTCTATCAGTTAAAAAAAGAAAAAAATTAAACAAGGTAAGGGGTGTTAGATTGCTGGTGCTGCATGGGAATGGAGCAAATTACAATGTAAAATATTATAAGAATAAGCCTTATGAAGATACATATGAGAGAGTGAGTACATGAATATGCAAAGTTGAAGGCTTCATCATCCTGGGTCCTACAGTCACTGTGCTGATTAGAGATCCCTTACTGACCTGCACTGGGTATAAAATATGAGCAAAGAAGTTTATTTTGTCAAGCTATTGAGATCTGCAGGTTGCTCTTTACTAGGTCATCACCTGGCTCATCCTACCTGAGGCAGTTACAGTAAGACATGCAAATAAAAAGACTATTGTGATATTCTTGGAGCGTGGAATTCTTTAAGCAAAGGAGACAACCCAGAAATTGTAAAAGAAGGGAACAAATTTGATTACATAAAAACTAAAAGCTCTCTGTAGGAAACCTACCATGGAAAAAGGATAATAGATACATAATACTTTGTTGAAAAAATGATGATTTATAGACAAGGAATAGACATCCATAATGTACAAAGAGTTCTTAAGAATAAGTAACAAATAAAAATTAATTCTAGAAACATAGACAAGGAATATGGATAAAGCATTAATATAGAAGATCTGTGTTACATAACATAGAAGAATATTCACAATACTTTAGAAACACACACACACACATATTCCATACCTTTTTAAAAGTACACATATATAACATATAAAATGGAAACACACACATATATGTGTGTGTGCGTGTATACATACACATACGATATATATTTTATTTGTATGTGTAAATAAAAAGTTATGGATAACATATAATAATATATTAACTATTAGAGTTTGAGAACTTTTTTATCAACTGCAAGTTCTTTAATTTTACAAAACAGTTAAAAATGTCAGAGTATGGTTATGTTTGGTAAATTCCAGTTAGCAATCGAAAATTATGTAATTTTGGTTATACTGCCCTATAAATATCAATTAGGTCAAGTTGGCTAATTATATTGTTCACAGTCTCTTTATGCTGATTGATCTCCCTGTTAATGTAAGTTATTGAGAGGGAAATATTAAAATCTCAAACAATTATTGCAGATTCACCTGTTCCTTTTTTGGGTTCTGTCTTCTTTTCTTTACATATTTTGAAGCTATGTTATTAAGGAAAATACATTTAAGATTTTTTTAATTATTTTTTCTTTTTTGCTGTTCTTCATGAACTGTAGATTAAAGATGGTTATATCTTCCTGTGAAAAAGAGATTTTATCATAAAATACCCTTATTTTTCTCTCATAACACTTGTTGTTTAGATGTACTTTGTCTGATACTATTACAGTCATATCAGTATTCTTTTGCGTAGTATTTATTATACATAGCATATCTTTTCCATTTTTTTATTTTTAACCTATATGTATGTTTATTTCAAGTGTGTTCCTTGTAAACAGCGTATAGTTGGAGCTTTTAAAAAAATTTAGTCAGCTGGGCATGGTGGCTCATGCCTGTAATCCCAGCACTTTGGGAGGCCGAGATGGGCAGATCACCAGGTCAGGGGATCAAGACATCCTGGCTAACACGGTGAAACCCCGTCTCTACTAAAAATACAAAAAAATTAGGTGGGCATGGTGGTGGGCACCTGTAGTCCCAGCTACTTGGGAGGCTGACGCAGGAGAATGGCATGAACCTGGGAGACGGAGTTTGCAGTGAGCCGAGATCCCACCACTGCACTCCAGCCTGGGCTACAGAGCGAGGCTCCATCTCAAAAAAAAAAAAAAATTTACTCAAACAGATTTGACTTTGAACAAGTATGCAACATCATTGGTCAGTATGAAAATGCATTGCAAAACCATAATTAAATGCCTCCTTAAATCCAGCAAAATCGTTAAAATTTAAAAGAATGACAATAGCAAGTTTTGCAAGAATATAGATGAACTAGAATTCTTATACATTATTAGTAGGAGTGTTAATTGGTTAATAAAGCCACTTTGGAAAATGTTTTAGCAGTATATACTACCAAACTTGAACACATGGGGCTCTAAGACACAGTAATTCTACTCCTAAGTATATACCCAACAGAAATTAGATGAGTGTATAGTCCAACATAAGACATGCACAAAGTATTCATAGCATCTTCAATAATCACAGACAAAAACTGAAAATTAACCAAATGTCTATCAATAGGAATATTGATAACTAAACTTTGGTGCACTCATGCAGTGATATACACACAGCAATATAAAAGAACTGATATGCAGGAAAACATGAATAAATCACATTGACATAATGTTGAGTGAAAAAATCTAGACAAAAAGGTGTATATACTGTTTGATTCAAATTATATAAAGTTTAATAAGAGGCAAAATTAACCTTGGATGACAGATACCAGACCATGGTTACTTCTGGGAGAGGATGATTGGTAATAAGATTGATTGGCATGAGGAAACCCTCTGATGTGCTGAAAATGTTCTGTCTTGACCTGAGTAGTGGTTTCATGGGTATATACAAATATAAAATGTCAACAATCTGTACACCTGAGATTTGTACATTCTATGTAAGCTATACCTAAATTAAAAAAAGAAAATAAAATAAATATCCAGTTTTTCATATTTAGAAAAATCCAAAAATCAGTTTATATGAAACCGACTTAACATACACCATTTTGGGTTTATGTTATCTTTCCATAACCTAATGTTGGTTAAAATGAGGTGCTTTCCTATAGTCCTGTTCAGCAGTGCATACATATTTTGGGTGTTACTGTTTCTAAGTTTTTGAGCTGTGAAACTGATCCTTAGTCTTCATGAAGGGTTGTGCTGAAGACACAATGAGGAGATATGAAGGGAAACATAAAAGTGTCCAGCTCTGAATTTTATTGCTCTTTCCCCTCCAGATAAATAATTTGCCTAGATAAATGATTTATTAAGAATAATCATTTTCTTTTATGACCTTACCCAGGTATTTCTGTTGATGTTGAGATGGCTGACTAATGACATTTTTGGAAGCATTTTCATCATTCAAGAAAGTAGTGGTTATATTCATGCTAGTGAAATGTGCTAATGTTTTCTCTTCAAAAGCACAACACATTTTGTCCCTTTGAAAAGATCAATTGAAGTTTCTTTAAAAGCTCAGCTAAATACACACCACCCTGTGAAAGATCACCTCTAGTAGAAAGTAGACAGCTGGAATCTCTGGGACAATTAAGTAGATGAGATGTGAGAACAGAGGTGCTGTTTTAATGGTTTTGTGACTGATTCTAAGCTCAATGGAATTATTATGCCAACTTTTCCTCTTGTCTTGCTTTGATGTGGTAGTGGATACTTTTGAGAATGAATATTGGCAATAATCCTCCTGGCAGCATATAAGCAACTTAGCGTAGTTTCAAGAGTACCAGTTCTAGGTTGCTCAGGCTCAAATCCTGTGATCACCAGGTCTATGCTGGGAGTCCAGAGGCAAGTTACTCCATCTCTCTGAGCTCAGTTTCCTCATCTGCAAAAGTGGGTATATCAGTACATTCCACACAGCTTGTTGTGAAGATTAAACAGAATCATTTATGTGAAAGCATTTCAGGAAAAAATGAGGGAATTTTTTTTTTTTTTTTTAGACAGAGTCTCACTCTGTTGCCCAGGCTGGAGTGCAGTGGTGCAATCTCAGCTCATTGCAACCTCCGCCTCCTGGGTTCAAGCAATTCTCCTGCCTCAGCCTCCCAAGTAGTTGGGATTACAGGCATGTGCCACCACATCCGGCTAATTTTTTTGTACTTTTAGAGAGATGGGGTTTCAGCATATTGGCCCGTCTGGTCTCAAACTCCTGACCTTGTGATCTGCCTGCTTCTGCCTCCCAAAGTGCTGGGATTACAGGTGTGAGCCACTGCACCCAGCTGAAAATTTGTTTATACTAATCATGCCCAGAAAGAAGCATGAAAGATGTATAATCCAGCTGGAACTGAGAAGGTATATAGTAGATTTTATAGTAATGATTTCAAGAGACAATCCATTAAATTGATTTAAATAGTACTTGATGGATAATACTTGATAATAACATTAGCTCTCTTTATGTTAATTTTTAGCACTTTGAAAAAATGTGCATATTTAAAATCTAGACATACCTTAATTCTTGTGAACATTCAGAACAGACATTAATTGGCTTTTAATCTCTGTTATGCATTGATGACAAAGCATTAGAGTGGGAACTTGGAAATTACTGGTCAAAGGTGATGAGGAACAAGTGGCTCTTTTCTTCCTTTCATTCAGTTCATGTGGGTTCTCTTTAAAACCCGTGCTCTACACAATCAGACCACAGTATTCCCTATTTCCCACATGGCAGGATGGGTGAAGATTGGAACTTCTATAGTCCTCCATATTATTCCCTCTTCCACATTATTAAACTTTTTTCAATTAGGCTTCAAGTTCCTTCAGATAGATTATAAGTGAGCCCTCTGGATTCAAAGGAAGCTCCCTCGTTACCTAGAGCCCAGGTATTCCGGCTTCTCAGGTAACCAGAAATTAATCTTTTCATCATCTCTCTATGGAGAGTGACAAGTTTTTAGAGAGTTACAAATAAATTTAGCATCTTTTCAGCGATTCATTTTGCATTAAGAAAAACCACAGCCACTGAATAAAAAATAAAAAATCCTTGAGGACTCTACTTCATTTTATGCCTAGTGGCAAATATTACAGGATCATGCAGGCAGTTAGAAATGGTTCAGACCTAATTTAACTTTTCTGAAAAATGGCTTGTAGCCCATTGTCTACAGGATGCCAAAACATCTGATGACAGGTGAACACCTCAGCTGGCCATCTGGATAGTTAATAAATGTCAATCATCTGGGAGTGCCCAAAGAGCTGAATGGAAGACTGAATTTTCACTTTACTTCCTTTTTTCATATCTTTTCTCCATATTTTGTCCTTTTCACTACTCTTATTTCCCTTCTTATTCATCTATAATAACAGCTATTGGGTGAGCAGAATTTTCTTCCAGAATGACATGCCTTTCTCTCTGCCAGAGTCTCATCTTCCTTCCTCCATAGGACTTAACGTTGGTTGAGGATTCAAGCAAGTAATAAATTGTTAATAGGCTTCCCCACATGTAATTGATGTTGGCATTCTTCCAGGGCTCTTCATGTGAGTTTGGGGTGTAAATGTAGTTGTCCAACAGATAAAATGTGTGCAAAGCTCTGAACACTCACTAAATTTCCCAAATTAATAACATCTTTGGTGCTTTTGATCTTTATGATAAAGAGAGAGATGAATATATATTTGGCCATCCAGTCTACCTTGAATTTGTGTTCCTTATCATCACATCTTGCTGTCTGTAAAACTTTGGCAATTTTTTCTTTTACTTTGAGTCTCCTTTCGCTCACCAGTGAAAACAAAATAACCTGTGAGAGTTGCTGTGTGGACCAAATGAGATACCAAAATCTGAAAAAGTGCCTTGGAAACTGTTGAAGGATTTACAATTGTACAATATTATTTACTATGGTAGGAAGCATAGCATCAGGAGCTGAATACAAAGCAGAGACTTAAAAGCTTAGAAAGACCTCAATAACAAGAATCATGTCATTGTATGATTCCATGCTCCAGATATCGGCTGAAATGAAGTGATTCTTACAAACGTTTGCTAAATGAGAAAAAAACTTTAAAAATCTATGAAAAAGAAGAATATTTAAATTTTAGTACTGTTAACATTCTAATAGATTCAATCTGTTGTATAAAGTGATTGTTTTCAACCTGCTAAAAGTCAATCATTACTTATTTCTTAAGGTCTTACTATACACCAGGCCCTTGACTAGGACTACAACAAGTGTAAAGAAATCATTCAATATCAAGTGGAGAGAATTTTTGTTTGGGGTAGTGAATTCAGCCTATGTGTTTAATTCTCTTTTGTGTTCTTCACCCTTAGCCCCTTCCAATGAGTAAATTTTGTCAACACGACAAAGAATGAAAATGTTGGAAACCTACAAAATTTTTGAAAGGAAAACTTTCCAACCCCCAAGTCACTGGATACAGATAACTTGCCTAAGGATTGTGTGTAATAGGAGACTCCAGAAGGAGGTCAGCAAAGCAACCAGTCTGAGTGACATGGGCTGGAGGTAAGGCTGGAAGTCTCCCTGCCTCCCCAGGTAGTAGTCAAGTAATAGACACTGAGCAAACAGAGATTGGGAATATTGCTTACAGGTTAAATACATAATTGCTCAACTAAAAAGAGAAATGGAGGTAGAAAGGAGTCTACTGGAAGTTGTAAATACTATGTTGAATTAGATGACCATCTAGAGAATTCTTAGAATGTCCTAGAACTCAAAGGCAAATAATGAAGAGATTCACATAATGATAAAAAATAAAAGAGACAAAGAGGCATGAAGAATAGATCCAAGATTATATATACACATATATATGTGAGTGTATACACACACAGAGTCCTCCTCTGCTCTCTATTTTGTGAAATAACTCCACCTATAATAAATACCATACCCAGATGAGTACAGAATATTTCTATATTCTTTGAAAATATTTTTCTGTAATGTTTAAACTATTTCAGGGAACTGAAAAAAATGAATTTAATTAATGAGAACAAAACCAAAATCTTAAAAAGAGAACTCAGAAAACCACACAGACCTGTCTGAGATACAGATGCAAAAATCCTAAATTCAAAATAAATTACTTAAAAGAATAAACTGTCAACACTATTCTACTTTTGTCTAATGAACTTGTTTGTTAGTTTAAAAAAACTTACTTGGATTTTGATTAATATTTTATTTAAATGATAGATTGATCTTTGGACAACAAATTTATTTACCTGAAGTACTTTCTAACTTTCTCAATGCTAAAACAATATTCTCTTCTTTCAACTATTACTACTCAAATTTGTTAATCCAAATCTCCTTTGGATGAGCCACCCTATTTTCAAATAACGCTTAAGCTTATATACTCATTTTTACTGTAATCATTTGATGTTAATGTGACCATTGAGGCTGCTTCCAGTAGACTTCCACACACCAGGAGACTGGAAAGTTGAACTCTTAAGAGGATCACTTTCAACATCAAATCCGTGTCTATCTACATAGAGTTAACTGCTGCAGTAACGAATCCCCCCTTTTAGTGGCTTGCAGCAGCCTGTTTCTTTCTTGCTTATGTTAAAGGTCGATTGTAGCTTAGCTGAGGCTTAATGCTGTCTTTACTCTGGATCTCAGGTGTATGGGGCTTCAAGAATCTGGACGATGGCTGGTGTACTGGGCTGAATAGTGTTCTTTAAAATTTCATGTCCATCTAGAACTTCAGAATGTGATCGTATCTGGAAATAGGATCTTTGCAGAATTAATTAGTTAAGCATATTGAGATAAAATCATCCCAGATTTAAGGTGGGTCCTAAATATAATGACTCATGTTTTTATATGAGGAGAGGACACAGAGACACAGAAAGTGATGTGAAGATGGAGGTAGAGATTGAAATGATGCATCTACAAAGCAAAGAATGTCAAGCACTGTTAACCACCAGAAACCAGGAGGGAGGCATGGCTTCTCCCTTGGAGCCTCTGGAAAGAACCAACACTTTTAACCCCTTCACTTTGTACTCTTGGTCTTCTAAACTATAGGAGGCTAAATTTCTGTTGTTTTAAGCCACATAGTTTGTGATAATTTGTTATGGCAGCCTTAGGAAACTCATACAGCTGGTGACTTAGGCAACGGGTAACTGAGTTCCAGAGTGTGTCTCACTTTGGCTCAACATAGAAGTGTCCTGCTTCCTTTCCACTCATAACTTGTTAGCCAAAACGACTTTCACAACCCCACACAACCAAAAAGGAGTCAGAAAGTGCAATCCTGTCATGTGTCAAGAAGCAGAGAACCAGAAATATTTGGCAACAGTACTAATGACTACACTGAGCCCGTGGTATTACTTCGCTTTCAGAGGCAGAAATGCAGGAAAAAGTACAATGACTATACTGAACCCACTGTATTACTTTGCTTTCAGAGGCAGAAGTGCAGGAAAAAATATATCTTTGCAAATGCATTCTGATGAAAACAGATGACAGGCAAATCCTATTCTCTTGTGACAGACAGAGAGATATTTCGCCCCCCAAATCTCCAAAGCGGCATTCCATATATTCTTTCTGATAGATACATCAAAGTTGAATTCTAAAATTTCTCTTAAAATCTGGCAATGACTCAACATTAGTAAGAAAGGCCTTCCTCATAATCATCTAAATGGCATTTTCAGAAGCAACATTAGGAAAATATTGCCTGAATTCATTCTGCAGAAATTGGATTTGGATATTTTCTTTGAAATAATTTTTAAGACTCCTGTCTTTATAAGCTTCATTAAGACAAGAAAATGAGGAGGCATTTTAAGAGAAAAATTACTAAATTCATAGCTGGAGTCTGTTTCTGTTAGAGGTAAATAAATCATAAAGAGAAATAATGCTGGTGTTTTAGATTCAACTTACACAAAACTTCAATATATCAGCCAAATATTCCCAGCTTTGCTAAAAGTTATACTCTTTTGATAGTTTGAAGAACTTAGTCTTATGCCTGGTTTTAGAAAAGCGGGAAAAAAGTGTACCTCAACTTTTAAATCCAGCCAGGCTGTCACCCTTTGATAACAGAGTATTAGAAAGAATAACTGAGAGCATTCAAACATTTTTTGAGATTTTCTTCTTTAAATTTTATTCTTTTTAATATACTGTGCCCAAATGGCTCTCTGCCTCCTGTTTTATATACTATGCAGAATTAAAGTAGGTGTTTTTATTTATAATATTTTTTATTTTTATGAGTACATAGTAGGTGTATATATTTATGGGGTACCTGAGATATTTTGATACAGACACAACAAGTAATATTCACATCAGGGTAAATGAGGTATCTGTCTCCTCAAGCATTTATCATTTCTTTGTGTTACAAAGATTCCAATTTTACTCTTTTAGTTTTTTAAAATATATAATAAATTATTGTTGACTTTTGTCACCTTGTTTTGCTATCAAATACTGCATCTTATTTATTTTACCTAACTGTATTTTGTAGCCATTAACCAACCAACCCCATGAAGTAGGTGTTTTTAGATTGCAATGGAAAATTCAATACGTGATTACGTTAAAAACTTGATTTACAATCCTTATTGATACCTTGTCCTTTTTCAATGTAAAATAATTAACAGAGAATACTATTTTTAGCACTATGAATTTTAAAGAATGTTATAGTGTACCTAATTTTCCCTTAGCTATTTTTGGAAAAGACTCCTGAAACAAATTCCATACAGAATGAAATATATAGAAAATATGTTAGCTTGTATGAGAAATTTAACAGCCTCTTGCCTTCAGACATTTCTAAGCCACTGCCCCATTTTCAACTCAACCAGTCATCAACTGTATTTTATTTTTAGTAACTTTTAAAATCATGATCATGTTGAACCATTTAGACAAAAATAATACGTATTAATAAAACTATATTGTTAATTGTGAAGAAATTTATGTTTGGTCCAAAAAACTGTCATTTTGTTTATGTGTCAGTTTCTTCACATGAAAAACTATTTGACAAAGAACACTATGGATAAAATATCGTAAAGAATTGTTGCCTGATTCAAATCTTCATAGAGTAATGCAGATACCCGGTGTGTAACAGTTTTGCATGTAATTTACCTCTTTATGATGAGATGATGTGTTCTTATAGATTACTGGGCTGTTTTGGAAGCCAGTGCTTAGAGGTCAATGATGCAAGATAATCTCTTGCTTCCTCTGTCCTATGAGATTTTTTTTTAATTTTTGCAAAAATGATGTTCATGAGCCTAACATTGCTGCATTATTATTATTGTTTAATTTTTAAAATGTGGGGGTACATAGTAGGTGTACATATTTATAAGGTATATTAAATCTACCAATTGACCCAGTAATCCCATTACTGGGTATATACCCAAAGGGTATAAGGGTATATACCCAAAGGAATATAAATTGTTCTATCATGAAGACACCATGTACACATAAGTTCATTGCAGCACTATTCACAATAGCAAAGACATGGAATTAACCTAAATGCCCATCAGTGATATACTGCATAAAGAAAATGTGATACATATACACCATGGAAGGCTATGCAGCAATAAAAAATGATGTGAGTATATATATACATATATATATATGTCATAATTTATGTCACAGACAGCCTGAGACCGTTCTTACAGAAACACCCCAGATCACAATTGAATTATGTGTATATATATATATGTATGTATGTATATATATATATATATATATATATATATATATATATATATATATATATGGCAGGAACATGGATGGAGCTGGAGGCCATTATCCTTAGCAAACTAATGCAGGAACAGAAAACCAAATACTGCATGCTTTTACTTATAAGAGGGAGCTAAATGATGAGAGCACATGAACACATAAAGGGGAGCTACACACACTGGGGCCTATTGGAGAGTGGAAGGTGACAGGAGGGGAGGCTTAGGAAAAATAACTAATGTATACTATGCTTAATACCTGGGTGACAAAATAATACATAAAACAAACTCCCATGACACAAGTTTACCTGTATAACAAACCTGAACATGTATCCCTGAACTTAAAATAAAAGTTAAAACAAAAATGACAGTATATATGATACTGAACACACTTAGCAAGCATTTCAGGTAACTAACATGTACCTCACACTGCTAGCCCTGAATTCTTTCTCACTATATCTATCTTCTAAGTATGCTCACCATCTATGATTACTCAGAGAGAGATTACTTTTTATAATTTGAATTATAAAAACAAGAGCTTTCTTTTACATTTCTTCATATTAAAATTGTGTTGTAATATTGAATAATTTATCTCAAGCCACACGTGTCTCTTTTTATTCCCAAAAATGTGCTGGCTCCTTTCAACTTCACCCCCTAATTCAGAATTACTGTCCTCACATATACTATGTGCAGGCTGATGGTAACCCCAAAGCATTTGCTGGTTGAGTATTTGCATTTGTAGACTAGGAACTAGACAGGCGAAGTCAACTTGAAAATACAAATGTCCATCATAGAATCTGCAGTGTGGGTAATCTGCATAAGAATAATTGAGAATTTTCTCTAAGAAAAATTTTAACCCATAGTGAAAGCCTTGGATACACAAAATAATCTTATAATAGTAAAAAAATTACCCCAAATTATTATTCTTTCACATTTTTCATGGTAGTTTTTACTAAATTACAGGTGGAAAATAAGATGCTCGTAAGAGTTTATCTATTCTAAGAAGCCACTTGCTACTCCTTTCTCTGACTGATGAAATACTTCTCATCCTCTAGGTTCAGGTTAAATGTCATATTCATATTGAAGCCTTCATTGATACTCCCACTCAAACTCATTTGTTCTCTCTTTTCTGTTTCTATGGCACTATATTCATGCTGTTAATACGTATTATGTTGGCTTCTAGCTTATTTTATATAGTTTTGCTTCTCAGAGAGATTTTTAACTTCTTGATGGTAAGGACCTAGGATGATTTTATTTTTTTCATCCTCATGCTTAGTTCAGTTGCTGACAAGATCAGGTACATATCTTTTTAAATAAAGCTCCAAAGGTGATTCTGATGCACAACCACTTCAGAGTTTATATGAAATAAAGAATTTCTTAAATAAAAATGAACATTTGATGAAAATTGAAAATACTGACTAAAAAACTAGATGTAAATTCAGCACAAGAGAGTGCTCATAGTGTAATGAGATGCCATTATTACTCATTTTTAACCTATTTTACATTAATTTTTGTTGTTATTTACCAAAAAGTTTTTAACCAAGATACCCCATTGAGTAGCAGCTGTCTCCCTGGGTTTTCTGGATAACATAAAAAGGGCAGTGCCAGCCAGCTCTGACACCAACGTAATGAGAATTTGTTAGACTCATGACATCTGCCAGCTTAAGGGAGGTACTCAACGTAATATTGCAAATAAAGCTTGAAAATGACATTTTTAGTAGAGTTAATATAGTTTTTAAAAAAACCTTTTTCCCATCATACAATTGTTTTTAGTCCTCTCTCAGTTCAACTAGCTTCTATTTGCATAAGAAGCATTTTATGTCAGGGAGAAGCAGTGTTTTCCAGAGGGGGACGGGGGGACAGAGTGGGCAGAGGGGGCAGGATGAACATGCCAAACAGCCAACACTCCCAAATAGAGATATTTCTTCTCCGAAATGATCAAGATAAGAGGTTTGAAATTTATTCATTTGGTAGTTTGAAGTGAATTTGTTTACAAATAAAAAGCCATTAATCATTTCTGAGGAGTAAGGAAGGAAATTAATATTTATTATCTGCTAAGTGCCAATCATGCTTTCAGAACTGGAGGCCTTTGTAACTAACACTCTTTTCTTACCTACTCTACTCTTCTCACCTTAGAGTCAAGTCTTTCAGGGTGCACCAATTATGGCGTTAAGGCATCTGAAATTTCAAAGGCCCTAAATCCCCACAGTTTCATACTTTTCTGTGGCTACAGTGTACACTAAGCCAGTAAGAAGCAGTCATTTCATATTTAGACCTTTGTACTAATCAGAAGAAATTATACTCAAACAGGTTAAGACAGTACTTAAAGTGTGAGCCCAGACCACTGCCATCAAACTGCAGAGTGTAGGTGCTTAAAATAAAGATTTCTAAATGTCACCTTAGCCACACTAATGCAAAACCTTTGAAACTAGGGTCTACAAAGCTGTATTTTAACAAACACTTAGAGTATTCTAAAGTACAAAATAAATGACTCGGGGGTTCATGCAGATACAACTTTGTAAGGACAAGATCCCCAATGAGTTGCCTGAGGGGTCCCTTACTGAACATTCTGAAAGTGGAGTGCTTGGACCCATGGCCAACACTCATGCCAGTAACCTTCATAGTTGTTGTGCTTCAAGGAACCAAAGGAACCAAATTATAGTCAATTGTAAGCAAGTTTCACTATGAGTCTTGCCAAGCAACATACTTTGCTCTTCTCTCATCTCCTAGAGTACAAAGAAGGAGCAAAAATGCAATCTATAAAATCATGTTTCAGTTTTTGTTTCTGTCTTAATCTGTTTATGCAACTATAACAAAATACCACAGATTAGTTATAAACCATAGAAATTGCTTTCTCATAGTTGGGCAGGCTGGAAGTCTAAGATCAAAATGCTGCCAAGTTCAGGGTCTAGTAAGGTCCCAGCCAGTCTCTCTGTTTCTATGATGATGCCTTATTGCTGTGATTTCACATGGTAGAAGGATGAAAAGGCAAGAGATCAAACTCCCCTTGTAGCCTCTTTTATAAGGGCATTAATCCATTCATGAGAGCAGAGACTCTTATGATTTAATCACTTCCCAAATGGGCCTACCACTTAATAACACCAAAATCAGGATAAAGATTCAACATAAATTTTGAAGGAGACTCACATGTAACCCACAGCAGTTTCCAACTCCCTTGGACTTATTTTATACTTTTCTTCTCATTAAATATCAGCATAAATAGAGAAGAATATGTAGGTGTACACGTACATATATATACCTTCATATTGGTTGTGGCCTGTGATAAGTCAAGTTTGGATGTTCAAGACTTAGAGATTATTTTTGATAGATTTCTGAAGCCACCAGTAGGAACTAAATGAACATTATACACATTAAGCACTACTTACTTAATAGAAGGTTGTAATGAAAGAAATGTGTAGATCAAATTCTAGCTGCATGTACAAACCTTTATTTATAAGCAGATGAAACCATCATAGATAATATTTCAGAAACATAAATTAGCTGTTTGTCAGAATAAAATGACCACAAAAATCTTCAAAGCAACATCTTGACAAGAAATGTTTAGAGAACAAATTTACAATGCAATTTAAAACTACAAAGTTTACTGTATTTGTATGTCCTGTTTATAATGAACATATATTGGATACAACTAATTTCAAGAACCTGTTGCTAGCATCCATTATAGCATTTGCAAATCTTCTAGTATTGATGGAGATAAATAAAGTTGAAACAATTAAAATAGCCATCTCTGGTCTTGCAGATTAAATGCCAGCTGACCACCCTTGAAATGGGAATTTCTGAAGTAGACTACTGACTGATTGTTAAGCTTGAAATAACATATTCCAAATATCAGACCCTCAGTGAAATTTGGAACCATCATCCACTGCAAAAAAGAAATTTGCTTTCTTCTTTAAAAGGTGAAAAAGCTTCATTCCCATTCATTATTTCTAAGTGTTAAGTGGTTGAAATATATTTATATCAATGATTTTCTACATTTATATTCATATGTATATCAATGATTTTCTATTCTCCTAGGGTTTCCTTCCTATGTACTTATAGAACACACTCATTAACTTATTCATCTATAATAATATTACTGTCTACCTACTTTATCAAGTTTACTGTATAACAATTATAACATACTTTAATATTTTATGTGCCACTAAGAAAAAAAGAAAACATGCTGGTAAGTTGGGCAAATGCAATTTCACAATTTCAAGATGGTAAACTTCGAAAAAAATGGCATCATAGAACTGATGAAATATGGGGTATTTTATAAAAGGTAATTTTGTAGGTATTGAGACATTTACAAAGAAAAGAATATGACACGTATTTTTTTACAAGTTTTGTGAAAGAGAAAAATTATATCAATATTAATGTCACCAAGTGATATGGTGTAGAGAACACAGTGGTCAGAAGCAACAGAGAGTCTCAGATGTTTCTTCTACAAAAAAAAGAGCATCTGTAGTTGTTACCAGACCCCACCACATACCCAAAGTTAGCCTTTGGATTGCGGGTTTCCTCAGTATTGTTCCTTTAGTGGTCACCAGAAAGATATTACCAGAAAGGGGTCTGGATCCAGACCTCAAGAGAGGGTTCTTGGATTTCACACGAGAAAGAATTTGAGGCAAATCCATACAGCAAAGTGGAGGCAAATCCATACAGCAAAGTGAAGGCAAGTTTATTAAGAAAATAAAGGAATAAAAGAATGGCTACTCTACAGGCAGAACAGCCCTGAGGGCTGCTGGTTGCCCATTTTTATGGTTATTTCTTGATTATATGCTAAACAAGGGGTGGATTATTCATGCCTCCCCCTTTTAGACCGTGTGGAGTAATTTCCCGACGTTGTGATGGCATTTGTAAACTATCATGGTGCTGGTGGGAGTATAGCTGTGAGGATCACCAGAGGCCTCTCTTGTTGCCATCTTGGTTTTGGTGGGTTTTACCTGGCTTCTTTACTGCTACCTGTTTTATCAGCAAGGTCTTTATTACCTGTATCTTGTGCCAACCTCCTATCTCATCCTGTGACTTAGAATGCCTTAAGTGTCTGAGAATGCAGCCCAGTAGATCTCAGTCTCATTTTACCCAGCCACTATTTAAGATGGAGTTGCTATGGTTCAAATGCCTCTGGCATTTTACCTCTCCCTTTTATAACAGAACCAGTAAACCTAAGGGTTGCAGAGGGATGAAGATCCATCTTCCGTAACTTCTTTAAGCTGAAAAGGGGCAATGATATTTCTGCCTAACTATGAGGGTCTCTTGTATTTGGGGTAGAGAGGAGCCGGTCAGAAAGCATTGGTATGTTGAGGGCCATTCAGAACTCCTGAGTTCCAACAAAAGGTTGGTATCTGGAAGATTAATGTGTTCAATTTAAGAAAATATTGAGTAAGTGTATTCTGCATTCCTACACAGAGTACAACAGCAATATATTCCACATGAGAAATTATACCAAGGTAACTGAATTTGAAGGCTTTCCTTGAACAGGGTAATAGTTGGAACCAAGCTGATATGGGGTTGCTAGCTGATTCCACTGTGCCCATGATTAGAATATTGACTCCAGATTTTTACATTACCCATCTTTTTTGCTTCTTTTGAGCAGAAGCCAGAGATCACTGGTTGTTTTACAGGAATAAGCAACGTCAACCTAAATTTCAGGAAAAAACTCAAAAATAACTGATGAGACTAGACTCTAATAACAAGTGTACCATAGTTCTTGAAACATAATTTCTCTCTACAGTTTCCCATTTTTGCTAAAGACAAATCATGGTAAGACTGATTTTCTTTATTATACTTGGCCTAATTATTTGTATAAAGTGCATCAAAAATAATTACTTTTCACATAGATTTTAAAATTGGCTTTGATGGAACTCTGTTCTATAAGGAATCTCAGATAAGACTTTTTATTTAAAGGTGAGTCCAGCCATGGATTTGCACCCTCAAATAACTATAAGTTGTGTAAATTCCTCTCCTCTTGAGGTCCCAAGATACCTTGGGCTCCTGGACCTGTCAGAAAGTGACATTTCATGACATTCTTTACTTACCACAGGTCAGAAACCCTGTACATAGACTGTGTAGATAAGGCATGAGGCCAGTTTTCCCAAAGTGCTTTTACTGGCTTTACAAGTAAAGTTTGATTTTTTTAAAGGAAAGCACACCATTCCAGCCAAAGCCTTGGGAAAATAACCAGTTTCTCCAATAGTGTTCTGTTGAAAAAAACAATTCTTATTGCACTTATACAAACAATTATATTGCCATAAATGAAGAATACTCACAACTAGTTTCCAAATTCTGAAGAAATCAGGTAGAAATAAATAAATATGCTCCAAATATTCTTTATAGGAATATACTTTACTCAATTGTTAAAAGATGTAAATAGCTCAAAAAAAAAAAAAAAAAAAACAGTTTCCTCTACTCTGAAAAACAAAGGATCAGCAACATTATCAGAAGAGTCAAAGTGGATAAGTGGATGTGTCCAAGATGGCCAAATAGGAAGAGCTCCAGTCTGCAGCTCCCAGTGAGATCAACACAGAACACAGGTGATTTCTGCATTTCCAACTGAGGTACCCGGTTCATCTCACTAGGACGGGTTGGACAGTGGGTGCAGCCCATGGAGGGTGAGCTGAAGCAGGGTGTGGCATCGCCTAACCCAGGAAGTGCAAGGGGTTGGGGGATTTCCCTTTCCTAGCCAAGGGAAGCTGTGAACAGACTGTACCCGGAGAAATGGTATATTCTTGACCAATTACTGTGCTTTTTGTGTGGTCTTAGCAACCAGCAGACCAGGAGATATTCTCCCATGCCTGGCTCGGCAAGTCCCACGCCCATGGAGCCTTGCTCACAGCTAATGCAGCAGTCTGAGATCAACTTGTGATGCTGCAGATTGGTGCGGGGAGGGGCATCCACCATTGCTCAGGCTTGAGTAGCTCACGGTGTAAACAAAGAGGCCAGGAAGCATGAACTACATGGAGCCCACAACAGCTTAGCAAGGCCTACAGCTTCTATAAATTCCACCTCTGGGGACAGGGCATAGTAGAACAAAAGGCAGTAGAAAGCTTCTGCAGATTGAAACATCCCTGACTGACAGCTCTGAAGAGAGCAGTGGTTCTCTCAGCACAGCGTTTGAGATCGAAGAACGGACAGACTGCCTCCTCAAGTGGGTCCCTAACCCCCGTATAGCCTGACTGGAAAACACCTCCCAGTAGGGGCCAACAAACACCTCAAACAGATGGATGCCCCTCTGGGATGAAGCTTCCAGAGGAAGTATCAGGCAGCAATATTTGCTGTTCTACAGCCTCCGCCAGTGATACCCAGGCAAACAGGGTCTGCAGTGGACCTCCAGCAAACTTGAGCAGACCTACAGCTGAGGGGTCTGACTGTTAGAAGGAAAACTAATAAACAGAAAGGAATAGCATCAACATCAACAAAAAGGACATCCACACCAAAACGCCATCCATAGGTCACCAACATCAAAGACGAAAGGTAGATAAAACCACAAAGATGGGGAGAAACCAGAGCAGAAAAGCTGAAACTTCCAAAAAAGAGAACATCTCTTCTCCTCCAAAGGATCGCAACCCTTCTCCAGCAAGGGAACAAAACTGGACAGAGAATGAGCTTGACGAGTTGACAGAAGTAGATTTCAGAAGGTCTGTAATAACAAACTTCTCCAAGGTAAAGGAGCATGTTCTAACCCACAGCAAGGAAGCTAAAAAACCTTGAAAAAATGTTAGATGAACGACGAACTAGAATAAACAGTGTACAGAAGACCTAAATGACCTGATGGGGCTGAAAACCATGGCACAAGAACTTTGCGACACATGCACAAGCTTCAATAGCCGATTCAATCAAGTGGAAGAAAGGATACCAGTCATTAAAGATCAAATTAATGAAATAAAGACAGAAGACAAGATTAGAGAAAAATGAGTGAAAAGAAACAAACAAAGCCTCCAAGAAATATGGGACTATGTGAAAAGACTAAATCTACATCTGATTGGTGTACCGGAAAGTGATGGAGAGAATGGAAGCAAGTTAGAAAACACTCTTGAGGATATCATCCAGGAGAAATTCTCTAACCTAGCAAGGCAGGCCACATTCAAATTCAGGAAATACAGAGAACACCACAAAGATAGTCCTTGAGGAGAGCAACCCCAAGACACATAATTTTCAGATTCACCAAGGTTGAAATGAAGGAAAAAATGTTAAGGGCAGCCAGAGAGAAAGGTCAAGTTACCCACAAAGCAAAGCCCATCAGACTAATAGCGGCTCTCTCGGCAGAAACCCTACAAGCCAGAAGAGAGTGGGGGCCAATATTCAACATTCTTAAAGAAAAGAATTTTCAACCCAGGATCTCATATCCAGCCAAACTAAGCTTCATAAGGGAAGTAGAAATAAAATACTTTACAGACAAACAAATGCTGAGAGATTTTGTCAACATTAGGCCTACCTTACAAGAGCTCTTGAAGGAAGCACTAAACATGGAAAGAAGGAACTGGTATCAGCCACAGCAAAAACATACCAAATGGTAAAGACCATCGATGCTATGAAGAAACTGCATCAATTAATGGACAAAATAACCAGCTAAAATCATAATGAAAGGATCAAATTCAAATGCAACAATATTAACTTCAAATGTAAATGGGCTAAATGTCCCAATTAAAAGACACAGACTGGCAAATTTGATAAAGAGTCAAGACCCATTGGTGTGCTGTATTCAGGAGACCAATCTCAAGTGCAAAGATGCACATAGGCTCAAAATAAAGGAATGGAGGAAGATCTACCAAGCAAATTGAAAGCAAAAAAAAAAGCAGGGGTCACAATCCTAGTCTCTGATAAAACAGACTTAAAGCCAACACAGATCAAAAGAGAGAAAGAAGGCCACTACATAATGGTAAAGTGATCAATTAACCAAGAAGAGCTAACTATCCTAAATATATATGCACCCAATACAGGAGCACCCAGATTCATAAAGCAAGTCCTTAGAGACCTACAAAGAGACTTAGACTCCCACACAATAATAATGGGAGACTTTAACACCCCGCTGTCAATATTAGACAGATCAATGAGACAGAAAGTTAACAAGGATATCCAGGACTTGAACTCAGCTCTGGACCAAGTGAACCTAATAGACATCTATAGAACCCTATATCCCAAATCAACAGAATATATATTCTTCTCAACACCATGTCACACTTATTCTAAAATTGACCACATAGTTGGTAGTAAAACACTCCTCAGCAAATGTAAAAGAACAGAAATCACAATAAACTGCCTCTGAGACCACAGTGCAATCAAATTAGAAGTGAGGATTAAGAAACTGACTCAAAACTGCACAACTACATGGAAACTGAACAACATGCTCCTGAAAGACTACTGGGTAAATAATGAAATGAAGGAGAAATAAAGATGTTCTTTGAAACCAATGAGAATAAAGACACAATGCACCAGAAATTCTGGGACACCTTTAAAGCACTGTGTAGAGGGAAATTTATAGAACTAAATGCCCACAACAGAAAGCAGGAAAGATCTAAAATCGACACCCTAACATCACAATTAAAAGAACTAGAGAAGCAAGAGCAAAGAAATTCAAAAGCTAGCAGAAAGCAAGAAATAACTAAGATCAGAGCAGAACTGAAAGAGACAGAGACACAAAAAACCCTTCAAAAAATCAATGAATCCAGGAGCTGGTTTTTTGAAAAGGTCAACAAAATAGATAAGCCACTAGCAAGACTAATAAAGAAGAAAGAAGAGAAGAATCAAATAGATGCAATAAAAAATGATAAAGAGAATATCACCACCGATCCCACAGAAATACAAACTACCATCAGAGAATACTATAAATACCTCTACACAAACAAACTAGAAAATCTAGAAGAAATGGATAAATTCCTGGACAAATACACCATCCCAAGACTAAACAAGGCAGAAGTTGAATCTCTGAATAGACCACTAACAGGTTCTGAAATTGATGCAATAATTAAAAGCCTACCAACCAAATAAAGTCCAGGACCAGACAGATTCACAGCCAAATTCTATTAGAGGTACAAACAGGAGCTGGTACTATTCCTTCTGAAACAATTTCAATCAATAGAAAAAGAGAAAATCCTCCCTAACTCATTTTATGAGACTAGCATCATCCTGATACCAAAGCCTGGTAGAGACACAACCAAAAAAAAAGAGAAATTTAGGCAAATATCCCTGATGAACATTGATACAAAAATCTCAATAAAATACTGGCTGCAGGGCATGGTGCCTCAGGCCTGTAATCCCAGCACTTTGGGAGGCCGAGGCTGGCAGATCACAAGGTCACAATATCGAGATCATCCTGGCTAATGCAGTGAAAACCCGTCTCTACTAAAAATACAAAAAATTAGCCAGGTGTGGTGGTGGGCACCTGCAGTCCCAGCTACTCTGGAGGCTGAGGCAGGAGAATGGCAGGAACCCAGGAGGAGGAGCTTGCAGTGAGCCGAGATTGGGCCACTGCACTCCAGCCTGGGTGACAGAGTGAGACTCCATCCCAAAAAAAAAAAAAAAAAAAAAATACTGGCAAACTGAATCCAGCAGCACATCAAAAAGCTTATCCACCATATTCAAGTCAGCTTCATCCTGGGGAAGCAAGGCTGGTTCAACATACGCAAATCAATAAATGTAATCTATCACATAAACAGAACCAATGACAAAAACCACACCTCAATAGATGCAGAAAAGGCCTTCAACAAAATTCAAGAGCCCTTCATGCTAAAAACTCTCAATATGCTAGGTATTGATGGAATGTATCTCAAAATAACAAGAGCTATTTATGACAAACCCACAGCTAATATGATACTGAATGGGCAAAAACTGGAAGCATTCCCTTTGAAAACCAGCACAAGACAAGGATGCCCTCTCTCACCACTCCTATTCAAGATAGTGTTGGAAGTTCTGGCTAGGGCAATCAGGCAAGAGAAAGAAAGAAAGGGTATTCAATTAGGAAAAGAGGAAGTCAGATTGTCTCTGTTTGCAGATGACACAAATCTGTATTTAAAAAACCTCATCATCTTATCCCCAAATCTCCTTAATCTGTTAAGCAACTTCAACAAAGTCTCAGGATACAAAATCAATGTGCAAAAATCACATGCATTCCTATACACCAATGATAGGCAAACAGAGAGCCAAATCATGAGTGAACTCCCATTCACAATTGCTTCAAAGAGAATAAATTACCTAGGAATTCAACTTATAGGGATGTGAAGGACCTCTTCAAGGACATCTACAAACCACTGCTCAAGGAAATAAAAGAGGACACCAACAAATGGAAGAACATTGCATGCTCATGGATAGGAAGAATCAATATCATGAAAATGGCCATACAGCCCAAGGTAATTTATAGATTCGATGCTATCCCCCATCAATCTACCACTGACATTCTTCACAGAATTGGAAAAAAACTACTTGAAAGTTCATATGGAACCAAAATGGAGCCCACATAACCAATACAATCCTAAGCAAAAAGAACAAATCTGGTGGCATCACGCTACCTGACTTCTAACTATACTACAAGGCTACAGTAACCCAAACAACATGGTACTGGTACCAAAACAGATATATAGACCAATGGAGCAGAACATAGTCCTCTGAAATAACACCACACAGCTACAACAATCTGATCTTTGACAAACCTGACAAAAACAAGCAATGGGGAAAGGAGTCCCTATTTAATAAATGGTGCCAGGAAAACTGGCTAGCCATATGTAGAAAGCTGAAACTGGATCCCTTCCTTACACCTTATACAAAAATTAACTCAAGATGGATTAAAGACTTAAATGTAAGACCTAACACCATAAAAACCCTAGAAGAAAACCTAGGCAATACCATTCAGGACATAGGAATGGGCAAAGACTGCATGACTAAAACCCAAAAGCAATAGCAACAAAAGCCAAAGTCAACAAATGGGATCTAATTAAACTAAAGAGCTTCTGTGCAGCAAAAGAAACTATCATCAGAGTGAACAGGCAACCTACAGAATGGAAGAAAATCTTTGCAATCTACCCATCTGACAAAGGGCTAATATCCAGAATCTACAAAGAACTTAAACAAATTTGCAAGAAAAAACAAACAACCCTATCAAAAAAGTGGGCAAAGTATATGAACAGACATTTCTCAAAAGAAGACATTTATGTGGGCAACAAACATATGAAAAAATACTCATCATCACTGGTCATCAGAGAAATGCAAATCAAAAACACAGTGAGATACCATCTCACACCAATTAGAATGGCTATCATTAAAACGTCAGGAAACAACAGATGCTGGAACGGATGTGGAGAAATAGAAACACTTTTACACTGTTGGTGGGAGTGTAAATTAGTTCAACCATTGTGGAAGACAGTGTGGCAATTCCTCAAGGATCTAGAACTAGAAATACCATTTGACCCAGCAATCCCATTACTGGGTATATACCCAAAGGATTATTAATCATGCTACTATAAAGACACATGCACACATATGTTTATTGAAGCACTATTCACAATAGCACTGACTTAGAACCAACCCAAATGTCCATCAATGATATACTGAAAATGTGGCACATATACACCATGGAATACTACGCAGCCATAAAAAAGGGGGTGTTCATGTCCTTTACAGGGACATGGATGAAGCTGGAGACCATATTCTAAGCAAACTGTCACAGGGACAGAAAACCAGACATCGCATGTTCTCACTCATAGGTGGGAGTTGAACAATGAGAACACATGGACACAGGGTGGGGAACATCACACACCGGGGCCTGTCAGGGGTGGGGGGCTGGGCGAGGTATAACTTTAGGAGAAATACCTAATGTAAATGACAAGTTGATAGGTGCAGTAAACCAACATGGCACATGTATACCTATGTAACAAATCTGCACATTGTGCACATGTACCCTAGAACTTAAAGTACAATAAAAAAGAGTCACAAAGATTACTTCAGTCTTCTATTAGTTTAGTCCACTCAGTTAACTCCTGTTCTGTTTGATATTCATGAACATTTCAGCACTCCATGAGAGTCCTGAAAGGTTTTTCCCTATGCTAATGTTACAATCTCCAAAGTTATCAAAAACCTGCATTTAAGAACACCTATCAAACTCCCATAGCTGACTATCAATCACAATTTGAAGAGGAACAAAACCAGACAACATTTGTCTGTGGACAATTAAAAAAAAAAGTCACAGGACAGCCACTCTTAAAGCCACAATTGATAAGAAAATTTTGGTTACTTCTGTGGCATACAACAATTGTACATAACAATTACAACTTTTAATAACATACACTAAGTTATATCAGGATTATAGGAGTTTTACATAATTTTGGAACAGATGCTAATAACATATTTATATAAACACAGCCAAAAGAAAGCCAAACACCATTTTATATTTGACAATGTTTCCTAGGTGATTTTCATACTAAATGAGCCAAATTTCACTGTTGCATTTGTACATTATTGATATCAAACCCAATTCTTAATAAAACCTTATAGACATATCTATAATGTTTTTATTTTAATTGTTGACCATAAGGTAAGATTCTCATAAACCTTTTATAAACCTTTACAAATCTTTGTTAAAGAGCAGATCATAAGCAAGTTTTTGCTATAAGAAAAATCTTTTGTGCTTTTATTCCAATGTTTAATTTAAGGAAAAACTGAATAATACCCCTTTAACTTTAGCCAATAATTTTTTTACAAGATTAATTTTTTACACACCTTCCACAACTTGCTTAAAGCTTCAGCTTTATTCTAACTTAAAACAAACTTTTTAACTTTTAATATGGCCAAGAACATCCACGTTTCCATGACTTCTTATAATCTTTCACCAAAAACACATTTCACTTTCCTTACAAGCATTACGTGTAAAACTGTTTCTTCAGTAGTTTCAATTACGTATATTACACTGTTAACTGTTAGCAACTCTTACTTTTGGTGAAAACCTTGGTAAGTAAGGGATTATAATTATGTACTAGGTGTGGAGCTTAGGAAACCAGATAAGTACGACTTTTTCCAGCATTGCTATGGGTATGGCTAACACCACATGTTTCTGGGTCTTACCTAAAATCTAATGCTCCAAAGTAGGTAAACTGAACAATTTTCAAAAGTCAAAGGAGCAGTTTATGACCTTAAAGCATTTAGCAAACTTAATATTTGACCTGCATAATTTAGACCAAATGTTTACATTTTTGAATATATTTTTATTTTACCAATAATCTTTAAAACTGTTTTTGTTTCCCAAAGATTACTTAAGTCAAATGAACCAAAAGGCATTACACTTTTTTACTTTTTTGACCAAATATTTAATTTAAGCACTTATTATTTTAAACCAATTAAAGCTTTTTTATATCACACACACAACACATATAAATACACACACAGAAGATAAAGGACTCATTTCCTAAGCCGAGAATTGAACCCTGAACCTGCGCTGCCATTGTGATGGTGGAGACCAAGACTAAATATCGCCACATGGTTACAAGGTCAAGCTCCTAAGGACATACAAGACAAGAGGGAAACTTCAACCAGTTTTTATTTTTTTGCAGGGGGTGGACCTGTAGCAAAGTTTATAAGTGACCACTTCACTGGGCCATCTTGAGCCAGGCTTATGGGGTCCTAGGCCCGCATTTTGTCCTAAGGTACCACTCTTTATGAAAACAATACCAAAAGACACAGAAAGCACACCAGATTCATTACAGCTTAAGATTAGCTTCATGAATCCTTTTTTCTATTAATCAAAACCTTACAGAATAGCTAAAGAGTGATTTCTTTTTACCATTCATTCAATCAGTTTGCACAGAGAGAGAGGCCAGAAGTCTGACTAGTAAGAAATTCTTACCATTTTGCCAGCGTGCCAGGCTTCTGGGTTACCTTTCCCTGAGTGGCCCTAGTGACCTAGCTGGCTGCACCATAGCCCTAGGGGCCAAGACCCAACACAAAAGAATATTATCTTTTCCTGTCCTGGCCAGAGCAAAATATATGGGATAAAACACAGACATTAGCCACTCTGCTTAGCACCCAATATCAAACTGGCAAGACTCAAACTTGCCCCCAATTGGGCCCCATTATCGTTAAACCAACTTCCTACCAGGAGTTTCAACATGTGGTCTCTGGGCAAGATGGTCATCCTGAATAACATAAAAGATAGAAAAGGGGAAGAAGAGAGAGAAAAGCATTGCCTGTGGCAGGGTAGGGAAGGCAAACAGCTCACTGAGGCCAGAGAAAGACCCATCCATTGCAGCAACACTGAAAAGTTCAGGCAGCCACTTATCACTAGCAAAGGGATCTTTTCCAGCAGTTCCATTCACTCTCAAGTTTCCCCTTTTGGCAAGGGAAAAGCTACCCATGTCCCATGATCCTGTATGTGCCTAATTCCATTACTCATAGTCATAAGCAAAAAGTGCAAGGCAGATTAATCCAAACAGAATAGCAGTTAATATCCCATAGTGCCAAAATCATTCTTAGTTGAGAGGGACTTTACTGAGAGGGGCCTCCAACCCCCTAAATCTTAGGAAGCACTCTAACCTTCATAAGTTAGGCCTCGAGTCCAAGTTTCCTCAAGCGTTTTTGCTTTTTATTAAGAGGAGCCCTTAAACCCTCTCTGTCTTAAGAGGGACTCTAACTCATCTAAGTTGGGCCTGTAACTCAGCCCTATCCTTTACCCAGGTTTATGCACCCCACATACCCAAGGTCAGCCAATTGGTGCACACAGATAATTACCCTTGGGGTTGGGGGGGTCTCCTCAGTTTTGCCCTTCAGGGTTCACCAGACAGATGTTACCTACCGGACCCTACCACTTAAGTAACGTTAGCCTCTGGGTCAGGAGTTTCCTCAGTATTGTCCCTTCAGTAGTCACCAGAAAGATGATATCAGAAAGAGGTCCCAATCCAGACCCCAAAAGAAGGTTCTTGGATCTTGCACAAGAAGGAATTCAAGACAAGTCCATACAGTAAAGTGAAAGCAAGTTTATAAAGAAAGTTGGATTAAGAAAATGTGGCACATATACACCATGGAATACTATGCAGCCATAAAAAATGATGAGTTCATGTCCTTTGTAGGGACATGGATGAAACTGGAAACCATCATTCTCAGCAAATTATCGCAAGGACAAAAAAACGAAACACCGCATGTTCTCACTCAGAGGTGGGAATTGAACAATGAGAACACATGGACACAGGAAGGGGAACATCACGCACCGGGGACTGTTGTGGGGTGGGGAGAGGGGGGAGGGAGAGCATTAGGAGATATACCTAGTGCTAAATGACGAGTTAATGGGTGCAGCACAACAACATGGCACATGTATACATACGTAATAAACCTGCACATTGTGCACATGTACCCTAAAACTTCAAGTATAATAATAATAAAATAAAACAAACAAACAACAACAACAAAAAAAAGAAAGTAAAGAAATAAAAGAATGGCTACTCCATAGGCAGATCAGCCCTAAGAGCTGCTAGTTACCCATTTCTAAGATTATTTGATTATATACTAAACAAGGGTGGATTATTCATGTTTCCACTTTTTAGACCATATAGGGTAACTTCCTGACATTGCCATGGTATTTGTAAACTGTCATGGTGCTGGTGGGAGTGTAGCAGTGAGGAAAACCAGAGGTCACTCTCATTGTCATCTTGGTTTTGATGGGTTTTAGCCAGCTTCTTTACTGCTACTTGTTTTATCGACAAGGTCTTTATGACCTGTATCATCTTGTGCCAACCTCCTAGCTCATCCTGTGACTTAGAATACCTTAACTCACTGGGAATGCAGCACAGCAGGTCTTAGCCTTATTGTACCAAGCCCCTGTTCAAGATGGAGTTGCTGTGGTTTAAACATTAAAATGGAATGAATAGCCATACAAAGTACTTCTTCTCAGTAGATGGTGGCCAGAAACAAATAGGAAGGCCCCAGCTCTGTCAAGGAAATAAAAATTGCTGATAGCTCTACATTCTTCTGTTATCACCCTTAAGCCCTAATGCTGCTTTTTGAAAACCAGCCATCAGTGTACATTCCCCAAGACCTGCCACAGATCACAGAAGACTCTGACCATCAGAGCAGTGAACAGGGGCTGGGGGCCGTATCCTAGAAAGGTGAACAACAGGTGAAAAAACAGGAAGAAATAAAGAGAAGAGGAAATTTTTTAAAAAGTGATAAGTTATTTCTTTATGAGAAGGAGGGAGATAGGAGGATTGACGTTTTAAGTAAGAGGAGGTCCTCTTTTGTTTAATATTTACATGGATATTTTTCTTCCTTTCACACCTATTTGTGTTTTAAACTGCAAATCTGCCACTTATGGACTTTTAACTGGTGAGCTTAATCCATTCATATTTAACCAGATTACTAATAATGAAGAACTTATTTTTGCCATTATGCTATTATACATATATATGTTTGTGTGTATGTGTGTGTGTGTATGTATATAAGTGTATATATCTTTTTGTTCCTCAATTATTTTAATACTGTCTTCCTTTGTTTTTGATTTTTTTTTTTTTTGGTGTACCACATTTGATTCCCTCTTTATTTACTTTTCAGTATTTTTTTAAATTACCTTCTTAGTGGTTACCATGGAGATGACAGTTAACATCCTAAATTTGTATCAATCTAGTTCTAATTAATAATACATTGGCGCAACCCGCTCAGGTCCCTTTCCATGCTGTGGAAGCTTTGTTCTTTCACTCTTCACAATAAATCTTGCTGCTGCTCACTCTTTGGATCCATGCCACCTTTAAGAGCTGTAACACTCACTGCGAAGGTACACAGCTCCATTCTTGAGGTCAGCAAGACCATAAACCCACCAGCAGGAACCAACTCCAGGCACTTCTCGGGGGCTTGTCCAGGATATCGCCACGTGGCGAGTACCACTGGACCCATGTCACTTGCTATTCTGTCCTATTTTTCCTTAGAATTCAGGGGCTAAACATCAGGCACTAGTTTTCCTCCTAGACCACAAAGGGGACTAAGAAAGGTTGGATTTAGTGGCCCTTACCAATGCCTTCTTGAAAACCTGCACCCTTGCCTTTCTTCTTAGACCACAAAGAGGACTGAGAAAAATTGGATTTAGTGGCCCTTACTGATGCATTCTCAAAAACCTGTCAGAGTCCTAAGCGTTTTCTCCTGTTGGTATTGGGACCTTATCCTTGTCCTATAAAGATGATATGCCTCAAAATGGAGTGGAGGGCCATACCCTGAGGGAGGGAAGGGATCTCCAGGGTTGGAAGAGTGACGCCTTTTGTCCTCACTTCTTATCATATGAATAGGAAGGATATTCTCCTAATTTGGGAGTCTATAATTTCTGAGGGTCCCCATATCCTAGCTTCAGGAATAGCCTTTGTTAGGCCTGCTAGACTAAGGAGGGATCCTAAAATTCCAGATAGTCCACCTGCCCCACTACCCACTATGCTGGGGCTTTGGGCAAAAATTATGTCTTTCTGATTGGTGAGCCCATGTGCCTAAAGAAGGGAACAGAGTCCCAAAATGTATACTAGAAATCATTTGTATAAGAGAAGCTAGAAGAGCACAGGGACAGGGAGTGGTATTTAGAAGTGGGACTAACCTTGGAGAAGAGAGGTGGGAGGAAGTTTGTCTGACAGTTGTTAGGACCCAGGGGGCAAGGGTCAGGATAGATAGGATAGATGGTTGACTCTCGCTTAGGCAACATAACTCTGAGGGTTCTGCTCACCTCCTCAGTTGTAATTGGGAGACTTTGCTCTTTTCATGTTCCTTCCTTGTTATGCATGAAAATCCCACACCCTTATTAGGGAGGGATATATTAGCCATAGCTGGAGCTATTATCTACATGAATATGAGGAAAAAGTTACCCATTTGTTGTCCCCTGCCTAAGGAGGGAATCAACCCTGAAGTCTGGACATTGGAAGGACAATTCAGAAAGGCAAAAAATGCCTGCCCCGTCCAAATCAGGCTAAAAGATCCCTTAAGGCCTGAAGCTCATAAAGGATTACAGGATACTGTTAGACATTTAAAAGTTCAATGCTTAGTAAGAAAATGCAACAGTCCCTGCAACACCCCAATTCTAGGAGTACAAAACCGAATGGTTAGTGGAGACTAGTGCAAGATCTTAGACTCATCAATGAGGCAGTAATTCTTCTATATCCAGTTGTACCCAATACCTATAACCTGCTCTCTCAAATCCCAGAGGAAGCAGAATGGTTCACAGTTCTGGACCTCAAGTATGGCTTCTTCTGCATTCCCCTGCACTGACTCCCAGTTTTTCTTTGCCTTTGAGGATCCCACAGACTACATGTTTCAACTTAAGTGGATGGTCTTGCCTCAAGGGTTTAGGGATAGCCCTCATCTCTTTGGTCAGGCACTGGCCCAAGATCTAGGCCACTTCTCAAGTCCAGGCATTCTGGTCCTTCAGTATGTGGATGATTTACTTTTGGCTATCAGTTCAGAAGCCTCATGCCAGCAGGTTACTCTAGATCTCTTGAACTTTCTAGCTAATCAAGGGTAGAAGGTATCTAAATTGAAGGCCCAGCTCTGCTTACAACAAGTCAAATACCTAGGCCTAATCTTAGCCAGAGGAATCAGGGCCCTCAGCAAAGAATGAATACACCTTATACTGGTTTGTCCTCACCCTAAGACAATAAAACAGTTGTGGGGGTTCCTTGGGATCACCGGCTTTTGCCAACTATGGATCCCCAGATACAGTGAAATGGCCAGGCCACTCTGTACTCTAATCAAGGAGACCCAGAGGGCAAATACTCACCTAGTAGAATGGGAACCAGAAGCAGAAACAGCCTTCAATACCTTAAATCAGGCCCTAGTACAAGCTCCAGCCTTAAGCCTTCCCAAAGGACAAAACTTCTCTTTATACATCACAGAGAGAGAGGGAATAGCTTTTGGAGTCCTTAGACTTGTGGGACAACCCCACAACCAGGCATGCCTAAGTAAGGAAATTGATGTATTAGCAAAAGGCTGGCTTCACTGTTTATGGGTAGTTGCAGTGGTGGCCAACTTAGTATCAGAGGCTATCAAAATAATACAAAGAAAGGATCTCACCATCTGGACTACTCATGATGTAAATGGCATACTAGGTGACAAAGGAAGCTTATGACTATCAGACAACCATCTGCTTAGATACCAGGGGCCATTCCTTGAGGGACCGGTGCTTCAAATATGCACATGTGCAGCCCTCAACCCTACCACTTTTCTCCCAGAGGATGGGGAACGAATCAAGCATGACTGCCAACAAATTTTAGTTCAGACTTATGCCGCCTGAGAGGATCTCTTAGAATTCACCTTAACTAATCCTGACCTTAACCTATATACCGATGGAAGGTCATTTGTGGAGAACGGGATATAAAGGGCAGGTTATGCCATAGTTAGTGATGTAACAGTACTTGAAAGTAAGCCTCTTCCCCCAGGGACCAGCACCCAGTTAGCAGAACTAGTGGCATTTACCCGAGCCTTAGAACTGGGAAAGGGAATAAGAATGAATGTGTATACAGATAGCAAGTATGTTTACCTATATGCCCATGCTGCCATATGGAAAGAAAGGGACTTCCTAACCTCTGGGGTAACCCCCATTAAATACCACAAGGAAATCATGAAGTTACTGCACACAGTGCAAAAACCCAAGGAGGTAGCAGTCAAAAAGCCATCAAAACGGTGAAGAAAAAAAGGCAGAGGAATCCATCAGGCAGATGTGCTGAGTCCAAAATTGCTGCCAGGTGGAACCTCCCATTAGAAATACCTATGGAAGGACCCTTGGTATGTAACTACCCTCTCCAAGAGATTAAGCTCCAGTATTCCCTGACTGAAACAGATTGGGGACTTTCATGGGGGCATAGTTTCCTCCCCTCATGGTGGTTAATGACAGAAGACGGAAAGATACTCATACCCAAAGCCAGCCAGTGGAAAATACTTATGACCCTTCACCAAACTTTTCATATGGGTATTGAGAACATTCATAAAATGGCCAAATCCCTATTTACAGGGCCAAATCTCCTCCGGACCATCCAACAAGTAGTCAAAGCCTGTGAGGTGTGCCAAAGGAATAATCCCTTGGTCCATCATAAGGCCCCACTGGGGGAACAAAGAATAGGTCACTCTCCTGGAGAGGACTGGCAGTTAAGACTTCACCCATATGCCTAAGTCAAGGGAATTTCAGTATTTGTTGGTCTGTGTTGATACCTTTACAAATTGGATAGAAGCCTTCCCCTGCAAGACAGAGAAGGCTCAGGAAGTGGTTAAAGTCCTAATTCATGAAATAATTCCTAGATTTGGTCTTCTTCCCCATCTCTGATTGCACCAAGAATAGCCTAACAGGATGTGACACAAGTTTAACTTTCCAAGTCCCTTTATGCACCCAACACAGCCTGTTATACACCTCCATTCAGATGGCTTGTCTGTTTCTCAGGGCCCCCAAAAATCATGACCTCCGCCCTGCTTAGCAAACATCCAGGTTTTGTAATGGCAAACATACTCGCTGCATAACCATTCTCCCCTGGACCCTCTGCAGCAGCACCCCCACCACTAGTGAGTGCCTTCTCATCCCCTCTTTTAATTACTCTCTTGAATGGTTTCTAACAGATACAAGATGTGTTTTTCTCCAACGGGAAAATAGAACACTTGGAGCTACTCAGTTTGCACCCAACATTCCTTTCCAGCTGTTCACCAGAGCTACTTTGGCAACTACTCTAGGAGTATGGTAAAATGAAAACAACAAACTCACACACCTTTTTAACATACACAACCAGTTCTGTCTACTTAATTGAGACGTATTCTTCTTGACATTGCCACAGGAAATCAGACCCTATCAGTGCCCCTCAAAGCTCAAGTCCATCAGTGCAGGGCCATACAATGGTCACTACTACAGGAACTGGAATAGCAGGTTTGTCCACTTCACTATCCTACCTCCACATATTCTCAGAGGATTTCTCAGACAGTTTGCAAGAAATAACAAAATCTATTCTTACTCTACAATCCCAAATAGACTCTTGGGCAACAGTGACTCTCCAAAACCACTGAGGCCTAGACCTCCTCACTGGTGAGAAAGGAGGACTTTGCACCTTCTTAGGGGAAGAGTGTTGTTTTTACACTAGCCCATCAGGGATAGCATGAGATGCCACCTGGCATTTACAGGAAAGGCTTCTGAAATCAGACAACACCTTTCAAACTCTTATACCAACCTCTGGAGGTGGGCACCATGGCTTCTCCCCTTTCTAGGTCCCATGACAGCCATCTTGCTATTTCTCTCCTTCAGGCCCTGTATTTTTAATCTCCTTGTCAAGTTTGTTTCCTCCAGGATCGAGGCCATCAAGCTACAGATGGTCTTACAATGGAACCCCAAATGAGCTCAACTCACAACTTTTACTGAGGACCCCTGGACTGACCCACTGGCCCTTTCACTGGCCTAGAGAGTTTACTGCTGGAGGATCCTACAACTGCAGGGCCCCTTCTTTGCCCCTATCCAGCAGGAAGTAGCTAGACTGGTCATTGCCCAATTCCCAACAGCTGTTGTGGTGTCCTGTTTAGAGGGGGAATTGAGAGGTGAAGCCAGCTGGACTTCCTGGGTTGAGTGGGGACTTGGAGAACTTTTCTATCTTACAAGAAGATTGTAAAATGGACCAATCAGTGCTCTGTAGCTAGCAAGAGGATTGTAAAATGCACCAATCAGTGCTCTGTAAAATGCACCAATCAGCGCTCTGTAAAACTCACTAATCAGCAGGATCCTAAAAGTAGCCAATCTCGTGAGGATTGAAAAAAGGGCATTCTTATAGGACAGAAACAGAGCATGGGAGGAGATAAATAAGGGAATAAAAGCTGGCCACCCCAGCCAGCAGCAGCAACCTGCTTGGGTCTGCTTCCACGCTGTGGAAGCTTTGTTCTTTCACTCTTCACAATAAATCTTGCTGCTGCTCAAAAATAAATAATAATAATAATAATAATAAATTGGCTTCAATAGCACACATTAACCCTGCTCCTATTCAGTTCTTCTCCCTTATGTTGTTATTGTCACAGATTACAGCTTTATTCAATGTATGCTCATTATCATAGATTTATGATTATTGTTATATGTATTTGTCCTTTAAATCATATGGAAAACAAAAAAGAGGAGTTACAAGCCAAAACATCAATAATATTAGACTTTATATTTACCTTAGCAGCTATCTTTACCAGTAATCTTTGTTTTTATGGCTTCAAGTTACCACCTACTTTTATTTCATTTCAGCTGAAGGACCCCCATTAGCATTTATTATTTTCTTTTTTTTCCTTTAGCATTTCTTGTATGACAAGTCACTAGTAAAAAACTTCCGTGTTTTTTTGTTATTATTGATAATGAGAAATTGGTTGTTAATCCTTTTTAGAGTCCCTTGTATGCTATGTGTTGCTTTTTTCTTGTTGTTGCCAGGTGAGGTATCAGAGCCCTGGCATCAGGAAGTGGTCAATTCGCAGTTTACTAAGAAGAATTTACCAACAATAGTATGGGTATGCACAGTGAAAGTTTATTAGAAAGAAAGAACACTGCAAAAAGGTGCAGTGGGGGCTCTCAGAGAAAGGATTGAGCGCACCATGGTGAATTTTTCTTAGGAGTTTTTATGAACCTTAAGGCAGGAACTTAAGGATAATTTGGGCCATATTAGCCATGTAGGCCATGATAAATGATTACATTTTGATGCCTTAACATCAGCAAGGGTTGCAAAATGAGTTTCAGCATGGCATTCTGGAGACATATAGAAATTCTAAGCCTGGAGCAAGATGCTGACTTTATTTATTATTATTATTATTATTATTATTATTATTAAGTTATTTATTTTGAGATGGAGTCTTGCTCTGTTGCCCAGGCTGAAGCACAGTGGCATGATCTCAGCTTACTGCAACCTTCGCTCCTGGGTTCAAGCCATTCTCCTGTCTCAGCCTCCTGAGAAGCTGGGATTACAGGAATGCACCACCACACTCAGCTAATTATTGTATTTTTAGTAGAGACAGGTTTTTGCCATGTTGGCCAGGCTGGTCTCAAACTCCTGACCTCAGGTGATCCACCCACCTTGGCTTCCCAAAGTGCTGGAATTACAGATGTGAGCCACCACGCCTGGCCCAGATGCTGACTTTAGATACTAGGCAAGTTTAATTACTTCTAAATTCCCCAGATATGGAGTTTTGCCTCCACATGGCCTGTTTGATGGTCACCAGGTTGTCTTTGCTCCCTTCTAAATTCTTCAGATAAAAAGTTTTTGTCTCCAGGGCCTGTTCAATGGTTACCAGGTAATTTTCACTCTCCTCAGGTGATTTTAAGATTCTCTGTTTGTTTTTAGCTTTTGACAGCTTGCTTATATATAATGTATCTCAGCATAGATCTCAATCTCTTTATTTTTATCCTGTTGGATTTTGTTGAGCTTCTTGGTTGTGTAGATTCATGTTTCCTTCAAGTTTGGGAAGTTTCCTGCCATTATTTTTTCAAGTATCTTTCTTTCTTTCTAAACCTTTATCTTTCTCTTCTCCTTCTGGAGACGTCCATAATGTATATATGGGCATGCTTGGCAGTGCCCCATAGATCCCTTAGGCTCTGTTCACTTATCTTCATTCTTTTTTTTTTTTCCTGCTCCTCAGATTGGGTAATTTCAAGTGTCCTATTTTTAAGTCTGCTAATTCTTTTTTGTGCCTATCCAATTCTACTGTTTTATCCTGTTTTAGTCCATTCCCTACTGCTATAACAAAATAACTATAGACTGGGAAATTTATTTTTAAAGGGATTTACTTGACTCACAGTTCTGGAGGCTGGGAAGTCTAAAAGCATGGCACCAGCATCTGGTAAGGGGCACCTGATGGTGGAAGGTACCACATGGTGAGGAACCATGCACTCAAGACAGAGAGAAAGGGGACGAAACTCCTACAAAATAACCCACCCCTGAGATAACAGCAAAGCCTTCATGAACTAATCACCCCTTAAAGGTCCCACCTCTTAATACCATCATGATGGCAATTACATTTTAACATGAGTTTTGGAGAGAGTGTTCAAACTATAGCATACTCACTATTATGTTCCCCACACCCCCACCCCCACAATTTTAGCTGTTATAATTTTCAGTTCTAGAATTTCTATTTGCTTCCTATTTCTATCTCTTTATTGGTATTCACTACTTGTTTGTACACTGTTATCCCAAGTTTTTAAGTTTTTATCTATGATTTTTTTCAGCTCTTTGAGCATATTTGGTAGTTAATTCAAAGTCTATGTCTCATAAATCCAATGTCTAGGGCTTCTTCAGTGAAGACTTTGGTCAAATCGGCACCCCGCACCCCTCCCCCCCAACTTTTTTTCCTGTAAGTGGGCCATACTTTCTTGTTTCTTTGTGTGCTTTCTGAATTTTTTTTTCCTTGAGAACAGAACATTTTAAATACTGTAAATTTGTTAACTCAGGACATCAGATTCTTCCCTCTCCCCAGTGATTGCTGTTGTTGCTTGATGAAATCTCCAGATATTCATTTATTTATTGACTTTTCCAAAATAATTTTTTCAAAAAATATATTCCTGGTCACATGTGGTTACCGAAGTCTCTGTTTTGTGATCTATGATGTCAGGCAGTGACCTGAGAGAAATGTTCTCAAATGCATAGATTCCATAAGAAAAGAAGAGAAATGATGTTCTATCTCTTTAAATTCCCACAACTAACTGTTTGGGGAAGTTAATTGTGTTTGACAATTGAAACGATGGACAGGTCTTTTGCCAGTCCCTCAGTAATCTGTCAAGCAGATCAAAAGATGCAATCTCGATTTTGGGGGAACAAAATCTGTATTGCCCACTGTGGCACCAGCAAGCTACACTGGAAATGTAAGCCACCATCCTTGTGACTACATGCTGTCAGGCTGGGAGATGGTGAATTTAGGTCACTTCATAAAATATTGAAATTCAATAAAATTTACCAGGCTTTTTCTTCACCAAGCATTCCTCTAGATGCTACGAGTATTACACTAGACTCTAGAGTTCTGAAATACTTGATTCTTATGTTTCTTGCCAGCTCAGTAGTTGTTTCAGTGGAGAGACCAAATCCTGGAGCTTCCTACTGTACCACCTTCAATGACATCACTATGACTTTAATTTTTTTCAGCATTTATATGCTTTATGTATTGAAAATAAAGAAGAAAGGAAGGAAGGAGGAAAGGAAGGAAAAAACGGAAGGAGGGAAGGAGAGAGAAGGAAAAGGAGAGAGAGTGGTAGGTGATATGGTTGGGCTCTGTGTTCCCACCCAAATCTCATCTTACAGCTCCCATAATTCCCACGTATTGTGGAAGGGACCTGGTGGGAGATGATTGAATCATGAGGGCAGGTCTTTCCTACACTGTTCTTGTGATAGTGAATGGTCTCATGAGATTTGATGGTTTTAAAAACAGGAGTTTCTCTCCACAAGCTCTCTTTGCTGCCATCCATGTAAGATGTGACTTGCTCCTCCTTGCTTTCCACCATGACTGTGAGGCCTCCCCAGCCATGTGGAACCATAAGTTCAATAAAACTCTTTCTTTTGTAAATTGCCCAGTCTTGGGTATGTCTTTATCAGCAGTGTGGAAAATAACTAATACAGCAGGAATGGATGGAGGGAAAGAGAAAAGAAGGAAAGAGAAGGATTTTTCATTGCAGAACATAACCAAGTGCTTAATTCAGCATTTCAGTCATGGGGTAAACACAGAATCCTGAGAATTGAACTTTACATGGATGAGAAAATGCTGACACCTAAGCCACAGAATAAAAGGCAACTGGCCTAGATTCTTGGGTTACCTTGTTGGAGTTTCTGCCACATGGACATTAGTTCCCCTTTTGTCAATATTATGTTGAAAGAGGTTGTGCAGTTGCTGGCATAGTTGTATTCTTATAATTAAATATTTGTTTGTTTCTGGAATTACTTTGCTCTTCCACTATAAACAGTCACCATGGTAAAATTTGCAGCACCAATTTTCTATCAGCATCACTATGTATTCTTGTTCTCTTGCTTTAATGACATTTTTCTTAGGCTGTATGACTATATGATCCTAATGGACTTAAGTGAACGGTGCATGGGGGCAGGGTGGTTGTAAACTGCATCATTCTTTCCATACTTTCTGCCTTTGTAATCAATTTTGTAAGGCTCAAAGAAAAATATCAAACTCCCCAATTCCTAAATGATTAATACAGAGATCTAATTACCTGGTACCTTAAAATATATATTGTGTTTGGGTTGGGCCCGGTGGCTCATACCTGTCATCCCAACACTTTGGGAGGCTGGGGCAGGCGGATCACCTAAGGTCAGGAGTTTGAGACCAGCCTGACCAATATGGAGAAACCCCGTCTCTACTAAAAATACAAAATTAGCCGGACGTGGTGGCCCATGCCTGCAATCCCAGCTACACGGGAGGCCGAGGCAGAAGAATCACTTGAACCCGGGAGGCAGAGGTTGCAGTGAGCTGAGATTGTGCCATTGCACTCCAGTCTGGGCAACAAGAGCAAAATTCCTTCTCAAAATAAAAAAAAAATATATATATATATAATTTATATATATATTATATATAATTTTATATATATTATATATATAATTTTATATATTATATATATATAATTTTATATATATAATATATATAATTTTATATATATTATATATATAAAATTATATATATATACACAGTTAGGGGGAACCCTCTGAAATAGTTCCAAGGAAAATAAATTTAAATTGCATTTATTAAGCAATCCACTAAGTGCCAGCAGGAGATTTCTTCCTACAGCGTTGCAGAAACATTTTAGAGATATGGTTTGGCATGCTGCAGAATGCACAGGTCTTCAAAGAAGGCTCTGACCTACTTTGTTTCTGCCTAGTCTGTGCTGGTTCTTGCTACTGTAGCTTTCTGAGTCAGGTAGAGTCAGTCATTGCACCATTTTTGGTAGCCAGTCTGCTCATACAAGACCCAAGGCAGAGTCATAATACAGAAGCTTCTGATTTCTTACCTACATTTAGGAACATTATTACAAGCATTTTGCTCAGAGTTGAAGGAGCTTTCTGTTTTCATCATTTCAGTGTAAATTTCAAAATAGCTAACAGGAATGTCATCTTAAGTAGTAGATCATGATTTCCAAATATACACTGGCTATATCTCATAGGCAGCAACTTATTAATAAGAACTTTAGAGAATATTTTTTTGCCATAACCCAATAAGGCTAAGCACAAGGATGGGAGCCCCAAATTAGGAACCTCATTGGTTTTCATAGGCAATATACATTGTGTGCCACTATAATCCAAATCCATATAGGCACTACCAGTCCCCCTTGATTAAGAAGCTAAAGGTAAAGTAAAGGGGTCCAAGACACAATCGTGTGGAAGGAACAAATTGAAAGACTAACCTGATCCTGAAGACTACTAGAGAAAGGCCATACGAATTTTAAAAATTCTTCTGAATAATCTTTCCTCTCTGCCTTAGACCCAGCTCAAACTTTCTGCATTGTGTGCCTTAATGAGAATATTTGTCTTCATTCAATTTATTCATTTAGGCACTCATTCTATGGACCTAGTATTCAACTTTCCAGGAAATGTGTAGCTCCTTTCGTCTTTCTCTTGAGGCTTCACGCACAGTCAATAGGTATAATTTTTCATTAAAGGTCCAATATGATTTAAAACTTAACCTGAACTGATAATTTAAACAGTTCCTTTAGGCAATATTTAAGCTTTTCTTTGGATAATAATGCTTAGTCTCTTAGGAAACCTTCCCCTCCCATTGCTTCTCTTTCGAAAATACCATCTATTTATACGTGAGGGAAGGTTCTGGTTGGCCCATTCTTGAGGCATTAGAAGGGACTTCCTGGTGTGGGCTGGTGTTGTGTGTGTGCTGATATCCTCTTGTCCCTGAGGCACTGTTTCTTACTTACCTGGTTGCTGACTGCCCTGCTGCCATTGAGAGATTTTCTGGTGGGTATTATTCTTAATCTGGTCTCTGCTGCATCAAACCATATTTGCAGTGGCTCCCTGTCTGAGCTGCCCTGACCATGGTTCCCACGGGTACTATGAACCTCTTTGAGGTCCTGCATTGACTCCTAATTATTTCTTCAGCCCTTATTACATAACATTATTTGGCAAGCTCCTTGATTACTTTGAAGTTCCGTATAGAATATAGGAAAGCAAGGGGCTTCTGGGAAAATACATGCCTTGAGATTTCTCTCTTCCTGGAAACACCATACTTTTTTTTGTTTGTTTGTCTGTTTGTTTGTTTGTTTGTTTTTGAGACAGAGTCTCACTCTTGTTGCAACCTCCACCTTCCAGGTTCAAGAGATTCTCCTGCCTCAGCCTCCTGAGTGGCTGGGATTACAGGCACCTGCCACCATGCCTGGCTAATTTCTTTTGTATTTTTAGTAGAGACAGGGTTTCACTATGTTGGCCAGGCTGGTCTCGAACTCCTGACCTCGTGATCTGCCCGCCTCGGCCTCCCAAAGTGCTGGGATTACAGGCGTGAGCCACTGCGCCCGGCCGGAAACACCATACTTATAAGTTAACTTTGCAGTGACAATACCTTGCAAGGTGTCGGGGTTTTTTACAGTCATAAATGGGGAGTAAGGGAGAGTTCCTTCTTCTCAGTGCTCCTGTAAAAGCAGTAGGGGAAACTGGGAGAAATTACTTATAGCTTCTCTGGCCTAACCCTCAAACCCTTTCCTTCCCTTCCCATCACCAATTAGACAGAAAAGAACCTGAATTACTTTTTCCTCCTCTTGTCTGAACCTAACTTATATAAAATTTTGGACCAGACCTCATATCCAAACTTTGATAAAAAGGAAGCTATCAGGGATCCAAACAATCCTTTCTAAACACAGAGCCTGACTCACTGGATTTGTTGGAAATTTTGTTTTAAATGTCATTGAATAGGAGTTTCCTTTCTGGTAATGGCAAAATAGCTTGTAACAGACTAAATCTTTTACAGAGAAAAAACAGACAGTCTGAATTAAATGAAAACAAAGATATAAAAGATTTTGAAGACTAAATAGAATTACAAAGATGGCTGAGACTGGAAGAACCAAAGTCATGGACAGAGGAAAGTCTTATTGAGGTAAGCTGGCCTGTTGTGGCTCTTTTCCTTAAAACATTCACCAATCCCTGACTGCTGTAGATAACAAAGACTGGGAAGCCAACAGAAAGTGACTTCAAAGAGGCAGAGGAGATGAGCAGTGCTGTTGTCATTACTGTAGGATCATGATAAAATTTAGATTGCAGGGCTAATCAGATAGGAAGGATTTGCGAAGCCAACATTTCATGGAGAAAAAAAAAAAGTGTAGAGTTGTGAGCCCAATGGTGTCAGCTGCTTTTACTGTCAAGGTATTCATGATTCATAAAAGTAAGCAATGAGGGCAAAGTGAAGCCTAGAGAGAAATGGCAGTGAAGAAAATAAAGACCTAACTGAGCTTTTGGCAATCTCATTATGCTTAAGAGATTTAAATTGGAGTTTATGACTTGTCAAGGAAGAAGGACCCCAGGATTTCAGTTTGGAATCTTGAAGGACTACCCCCAAAGAGGAAGGGAAAAAAATGAATAAATAAAAACATAAATAAGAAAGACTAAATGAACACCCCAAAACATCTCAGCTCCTATTAGGACTAAGGTTTTTTTTGCCTTTAATTTGCTAACAGAAACTAACTAATCCAGAGCTTTTATAATTTTGTATATACAAAATGTTTATTTAATCAAAAAAATTTAAAGATATAATGAGAATGGACCAAAAGAAAATGAGACAATAAAAGTAGATTTGCAGGTAATACAGAAATTAAAGTTTTCAGACAAAGACTTTAAAATAATTTTGATTGGTATGTTCAGAAACAGAGGACCAAGCAAAATTCACCAGATACCTGAGATCTATAATTTAAAAAAATCAAATGTATGCTCTAGAGCAAAAAATGCATAAAGTGTCAGTAGACTGATAACACCTTGATCATTTTCTTTGAATTATTTCTGTGCTAAATCATCATCCCTCTGTTCAGCTTCAGTGAAGGGAAACCAAGATTCACCATTCAGTAAATCCCCTAAACATCTGATCTCTTAGACTCTTAAGTTCTTTGACTGCTTCTAGCATCCTCTCCCTACTTTCCTGAGTTTCAAACTTAAGGAATAAGCCAGGATACAAGGGTCTCTCCTTCTCTCTGGCCAAATTCAAACTAATTTTTAAAGTATAATGCCAGAGCTGAAATGAAACAGAAAGTACACAAAAATAGACCAAAAACAGATTATTAAGGAAAGAAAATTACTGAACAAATTTGTCAGAACAAAAAAAAAATCACTAGTCATTTGGAAAAAAAAATAAATGTTTTTATCCTGATAAACTATTTTATGTCAAAACAGAAAAAATGTATTAGTTAATATTTTGTAATCTTAGTATGAGAGCAAAGTTTTCTAAGCATGAAAACAAAGTCAAATGAAAAGGTAAAATTTTCTGTATAATATCTCTTAGGGAAAAAAGGAAGATAATAAAAGAATAAATCCAAACTATATTAAATTTTCACAATTTAGGCAGGACACTATAATAATGTTTCTATTCTTGATTATATAATGAGCTATTATGAAACAAGAATACCCAAATAGATTAGAAACATAAGCAAAATATATGTATGGGCCATTTTCAAAGATGAAATAGAAATTACATGGTATTCAGCCTTACCTGAAATGTTTAAAATGCAAATTAAATGGCAATTAATTTTAGCTTTACTCCATTAGCCTAAAACAGAATTTAGGGTTTAATAATACCTATTATCAGAGTTCAAGTGGAGAAATGGGCACTGTCAGGAAATAGTGGTGGGATTATAGGTTGCTATAATATTTGTAAAGGATATTCTAAATATGAATGAAACAACATAGTATGAAAAAGAATAAGGTAGGGATTTCCAGGATGGATTTTGGAGAAAACTCTCTACGTCTGAATCACAGTGGTTAGACACTTGTGAAGCTGCCACGGTTTCAGCATCTCTCCAAAGTTTTAGCTTTCCTGACAAAGGATGACTCAAGCATCTCTTGGCTTCACCATCTTACATGGCTCTATGTACATGCAAGGATGCTGGAAAATATACCCGTTTTCAGGTCCAGAATGGAAAGAAAAAGCAGATATGCATGAACACTAGGACTCTCATTCTCACAAGTGGGAATCATATATTAAATGTAGCTATTAATATTATCGCGTTCCTTTTGTCCCAAGAATTCCACTTTTCAAAGTTATCCTATACAAAAACATGGAAAAGTGTGCAGAGAGATACATTTAAAGATTTTATTTATAGTATCCTCTATATTGTTGATAGTTTTAAACTACATTACCATTCAAAAGTCATGATAAAGAGCTATAGTTATGGACAAAGAAAAATGTCCATAATTTATCTTTAAATGAAATATCCTATATCAATACAATAACAATTGTGTAGAGGTGTGTTTCCTTGTATTTCAGTATGTGCTGTTATCTAAATGTTTGTGTTTCCCTAAAATTCATATGTTGAAATTCTAACCCTCCAAGGGACAATATTAGGAAGTGGGGCCTTTAGCAGGTGATTAGATCATGAAGGTGGAGGCTTCGTAAATGGAATTGGTGGCCTTATAAAAGACTGCAGAGAGATAGCTATCTCCTTTCATCATATGAGAACATAGTGAGAAGGTGCCACCTATGAGAAAGGAGCCCTCAATAGACGATAAATCTGCTGGCACCTTGATCTTGAACTATTCGGACTCCAGAACTATGAGACATAAACTTCCGTTGTTTGTAAGCTACCTAGTTTATGGTGCTTTGTTATAGAAGCTGCCAAGTGAACACAGGGGGAAAAAGCATGTATGAGCGACACTGTAAAGGTTTTCACGCTTGCTTACATTAGCAAGTTAAAGTTGTGGGGATTGTCCTTTAGTAGAAAAATGTAAAAAACTCTTAAAAATGCCTTACTTAGTTTTAAAAGTAAAAGCATTTTTTCTTTCATTCTTGCTTTTGTCTTTTAATATGTTTCAAAAAGGACAAAATATATTATGTTCACAAACTCATAATATAAACATGTGTATCAGACCCAAAGTAAATGTAAATTTAAAAATGGAAATGTAAAACATATCCCATTCACTACATACTGAAAATTATAAATACTTACAAATAAAAGTAACAAGAAAGAAACAGGAAATATATGAGATAAACAATAAAATCTTATTGTAGAATATAAAATTAAATCTGAACACATTTGAACATATACCATTCTCTTTATGGGAGGAAGTACTTTCATAAACCACTATTCTCTCTAAATTAGTATAAGTGTAATATGCCTCTAATTAGAATGATAATAGAGATGTAAATCAAATTCTATAAATGGATCTCGAAGTTCATATGGAAGAAAATGACACCTAAGATTAAGCAAAAAGAAGAGGACGGTGATGATAATAAAGAGAGACTTGCCTAACATAAATCAGGCTACACCAAAAATTCCCTGTGATTGAATCAATATATCATTAGCATAAAAATAGATGCATGGATGGGTGAAACAAGATGTAGAAAAAATAAATGGGCATTAGCATATATGAGAATTTCCTACACACTAATACTAGTATTTCAATTTAATGGAAAAAATAAATTATAAGATTGTGTCATGATTGGTTATTTATATAGAAGACAATATAATTTTTCCTGATATTATACCATATACAAAATAAAATTACACAGGAAATAAATACTTAAATGAATTTAAAGTTTAAATATTTATAAAACTTTAAACAACCAGGGAAACAGGTCCAATACCTTAATGGTGAGCTGAAGGGAATGTTCTTAAGCAATATGTAAAACCAGATTCTATAAATAAAAGATAGGCATTTCTGTCTAAAAAAATGTGAAACCTTTGAGAGGCAAAAAGCAACATAAACCAAAGTAATAGACAAACAATGGATTTGGAAAGAAAATTGTAAATTATTCAACCAAAAATCGTTTGCTATTTATAAAATTGAGAAATAATTTTGCAAACAATAAAACAATTTTCCATAATTCATACTTCATATATACTTAACTCACAATTTCTAAATGACAAACTGCTGAACAATGTAAATGTAAACTATGCATTTAGAATCTCAACACAAAGCCCATGGCCAGTCAGGTAAAGACAATATTTAATTACTAATAAAGCAGACAATCCTATACTTTGGTTAAAAATTCCATGTTATTTTTTTTTCTTTTATATAAACATTATTTCCCAAGGATCCATGCAGAGTAAATATTGTGAGTGGCCTCTACGTAAAGTGTTTTAACATGTAAAAAGTTTTTGTGTTTAAACTTTTCCTTAACAAAATGCAAAGCTCTGAAATTTTGACAAGAAAAAGGGCAAATAACTCAATAAAAATGGGAAAGAGATATGAGAAAATACATTTCTTAAACGTAAATCCTAAGGTCAAGAAATATATGCTCAGGTCGGATGCAGTGGCTCACACTTGTAATCCCAGTACTTTGGGAGGCCGAGGTGGGCAAATCACCTGAGGTCAGGAGTTCAAGACCAGCCTGGCCAACATGGTGAAACCCCATCTCTACAAAAAATATGAAATTTAGTCCCAGCTACTAAGGAGGCTGAGGCACAAGAATCTCTTGGACCCAGGAGGCGGAGGTTTCAGTAAGCCAAGATTGTGCCACTGCACTCTAGCCTGGGCAACGAAGCAAGACTCTTTAAAAAAAAAAAGAAAGAAATATGTACTCAAACTCACCGGGAGTCAGGAAAATGCAAATTAAAAATTAAAGTAACACTGAGATATCACCTTCCTACACCTTTAAAAGGAGCAATAGCACTTACTGTTGGTGGGAATGCTGATACAGGATGCCTTCAGAGGAGGAAACAAAACTGGAATTGTTTAAAATCTTTTTGGGAAAATAATCAGGCAATACTACTGAAATTAGTCAATATATCATTTGAGCTATGAATTTGCCATCCTCCTTTTTGGATCATATTTACTGAAATAAAAACACAGGTATTAAAATATATATGCACACAGATTTTATTAGAGCATTGGTTGCAGTGAGAATGGTTGAAAAAGATGGTACATTCATACTTTCAGAGTCGCTTCAACCAGAGTGACTCCACCTTGAACAGGGGCTGGGTAAAATAAGGCTGAGACCTACTGGGCTATTCCCAGGAGGTTATGCATTTCTTTTCACAAGATAAGATAGGAGGTCAGCACAAGATCCAGGTCACGAGGGCCTTGCTGCTAAAACAGGGCCCATTAAAAAGCCAGCCAAAACCCAACAAAACCAAGATGGCAATGAAAGTGACCTCTGGTCGTCCTCACTGCTCATTATATGCTAATTATAATGCATTATCTGCTAAAAGACACGCCTGCCAGCACTATGACAGTTTACAAATGCCATGGCAACAACAGAAAGTTATTCCATATACTCTATAAAGGGGAGGTAACCTCAGTTCTGGGAATTGCCACACCCCTTTCCTGGAAAACTGATGAATAATCCACCCCTTATTTAGCATATAATCGAGAAATATTAATAATTATTTAATAACTGTAAGTATACTCAGTCAAGCAGCCCATGCCACTCCTCTGCCTATGGAGTAGCCATTCTTTTGTTTCTTTACTTCTTTAATAAACTTGCTTTCACTATACTCTATGGACCTGCCCAGAATTCTTTCTTGCATGAGGTCCAATCTCTTGGGATCTGGATCAGGACCCTTTTCCAATAACAAAACCATGAAACACTATGCAGCAATTAAAAGAAATAAAATAGAATTATACCTGTTGAAAATAAATTTCCATGAGGTATTCTTAAGTGAGAAAAGCAGAATGCAGAATGTCAGGCCTCTGAGCCCAAGCCAAGCCATCGCATCCCCTGTGACTTGCACGTATATGCCCAGATGGCCTGAAGTAACTGAATAATCACAAAAGAAGTGAATATGCCCTGCCTTGCCTTAACTGATGACATTCCACCACAAAAGAAGTGTAAATGGCTGGTCCTTGCCTTAACTGATTATATTCCACCACAAAAGAAGTGAAAATGGCTGGTCCTTGCCTTAAGTGATGACGTTACCTTGTGAAAGTCCTTTTCCTGGCTCATCCTGGCTCAAAAAGCTCCCCAACTGAGCACCTTGCAACCCCCACTCCTGCCCACCAGAGAACAAACCCCCTTTGACTGTAATTTTCCTTTACCTGCCCAAATCTTATAAAACGGCCCCACCCCTATCTCGCTTCACTGACTTTCTTTTTGGACTCAGCCCGCCTGCACCCAGGGGAAATTAACAGCCATGTTGCTCACACAAAGCCTGTTTGGTGGTCTCTTCACACGGATGCGCATTAAACAGAACATTTGCATATAATCTCATATTGAAAGGAAAGAATAAGCTCCATATGTGTGTATTTATACTTTGCACTTCTATTGTATATAAATAAGTTGATGAAAAAACAAACTCTTTAAAATATTTAAAGAAGTGATAATAATGAAGAGGAACTTGGCTTAACATACATCAGAATATGACAAAAATCTCCTATAACTGAATCAATATATCATTAGCATAAAAATAGATGCATGGATGACTAAAACCGGTTTCTAAACCAATATGAGTGACCATGGCCCTGGGAACAGTCTCAAGGGATCCTGAGAAAGTGTGCCCTAGGTAGTCAGGTTACAGTTAAGTATTGTACATTTTAAAGAGACGGACATTACAGGCAAAGACATAAGTCAACACAGGTAAGGTATACACTGGTTCAGCCTAAAGAGGTGGAATATCCTCAAATGGGGAGAAGTGGTAGCTTACAAGTCATAGGTAGATTCAAAATTTTTCTGATTTATAATTGGTTCAAAGAGTTATGCTTTGTCTAAAGACTTTAAGTCATTAGAAAGAAATGCTTGCATTAAGATAAGGGGAGCTGTGGAAGCCAAGGTTCTTCTTATGTAGATGAATCCTCCAGGTAGCCCCTTTCAGACAGAATAAATGGTAAGTGTTTCTTTTCAGATTTAAAAAAATATCAGACTCAGTTATCTCTCCTAGATCCAGGAAAGGCCCAGTTACATTAATGCAGATTCTCTATGGGTGCAAATTTCCCCCATGAAAGACGGCTTTGCAGGGCCATTTCAAAATTTGTCTAAGAAATATATTTTGGAGTAAAATATTTTTATTTCCTTTAGGGTCAGCTATGTGTCATGTAATGCTATACCAGGAACAGGTGGGAATTTGGTATCTTATTGCCACAAAGAGTATGTTTTTTTCAGTCTTATAATCTCTATTTTAACTTTAATTTTGGTCAGTTGTGCCTAAACCTCAAAAGGGAGGAGGGGCTGGGCACGGTGGCTCACACCTGTAATCCCAGCACTTTGGGAGGCTGAGGCGGGCGGATCACAAAGTCAGGAGATCGAGACCATCATGGCTAACATGGTGAAACCTCATCTCTACTAAAAATATAAAAAATTACCAGGGCATGGAGGTGGGTGCCTATAGTCCCAGCTACTTGGGAGGCTGAGGCAGGAGAATGGTGTGAACCCGGGAGATGAAGCTTCCAGTGAGCCGAGATCATGCCACTGCACTCCAGCCTGGGCGACAGAGCAAGACTCCGTCTCAAAAAAAAAAAAAAAAGGGAGGAGGTAGAATGAAGGAGGTAGGTCCGACCCCCTTCCTGTCTTGGTGGAAATTCAGTTTTTCAGGTTTCTCTGGGGTCCTGTTAGCCAAGAGAGGGTCCATTCAATCAATTGGGAGACTTAGGATTTTATTTTTGGTTTACAAATTGAACAAAAATTTGAAAGGACAATGATTAGGTTGTTCTCATATGTTTTCTAAAGGTGGGGATAGGGAGGCCTAAGGGAGGATGGATATGAGAAGAAGGAATGATAGCACAGAGGAGGCCAATTTTGCTGACTATCATTTTCCATGTTGTTGTGCATGACTCTCATTAGAAGGATCCAAAAAGAATTGTCCCAATTCATGCAAAAGCGATTTCCTACACCACCAAGTAGGAATCTGCATAATGGGTTTGGGAATCAAAAATGTCAAACATAAGGCATGGGACCCTAGATAGTTACTTAAGGTCTCAGATTTTCACTTTCCCCACCTTATAATAAGATAGTAACTCATAGCAACTGATAGAGTTGTGAAGGTATTGACAATGAAAATGAGTGACTGAGACATAAGTCTCGATCATGATCATTGAGGTTTATTAAGTCACCTTAGGGTGCATCTGAGAAAAACACAAGCCACAGATACATCTGCATCTGTTTATCTGAAGAGATTTTTAGGAACTTTGGTATTTATACATCTCCTTAATGGGGGAAAGGCTTGTAGGAAGAGGGACAGGTAGATGGTTAGGCAAGCACTACATTTTACATACGGCGAATATCTGAAGAGGAAAAGGAAGTAAAGGAAGGGTCAATTATGCAGATGTCTCTAAGTAGATGAAGGAAATGACTTGACTTTGCTATGCACCTAGGAAGGTAAGCTTGTAATGGATGTTATCAGTCTGGAGTTTTAAAAGCTAGACTTACATTGTAGACCTACAGTTACAATTGGCTTGTCCTCTTTTAGGGGAGATCAGCAAAAAATGTACTCATGAATGGTCTGTGGAGGCTGTCCTTCCCTGATGCCTGAGGCCTTTTTCCTCTGCATGGGTATCTGGCTGATACAGTGTTAGTAACAGCTATTCATTTGGAAGAGGATGTTGCAATGACCTTCCTTTTGCATACAAAGCTTGGTGGGGGTGGTGCTGGAATTTTTTAAAAATTATCTTTTACAGTATTAAGGTAAAGTATGTAACATACTTAGTAGAGTATGGACACATACCAAGCACTCAAAAATTTTAAGTCTTTGCTTTCCATTTCAATTGAATTATGTCTCTTTATAGTCTGCAGTAGTCACTGTTAAATAAAGGTTAGCCTAAAGTTGCCTCCTTATATATTTTAGGTTTGTACTAAAGGTTTTCCCGTACATCATGAACTATAACAAGTGGAGGTGTAAACAGACCTTAGCCTACCCTTATGCCAATCACTGAATTTTGCCAATCAAATATAGCCAACTGTTCAAACCATGTTCAGATAACGCAAACGCTCAGCTAACCAATCCAGCTGTTTCTGTACCTCACTTCTGTTTTATGTACATCACTTTCCTTTTTCTGTCAATAAATCTTCTTCCACTCCCCTGGCTCAGGAGGCTGCCCAATTTGTGAAGTGTTCATTGCTCAATCAAACTCCCTTAAATTTAATTCAGCTAAAATTTTTCTTTTATCATCACTTAAAATCAATTCTTAAAATGGATAAAGGCTGACAGCAATCCAGATTTGTTTTCAAGAACTAAGATTGAAAATAATTTTTAAAATAAGAATTCAAAGATTTGTTAGATACTCAGGAGTATACAATGATCACCAGGGCTAACTAATTTAGGTCTGTTAATATACTCTGTGACCATTTTGAGGTATGGCTTTTTTTTAAAGCCCTCACAAACTCTAGTTATCCTGCTGGAGAAGATAGTGTTTCATTATTCAGTTGGATGCACATGGTTGTTTTTCACATCTTTTCACAATTTTGGGGACCAAGCTTATCAGAGAGCAAAAGAACAAAGTTAACTGGAGACGAAGGAGCAGGGAAGAGCCCAGCAAGTCAGGTAGAAATAAAATTTACCTAATAAGTATACACTTTTTTAACCCTTTCTTCATTTTGCAGTGTGCTGTATCACACTGAATATGAAACCACCTTTGCAAAAATTATGACTGAGAAAATTATGACAGTGAAAGAGATCTGACCTAACTGACTCCTTCTTGCTTCTAACATCCAAGTTGTCTAGCTCATTCCTGAGCATAAGCCAAACTAACTTTGGGAGGAATGTATTTTATAGTTTGACTTTGAGACAGAGATGATAACAGCCCCCTTCTTGCCTGAGGACTAGAATGCCTTTGCAGGAGTAACAAATTAACCAAGGGTGAGAAATTATCTTTCAGGAGTCACTGTTATAAAACATGAGATAAGTGCTTGAGATATTTTCCAGACCCGGCCTTTCGATGCACCAGCTGATGCCGCCCAGAATGATAAACTGTCTCATCTAGTCTTGTGGTCCCCCCTTTCTCAACCCCATACCCTACAAATTATCCTTAAAAACTCTGATCCCTGAATTTTCAGGGAGACTGATTTGAGTAATAATAAAACTCAGTTCTCCCTTAACAGCTGCTTCTGATGAATTGAATTTCTTTCTCTATTGCAATTCCCCTGTCTTGAAAAGTTGGCTCTGCCTAGGCAGCGGGCAAGGAGAATGCACTGGGTGGTTACAAATATAACAATGTTTCCAGAGCTTGCATGCATACTATTACATGAGTTGGAGGTATGATAGGACACAGACTATTAAATAAGCATATTTTTAACTTTATAGAAATAAAATGAGATAAAAACACAAGAGAATACAAAATAGCCAGGCAGATAGGAAAAAGAACCAAATAGGACTTCCTCAAACAAAAAATGTTATTGCTAAAATGAAAACACACATACACACACACACACACACAAATACACACACACTGATTAAATCAAATAACAGAGCTGAGGAGAGAATTAGTAAACTGGGGATAGATACCAAGATATCATTCAAAAACTATCTGGAGAAACAAAGAAGTATCTTCTTCCATATATGAGGGATCAAAGACATGGAGGATTGACTGAGGATTTCTCACACACCTCTATTTTGGGTTCCAGAGGAGAGATGAGAGAGTATGGGAAACACAGTGTTTGCAGAGGCAATGGCTAACAATTTGCTAAAATTATTAAGAAACGTGAATCCCCAGATTCAGGAATGCAATAAATATCAAGCAGAACACATAAAAATAAATCTATACCTACACCCATCATATAAAACTGCAGGATATCAAAGATGATGTTGAGATCTTAAGGAAGCTAGGGAAAAGCAAATTTTCCCTGTAAAAAGATTGATAGAAGACTTCTGAAAGGCAACAAAGGAATCCAAATAGTAAAGAGAATGGAATGATATCTTTGAAGTGCCGAGAAAAAGATAACTACCAACTTATAATTACATACCTAGTTAATGAGGCTTTCTTTTTTGAGACAGAATCTTGCTCAGTTGCCCAGGCTAGAGTGCAGTGGCACCACCTCCATTTATTGCAATCTCTGCCTCCCAGGTTCAAGTGATTCTCGTGCCTCAGCCTCTTGAGTAGCCTGGGACTACAGGCACGCACCACCACAGCTGGCTAATTTTTCTATTTGTGTTAGTAGAGATGAAGTTTTGCCATGTTGGCCAGGTTGGTCTCAAACTCCTGGCCTTAGATGACCTGCCCACCTCGGCCTCCCAAAGTGCTGGGGTTACAGGCATGAGCCATTGTGCCTGGCCAAGACTTTCAAGAAAAACAAAAGAAGAAAGGAGAAAGATATTTTTAAATAAACACTGAGACTATACTAACAGCAAACTCTCATTAAAGCAACTTCTAAAGGATGAATTTGAAGACTAAAGAAACAGACTCCAACACAATGTCTAGGTGACAAATAGGAGGAACAAAGAAGTTGTTGAACATGAAGATAAACATAAAGCCAACGTTGATATGTCTTAGAAAACTCAGATACAGTGGTCTTAACCTCACAATGGCCTATTCTGTCATGTGAAAGACTTAGTCACTTTCATTCTGCTCTGCAATACCAGGCTTCTGGCAGCCAATAAATTCATCCAAATCCAGACAACAGGGGGAGAAAAAGGCACAAAAAGTCTTGCTTTTATAAAAAGGCTTCCATAAAATTCCACATAATACTTTCACTCAATGTTTGGCTATAATTTAGTGATATTGGCACTCCTAGAAGCAAGGGAATCTGGAAAATGTAGTTACTTAAATATCACAGGAATTAGATTCATTTAAAAGGGGAGAAAATGAGAGTACAACTGCAGTCTCTGCCACATATCTATTGGTAAGTTTTAGTAAACAGTTAATAAACTAATCACTTCAGTTTTATACAAATTATCTCGGAAATATGAAAAACATAAATACTCTGCAAATTGTTTTATGAGAATAGTATGACCTTAATTACCTAAACCAGACAAGTATAGGATAGGAAATGAAAATTACTAGCCAGGTTCACTCATGAATATAGATAAATAAAATATTAGCAAATTAATTTAGTCATGTATTTTTAAGAAGAAATCCACAATAACCAGTGTGTCTCAGCAGTGTAGACCTGTAGGTGTGAAGCCCAAATTGCCCTTAAAGAAAATCTTTGTTTAAGATCTGTTTGGAGTATTGTGAAAAGATGTCTTTCAGCAGAAGCCCCTTCAGGGGCTGTTCCAGCTTCAGAGTGATAACTTGTCCAAGGTCATGCCCTTACAGGAATGACATTACACCTCATGGGCAGCTGAAGCTATAAGGTCTGCATCAAAGCCAGACCTCCCCATTAGCGTAATCCTACTATTTCCCCATCCATTCCATTGGTATTGGTCTTAAGAATATCCCTAATAAATATCCTGCAAACTGAAACTTCTCCGAGTCTGCTCCCTTTGGGACCTAACTTGTAACACCCAGAAATGCAAAGATGGTTTACGACCAGAAGATCCATTGATATGATTCACCACATTAACAGATTGACAGGGAAAAAAAAAGCATTTGATTGTTTCATTAAATGGAGATAAATGGTTCAATACAATTAAATATCTATTTATGATAAGAACTCTTAACAAGCTTGGAATAAAAAAGAAAAGTCTTTAACCTGATAAATAAAGGTATTTGCACTTAACTGCACTGCCTAAGACTTCCAGCACAATGCTGAATAAGAGTAGTGAGAGTGAACATCCTCCTTGCCTTCTTCATGATCTTTAGGGAAAACTATTGAGTGATCACGGTTAAGTATAATTTTATATGTAGGCTTCTTATAGATGTGCTTTATCAAACTGAGACAATTTCTATTTTTTGAGAATCTTAATTATGAATATATTTTGAGTTTTGCCTTTTTTTTTTTTTTTTTTTTTTGAGATGGAGTCTCACTGTTTTGCCCAGGCCGGAGTGCAGGGGCATGGTCTCAGCTCACTGAAACCTCCACCTCCCTAGTTAAAACGATTCTCTTGCCTCAGCCTCCCAAGTAGCTGGGATTACAGGCACGTGCCATTACGTCTGGCTAATTTTTGTATTTTTAGTAGAGACGGGGTTTCACCATGTTGGCCAGTTTGGTCTCAAACTCTGACCTAAAGTGATCCATCCACCTCGGCCTCCCAAACTGCTGGGATTACAGGCGTGATGTGCCGTGCCCACCTGGAGTTTTGTCAAATGCTCTTTCTGCATCAATTTATATAATCAATGATTTTTCTTCTATAGCCTCTTATAAAGGTGAATTACATTGACTAATTTTTAAATATTAAACCATACTTAAATGCTTGGAATAAATTTTACTTTGTCATAGTTCATATTTGTATATCTGAACCCTATTTGCTGATTTTTTATGGACATGCATCTATTTTCATGAAGGATATTTGTTGTAATTTTTATTCTTTGTATTGTGTTTGCCTGGTTTGGGAATAAGAGTAACATTAGACTCATAAAATAAATTAGGAATTGTTTCCTTTTCTTCTATTTTCTGGAATAGATTATATAGAATTGGTGTTAATTCTTCTTTAAACATTTGGTAAAATTCTCCTGTGAGACCATCTGGGTTTGTTGGTTTCTTTTTTGTGAGTTTTTTAATTAGGCATTAAATTTTCATAATAGTCATAGGGCTATTAAATTTTTTATTTCTTTTTTGGTAAATTATGACAATTTGTGATTTTTGAGGAACTTTAAGTCATCAAATTATGTGTTTAGATGTATAGCTTGTTCATAATGTTCTCTTGTTATCCTTTTAATATATACACGATCTGTAGTTATATCTCCTGATTCATTCCTGATACTATAATTTCCGTCTTTTCTCTTTTTGTCAGTCATCTTAGATGCTCATCAATTGTACTGGTCTTTTCAAAGAACCAGATTTTTATTTCATTAATTTTCTTTATGATATTTCTGTTTTCAATTTCACTGATTTTGCTTTTACTTTTATTATATCTGGCCGTCTGTTTGCTTTAGTTTTATGTTGCTATTTTTTCCTCGATTCTTCAGGTGGAAGCTTAAATTATTGATTTGAGTGATTCCCCTTTTCTCATGCATGCATTTTGGTTGAGCAAAGCTTCAGTTGTGGCCCACAGTTTTTAATATGCTTTACTTTCATTTTCACTTAGTTCAAAGTATTCTTTTTTTAAATTTTCTTTGAAACTTCCTTGTAAACTTAGGAAATGCAGGTGTGCTATTTAGTTTTTAAGTGTTAGCAGATTTTTCTGTTAAGTTATTGATTTCTAATTTGATTCCACCGTGCTTGGAGAACATATCCTACATGATTTCAATTCTTTTAAAATTGTATAAGATTTGTTTTATAGGCCGGGTGCAGTGGCTCACACGTGTAATCCCAGCACTTTGGGAGGCTCAGGCAGGCGGGTCATGAGGTCAGGAGATCGAGACTACCTGGCTAACACAGTGAAACCCAATCTTTACTAAAAACGCAAAAAAATTAGCCAGGCGTGTTGGCAGGCAGCTGTAGTCCCAGCTACTTGGGAGGCCGAGGCAGGAGAATGGCATGAACCCAGGGGGCGGGAGGCAGAGCTTGCAGTGAGCTGAGATCCTCCCACTGCACTCCAGCCTAGGTGACAGAGTGAGACTCCATCTCAAAAAAAAAAAAAAAAAAAGAAAGAAAAAAGTTTGTTTTATGACCCAGTATATGGTCTGTCTGTATTGGGATATGTCCTGTGGACCCTTGAAAAGAATGTATATTCTGATGTTGTTGGGTGGAATGTTCCATACATTTTGATTAGATCATATTGTTGATGGTGTTGTGGAGTGCTTTTGTATTCCTAATGATTTCTTGTCTAGTTATTCTATCAAATGTTGAGAGAAGGTTGTTGTAGTGTCCAATAATAATTGTGTATTTTTCTATTTCTTCTTCCAGTGCTATCAATTTTTGCTTTATGTAATTTGCAGCTCTGTTGCTTCGTGCAGAAACATAAAAACTTACTATATCATTTTGGTTACTGAAAAATTTATCATTATATAATGTCACACTGTCTCTGATAATTTTCTAGGCTATGAAGACTACTTTATTTAATATTAATATAGCCTGTTTTCTCTTGATTGATGTTTACATGATATATCTTTTTCCATCCTCTTATTTTCTATTTGCTTATATTGTTCTATTTGGAGTGAATTTCTTACAGACAGCATATATCAGATAATTTTTAAAATTTACTCTTATGATCTCTGCCTTTATTTGGTACATTTAGGCCATTTATATTTAATTTTTGATATAATAGAGTTGAAGTCTGCTGTTGTATTTTACTTTCCTGTTTGATCTCTTTTTATTACTTCTGTTTTCTTTTCTTGCTTTCCTATGGGTTACTTGAGCAATTTCATTTTTACTTTTTTGTAGTGTTTTTATGTGTATTTCTTTATATAGTTTTTTTTCTCTTTTAGTGGCTTTTCTAAATAATACATAATGTATACATAATTTACCAAGCATACTATAATCACTCTACTAGTTCAAGTGAAATGTAGAAACCTTAACTCTGTCTAGGTCCCTTTATTCTCACACATTTAATATATAGCTGTTTTAAATATTTTCTCTATGTACATTTAGAGGCAGTCAGTGTTATGATTTTGTTTCAACCATCAGGCATAATTTGGAAAAACACAGGAAGAGAAGAGACACCTATTATATTTACCCATGTTTTTGCTTAATATATTATTTCTTTTTTCTTGATGCTCCAGTGATCCTTCTTTTATCATGTCCATTCCGTTTAAAGAAGTTCCCTTATATACTACTTTAGAGTGGCCTGATGATGGACAAAGTATCTTAGATTTCTTTCATTCCAGAATGTCTTCATATTGTCTTCATGCTTTTATTGATTTTGCTTTGTATGGGGCTCTGAGTTGACAGTTTTTTTCTCTCAACACTTAAAAAGTAATGTGCCACTTCCTTCTGGCCTCCATTATTTTTGATGAGAAACTCATTGTCATTTGAATTGTCTTCCCCTGTGGATAAAGAGTCTTTTTTCCTCTGGCTAATTTTAAGATTTCTTTTCTTTAGTTTGGTATCTAATTACATTGTTCTTAGCATGAATGTCTCTGAGTTTATCTTGTTTAGGATTTCCACAGATTCTTGAATGTGTAAGTTTATATGTTTTTCCAATTTGGAAAAATATTCATTCATTATTTTTTAGCATACTTTTTGAGGGCTGCCCTCCTTTTTCTCTTTTTCTTGGATTCTGATGACATGTTAGACCTATTGTTACAGTCTTGCAGGTCTCTAAGGTTGTATTCTCCTTTTCTTTCAGTCTATTTTCTTTCCATTGTTTATATAAGAATTACAATTGTTCCATTTTCCAGTGTGTTAATTCTTTCCTCTGACTCCTCCATTCTGCTATTGAGATGATCCACTGAGCTTTTTATTTTGGTTATCTTATTTTTTATTCTAAAATTTCCATTTGATTCTTTTTTATATTCTCTATTTTTTTTCTGAGACATTCTGTTTTTTTATTTGTCTCAACCATGTTTGTAACTGCATCCTGTAGCACAGTCATGATGACTGCCTTAGAGTATATGACAGAAGACAATTCTGATATCTCTCCCACCTTAGTGTTGCCATCTGTATTAGTCTGTTTTCATGCTGCTGATAAAGACATATATGAGACTGGGAAGAAAAAGTGGTATAATGGACTTACAGTTCCACATGGTTGGGGAGGCCTCACAATCATGGTGGAAGGCAAGGAGGAGCAAGTCACATCTTACATGGATGGTGGCAGGCAAAGAGAGCTTGTGCAGGGAAACTCCCATTTTTAAAAACATCAGATCTCGTGAAACTCATTCACTATCACAAGAACAGCCAAGAAAAGACACCCCCCCATAATTCAAGCACCTCCTATCAGGTTCTTCCCACAATACTTGGGAATTGTGGGAGCTACAATTCAAGATGAAATTTGGGTGGGGACATACCCAAACCATGTCATTCTTCTCCTGGCCCCTTCCAAATCTCGTTTGCTCATATTTCAAAACCAATCATGCCCTCCCAACAGGACCCCCAAAATCTTAATTCATTTCAGCATTAACTTGAAAGTTGACAGTCCAACATCTCATTTGAGACAATGCAAGTCCCTTCCACTTACAAGCCTGTAAAATCAAAAGCAAGTTAGTTACTTCTAGATACAATGGGGTACAGGCATTGGGTAAATACAGCCATTCTGAATGGGAGAAACTGGACAAAACAAAGGGACTACAGGCCCCATGCAAATCCAAAATCCAGCGAGGCAGTCAAACCTTCAAGTTTCAAAATGATCTCTTTTGACACCATGTCTTGCATCCGGGTCACGTTGATGCAAGAGGTGGGTTCTCAAGGTCTTGGGCAGCTCCACGTCTGTGGCTCTGCAGGGTACAGCCTCCCTCCTGGCTGCTTTCATAGGCTGATGTTGAGTGTCTGAGGTTTTTCCAGGCACCCAGTGCAAGCTGTCAGTGGATCTACCATTCTGGGGACTGGAGGATGGTGGCCCTCTTCACACAGCTCCATTAGGTGGTGCCCCAGCAGGGACTTTGTGTGGGAGCTCCAACCCCACATTTCCTTTCCACACTACCCTATCAGAGATTCTCCATGAGAGCCCCACCCCTGCAGCATACTTCTACCTAGGCATCCAGGCGTTTCCAAACATCTTCTGAAATCTAGGCAGAGATTCCCAAACCTCAATTCTTGACTTCTGTGCATTTGCAGGCTCAATACCACGTGAAAGCTGCCAAGGATTGTGGCTTGCACTATCTGAAGCCATGGCCTGACTTGTACCTTGGCCCCCTTTAGACATGACAGGAGGAGCTGGGTACGCAGGGTACCAAGTCCTTAGATTGCACACAACATGGGGACCCCAGGCCTGGCCCATGAAACTATTTTTTCCTTCTAGGCCTCTGGGCCCGTGATGGGAGGAGCTGCCATGAAGACCTCTGATATGCCGTAGAGACATTTTTCTCATTGTCTTAGGGATTAACATATGCAAATTTCTGCAGCCAGTTTCAATTTCTCCTCAGAAAATGGGATTTTCTATTGCATTATGAGGCTGCAAATTTTCCAAAGTTTTATGCTGTTTCCCTTATGAAACTGAATGCCTTTAACAGCATCCAAGTCATCTCTTGAATGCTTTGCTGCTTAGAAATTTCTTCTGCCAGATACCCTAAATCATCTCTCTCAAGTTCAAAGTTCCACGAATCTCTAGGACCGGGGCAAAATGCCACCAGTCTCTTTACCAAAGCATAGCAAGAGTCACCCTTGCTCCAGTTCCCAACAAGTTCCTCATTTCCATCTGAGGCCACCTCAGCCTGGACTTTATTGTCCATAATGCTTATCAGCATTTTGGGCAAAGCCATTCAACAAGTCTCTAGGAAGTTCTAAACTTTCCCACATTTTTCTGTCTTCTTCTTAGCCTTCCAAACTGTTCCAGCCTCTGCCTGTTACCCAGTTCCAAAGCTGCTTTCACATTTTCAGGTATCTTTTCAGCAATGCCCCACTCTACTTGTACCAATTTACTATATTAGTCCATTTTCACGCTGCTGATAAAGACATACTCAAGATTGGGGAGAAAAAGAGGTTTAATGGACTTACAGTTCCACATGGCTGGGGAGGCCTCACAATTATATCAGAAGGCAAGGAGGAGAAAGTCACATCTTACATGAATGGCAACAGGCAAAGAGAGAGGTTATGCAGGGAAACTCCCATTTTAAAAACCATCAGGCATTGTGAGACTCATTCACTATCATGACAACAGTGCAGGAAAGACACACTCCCATAATTCAATTACCTCCCACCAGGTTCCTCCCATGGCACATGGGAATCATGGGAGTTACAATTCAAGATGAGATTTGGGTGGGGACACAGTCAAACCATATCATCATCCAATGACTATCTTCTTTCACTCAATTTGAGATCCTGGTTCTTGGTATGAAAAGTGATTTCAGTGAAACATAGTCATATTTGCCTTATGTTATGCGGTTCTGGATTTTATTTAAACCTTTCATTTTCACTGACTTTCTCTGACACCATTCTATCAGGAAAATAGAACACTACCTTTTAACTATCAGGTGGAGACAGAAGTTCAGATTCACCATTTGGCCTCTCTTAACCCTGAGGCTTGGCCACTCCTTTTTACTGCTCTGTGCTCTCTATGTAGTTTCCACTGACATTATTGTGGGGGTGGTCTTTTTAGAACTATACAGTGGTAAAGGCCTCACTCTCCACTTGGTGTCCTTCAACATCACTCTAGCAGGAAGGGAGAGGGCCACTTTGTCACTGCTGAGTGCGGATAGAAGTTCAGGCTCCTCATGTGGTCTTCATTGACACTGTAAGCAGGGATCCTAATTACTGGGCAGTTTCAAATCTCTACTTGACCTTCTCTGACACAATTGTTGCAGGGGTATTGGGGTAGATACCTCCTTACAGTCTTGCATGGGTAGAAGTCAAAGTTCTTCATACTGCCTTTGTTGGCATGTATGGGGATTTGACCACAGATTTGAGGGAATTTCCATTACCTATTACTTTATTTTAGACAGGAACAGAAATTCCCCTCATTTTCTTTGTTGTCTTGGTTTTAAATATGTTTATTTTGGAGCATAAAACCTCAGAACATATAAGTTTATTCTTCCTCTCACACATCAAAAGTTTTCCATTTCCAATTTCTTTTTACCCCATGCATTAGATTCTTATTCTACTTGCATTTGAAAACCTTAAGTGGTAGCAAAGGCTTATTAAGTGAATGGATAAATAATAAATGTATTAATACCAAAGCGATGAGAGTGAGAAAAATCATTCTGTTATCTTTCCCAGTCCTACAATTTGAAGAAGTTTCTTAGCAATTTTTAAAAATTTATAGAATTGCATTATTTAATTGCCATACAGCTTCAAATAGAAGTAGTACAACATAGAAAGAACTCAAGAGTTGAGAGCTGCATCCTAATTATGCCACTGACTAACTAAATAATCCTAGGAAATTCACCTCTATGAAAACTTAATTTCTGCATTTACAAGACGGAAACAAACATCTGTCCCTTCTTACGGATTATGAATGCTTCAATGTCCCATTAAGTGAAAAGTACCAAGTAAATCAAGTTTAATAAGCATAATAACAGGATAATCAAATTTCACACAATCTGTACTCAACAATTAATTAGGTTCTTAGTGTGTCAGAAAGAAGAGAAATCCAATTTTTAATTGTCTCTAAGAATTATCAATTTTTAAATCCTAGAATTTAGCCTTTAACATAAGTGGCAGAATATCAACATAGTTTCATAAGAGCATGATAATAAAAGTAAAACACAATAAAATTTATTAATTTTAAGTATCTTCAAGTTACTATGTAATTCATCACAAGTACCTAGTGATCACCATTCCTTAGGTTTCTTGTCTGCAGAAGTTCTAAAATAATATGGTCAGGATAAAGTCCAATATCTTTGTATATAAGTGTCTAGAATACTTCTAACAGCTTAGAATGAAACTCTGATTTAGGAAGAATGAATCTGAGTAGATAGTCCAACACAAATTAGGTCATAAAAATAAAACAACTGCAGGAAACTTGAAGTTGCTTGTTAAACTAGAGAAAACCATTTATTGAAATCTAATGTATGGATGTGTACCTTTAAGGTTTGTTTCTGACTTTAACTGGAGGATTACTTTAAAATTGTTTGTTTCTCAACAGACCATATACTGAGAAACAAAATGAAATAAGCTTTTTCCTACTTCAATAGGCATGAGAAAACCTCTCTAACACTGAGTTTTAAAATAGTTCTAATGAATATAATTATAAAAATAAAGCATTCAGATTGTATCTAGTATACCTCTCTCTCAAATAACTACCATAAGAAACAAATAAATAGAACAAATGTTCTCAAATGTAAGGTGTGACAAATCATCTTTAATGTTTCTTACCAAACTTGTATATCAAATATTAACCCATATTATAAGTATACACTTGATATTCAGAATTATTATCTAGTCTTGGCTGTGTAAGTTGTTATGTCATCTGAGGATTGTCAAAGATAAATTGCACTGGACAGGTTAAACAGGCTAAGGAGATTTTTAGTCAAGACAGTTGCAGTGGGAGAGAGACTGAACTGAAATAAAAATAAGGGAGAGATTGAACTGGAACAAAAGGCAGAAAAGTTTTTAAGTGCCTGTATTAATCCATTCTTAGGCTGCTATAAAGAACTACCTGAGACTGGGTAGTTTATAAATGAAAGAGGTTTAATTGACTCACAGTTCCACAGAGCTGGGGAGGCCTCAGAAAACTTACAGTCATGGTAGAAGTGAAAGCAAACACATCCCTCTTCACATGGTGGCAGGAAGGAGAAGAATGAGAGCTGAGTGAAGGGGGAAGCTCCTCATAAAACCATCAGATCTTGTGAGAACTTACTCACTATCATGAGAATAGCATGGGGGAAACTCTCCCCATGATTCAGTTACCTCCCACTGTGTACCTCCCACGACACATGCGGATTATGGAAACTACAATTCAAGATGAGATTTGGGTGGGAACACAGCCAAACCGTATCAGTGGTTGAGTGAAGTAGCGGAAAAAGTGAGGGCAGAGGTTGGTCAATATAATTAGGCTACCTGTCTTTGCTAATAGTAGTTTATGGAAGTCAGACTCCTACCTTGGCAGAGAGACTAAGACAGAGAGGCACTATCTACCTTGATGATTATATTTCAAAAGGATGGCTCTCAGGTCCTTGAGAAAAAAATTTCCTGGATTATAAACCTGGTAAGAGGCTGGAAGAAGATTTACATCTCAAAGGGGCAGAGAAAGAATTTACAACTGCAAATTTTCTAAAGTAAATGCTCTGAGAAAAGGGAAATCAGGGGCCTACAGTCAAAGATAAATGTGTCTAAAGTTTAGTCAGCCTGAGGGAAATATTAAGGGCATCTTGGTCAGGATATTATTTATTATCTCCATACTATCTGGAAAAAAGAAGAATTCAGACTTGATTAACACTAACCCAAATTGTGTTCTGTGGGAGGCAAACTTAAGACCTACGAGATGTTTCAAAAAATATTTTATTCTCAACTAATGTAGTATTTACTCTGCTAATTCACAATGTTTGTGAGCAAATTACAGGCACTATGGCGTCCTGCAGTTTAAATAAAACAAAACAAAATAAAAACACTCTAGCCTTTCCTTAAGTCAATATTTTTCAAATTGAATACCAAATCCCTGAAAAACTTACATTTCAAGAAACAGAATTAAGGATCAAATAATCCGTAATTTCCCCTTTACTTCTAAAATTCTGTTATTATATGCATTTAATAGCATTATTTTCTTGGAATACAAAAATTCATTTCTGGTTTTTGTGCGTCTTTAAATTCTTTGCTCCCCATCTCTGCACTCTAATGCAAATCCCCAGATGGATTCTTTAACGCTTCAAATGATGGAGAAATCACTACAGATTTTTAAAATTCCAAAACAGACCATTTAGTATTCAAAGTTTTCTAAAGCCAGTAGCTACTCGACTAATCATTACTTGTATCTTAGAACAAGTAAGAGGATTCCATAGAAATTCAGGGGAAAAAAAAGAATCCTAAAAACCATTACTAAGCAACAACTTTTTATGTGTAATCCTTTGATTGTTTCTTGAGAAATTTCCAAAAAAAAAAAAAAAAAAAAAATTGAAAGGAGGGAAGGGAGGAAGGGAGAAAGCAAAAGAAAGCCGTGTGTGTGCATTTATCTCCAAGGGTCCTTATTTCACTAGTTATGTAAACAAAATTTATATGCTCCTATTTATCTTACTTTCTGAAGTATCCTGAGAGTTTTAGCCTTGTAAAATCTCAGGCAGCATTTCAGCTTCAAACTTCTTATTAACCATTGCAGAGGGAGGGGTTATATACTGGGAACATTTATTTTCTTCGCTGACAGAAGTAAGTATAGAGCCAAATGGCTGAAGTTAGTTGGCAAATTTCTCACTTTATTATAACAAAGGCTAGGGAGATAGCTCCTTTGAGCCACATAATTCTAATTTTGCCAATTAGTAAGAGCAAACTGAGAAGCAAACTGGTATTGGATTTTCTTGTAAATAGTACAAATACATTATTCTACCACAGAACAGAAGATATTAATGTAGCGTTCCTTCAAGAAAATAATAGATTAAGGTCACCAATATAAATAAAATAAGCTTTATACAATTAGCTCAGAAAGTTAGATGAAAATTTTTAAAAATGCTTTTGATTATTAAAGCATAACAGTGCTGTTAAACATATCAGTTTATGTTACTATGTGCATTGGGGTTGGTATATCTAAGACTAATGAAGAGCAAATAACTAAAATGACTTCTACTGTTACTTACCTCTGAACAGCGACGGTAGAAGACAAAAACCAAATTACTCTGTTTTTCCCTGAGAAGTTATTCATGTTTTAACTTTTCATAAGAATCCTATCCCGTAATTATAGATGTCAAAAGAAATCTCATTTCCAACCATGAAAAGTGAATTTTGAGTCCCAAATATGCATTTTAGAAGTACAAGCTAATGTTAAGTTTACAATGAATACAGTTGCCTTAGAAGGTAATAGAATATTTTAAGTAATGTAAACATATATGTAAATAATACCATACTTTAAAAATCTGTTCATTTTCTTCTAGGCTCACATATTTGTCCATTTTACATGTTTAGTACTATCACGTACAGAACACAACACATATTATTGAGAAAAATGATGAATAATAACATAACGTGCCAAATGTTAGAGAAGTGACCTTATCTTTCGACAATTGGAATGTATTTTCTAAAACAACCAAGAAAGACAAAAGTTCTTTTCTATAAATCCTTTAGTTTATAATCTATTTTTCATTCTAAATCTCATTTTATTTAATCTATTATTGTACTCTCAGAAAAACCTGATGTTATTCTACATAAGATAGGATATGCATATTCATGAGCCCTCATGAATTATTTGTGAAATTGAAATGAGTAAACCTTTATCTTATAGGAAAGCAATTAAAAGCACTTGACTCACAAGATGATAAATCAAAACTGAAAATTCAGTCCTCTAAGCACACATAATTTGAAACCCTGCAATGAGAAGTAACACATTGTGCTAGATTAGACTTCCCCGTGTAAAAAAGTATATTTAAAATATTAAAGCTACTATTCTAGATCATAAAACATTCCAGTGTGGGTAAAGGTATAGCACATTTTAAAAAGCTAAGCTGATGGGTGATTTAAAGTCCTTTTGGACAACATATTATCTTCTGACATAGCTGCTTTCTGAAAACCTAAAAGGTTTTATATTTTTATTGAAATGCCTAGGTAACACTGAGAACCAAGAAGATTCCTCCCTCAGGCAAGAAGAGTTTAAATTTACTCAAGCTGCATAGTAGAAATTAACAAGTGATGCAGAGCACAATTATCTTTCTATTGCATACTGTACGCTAGTTTAATAATCAAATGATACATAAAGTTGTCAAAAAGCAGTGAATTTAAAAACAGGAATATATAATTTAAGTAAATGCACTGTAAAAAAACATTGATTATATAGTATTCTATGTGGAAAAAACTCAAAGCTACACTGTAAGGTTAAAATTTTATATAAACTAGTTTAGCAAATGGTATTCTAATAACTTCCCAACCTGGCAATATATTTTTCTTTCTTTTTCTCTGCTCATGAGTATGTACAGAGGTGATTTTTTTTAAACATGAAAAACATAGATTTTATGTAAATGCACACTACTCCTGGGAAAACCCTTCGGGTCTTCTTATTGTCCTATTGCCAATTACATCTTAGTGATATTTCTCTATAGCATTAATTGTCATTGTTTAATATTCTGTTTGAAATATTCTCAGATCTTCTTTCCAAGTGTTTGTGTCCAAGTCTCTGTGTCCATTTTAAGATACTTCCAGGATCTGAATTATGTTGTTAATTTCTTTTATGTTGCCTCTTTCTTTTTTCCTAACAAACTCTTTCCTGCTCAAACCTCCTATCATCTTGAAAAACAAAAATCCTGCCTTGTTCAGAAAGCTTCATATAATGAAAGTGTATTTATTTTTACCAGCTTCATCAAGCAAGCCTTCACTAAATATCGATATTTTATGTGAGCATTATAGCTTAAGACAGTTTGCTCTACTTAAGACTTTTTTATTTTATAAAAATGGGAAAAGATATGAGAAATCAATTGAAATTAGACAAACTTAAAAACACCTTGGTATATTGGGGAGATAAAAACCTTGTAATTAGGTTCAGAATCATGGTACTACTAGGTCTCAAGAGACCTGAGTCACTAGATTTTTAAAACCTCAGTTTCATCATTTATTAAGTGATACACTAAAGCTTAAATAAGGCAATATATAGCTAGCAATTTATATTGTAGAGTACTATGAAATGTAAGGAAGCATTATAAGACAGAATGCATTATTGCTAAATGACAGCTGAGATAGTGGAGCCATCTTATCTCAACACTAGATGCTGTAGATGTTGACGCTGTTTATTCCTAGCAATTCATAGATGGATAATAAAAGAACATTACATTCACAACATGGAAATAATTGACTAACAAGACGATAAGAAGAGAGTAGACCTAGATGCTCTTGGCTTTAGGCATGAAATTCCCACATACCTGGAAGACCAAGGCCACTTCTCCACAAATCTGTCTAATTCTGAAAACGAATCCACTCAGCGTTTCATAATCTATTAATCAAATTTAAGTTACTTTGTACTGTTGGAGAAGAAAAATACATTTCCCCTGAGTTCATAAAGTATTCTTTTCAGGAGAGAGCATTTTCTTGATGTTATAATTAATGTAGTCTGCCTGCTGTAGCTATTCAAACATTCTTTTATTCTATTTTTTGCCCCATGGCATTTCTCTGACTACTGTTTTGTACATTATGGGTAAGATACATTGCATAAGACTGCATACTCATAAAAACATGGATTTTTTTTTATCATACTTTTAGCCTTACTTCATGTTCTGTATCTAATTTGTCTAAACTTATGGTGTAACCTCAATTTTTCTCCAAGGCATTCAACATTATTTGCAAAAAGATTCAGTTAGATTTATTGCTATAGGAACTCACAAACTGAATAATATGAGCAAAAATAAATCACTTCAGGGTTATTTAAATCTTAGTGCATTTGCTGTACAACTGTATGTAAAGAACTGTTCTGGGGGTTGGACACACAGAGAAGTGTTGACCATCTCTGCCCATGATGAGTTTACAATCCAGTAGTTTAGACATCGTTATGGTCTGAGTATTTGTGTCCCCTGCCACCAAAATTCCTGTGTTGAAAACCTCATTGCCAATGTGATGGTATTAAGAGTTGGGGGTCAAGGAGTGTGATTGGATCATGAAGGCAGAGCCCTCATGGGTGGGATTAGTGCCTTTATTGAAGAAGCGCAGGGAGCTGCCTTGTCTCTTCTGCCATGTGCAGACAGAAGGCACCATCTATGAACCAGAAAGTGGGCCATCACAAGACAGTGAATTTGCAGGTGTCTTGATCTTGAATTTCCCAATGTCCAGGCTGCAAGAAACAAATTTCTGTTTAGATACTCCATTTATATTTTGTTGTAGCAGCCTGAATGAACTAAGACAGACATTATTGTGACTCTGAGGGAAATTGTGGAGGAAAGAGAGTGGTTTACGGAAAGATGACTTTCACTATGTTGTGTCAAATTATTTGGAGACCAGTGATACTGAAGGAAGAGAAATATGATGATGACATAGAGGGGTTTCAAAAGGTAACTTTATGTCATCTGCCCATTAGATTGTTTAACGCTTATGCATTTCTTCATATTTTTACCACATGAGTATGTATAGATGTCAATAGAAATCTCATTTCTAACCATGAAAAGTGAATTTTGAGTCCCAAATATACATTTTAGAAGTACAAACTTATGTTAAGTTTATAATGAATACAGTTGCCTTAGAAGGTAATAGAATATTTTAAATAATGTAAATGTATATGTAAATAATACCATCCTTTAAAAATATATAAATATAAAAATATATATAAAAAATACTTTAAAAATACTTTAAAAGTATTCCTACATAAAATATAGTTTTGTTTACATTTAATATTTGTGAGAGTCATTCTTGTTAGTGCTGATAGTTCTCAGCCACTCATTTTTATTTTTGTGTGATATTCCATTGTAGGATTGTCGAATGCATGCACATATTAAAATTTGAATATTAACTATTGCCAAGTTGTTATCCAAAGTGATCGTAACAATGTTTATCTCAATTCACAGTGTATGAAGAGTTCTTGTTATGCCTTAATCTTGCTGATACTTGGTATAGTCAAACACTTAATTTTGTCAATATAATGGAAATGACTTGTGAATTTCTCTTGAGTTTTTCTCTTCTGTTGGAGTTGGCAGACAGGAATCACATTTCTCTTCATACCTTTTGCTCAATTTTCTATTGGGTTGACTTTTTCTTACTAAGTTTTTTAGGAATCATTTTTACTGTATATTCTTCATACTTATGTTTTGGTGATTATACACATTACAATATTTCTCTAGTCTGACATATTTTTCCATTGTGATTTTTTGTACAGAAATTTAAAATCTTAATGTGTTTGAAAATTTCAGCTTTTTAGTTTTTAAATTTTAAATTTAAGTTTAAATTTAAGTTTTAAAATTTTCAGTTTTTAAATAATTTATTCTATTTGCATTAAGAAATGTTTTCTTAACCAGTCCTTATAAAAATTTTGCTATATTTTCCCAGAATACACCGTTTTGCTCTTTATATTTACATTTTGGTTGTAATATGCAGTATCAAACTAATTGTATTTTTTTATCTGAATAATACAGTCCTAAGACCATTTGCTGAGTAATCCATATTTTCCCACTAACTATAATACTATTGCTGTCATATACCAAGTTTTATAAATGTCTGGGTCATTTTCTGGGGTTTCTATTTTATTTTGTGTCATCTTATTTTTGTGTCACTTAAAACACTTTTTAAATTACTATAGATTTATAATAATCTCAGTATCTGCCACATCAGTTTTGTATACTTTGTCCTATTTCAAAATATTCATGACTCAACATATTGTCAAAATCTCAACAAAATATTGTTGTGGGTTAAAATTTTAAATTAATTTTGAGATAATTGATATCATTATTATATTGAGGCTTCTTATATATTAACACAGTATCGCTCTATTTAATTTTTTTCTTATCTCTTTTAGCAATATAATTTTATCCATATTTAAATCATTTATAAGATCTCTTAATAGGGTTCTTATGGTTTTTTTTAAGTTTTTATTATTTCTGTGAATGAAAATTTTTTAAATCAATACACTTTACTGTAAAAAGCACTCTTAGTTTTTGTATGTAGATCTATTATCTAAAAACCTTGCAATTATTTATAACTTGTATACAAATTATCTTGAATTTTTATACAGAAATTTTCATCATTTAAAAATAAAGAGAGTGGTATTACTTCCTATTATTTCCATATTTCTTGTTGTATATCTTTCTTGTCTTTTCCATTAGCTAAACCTTTACTACAATAGTGAATATTAGAAGTGATGGCAGATATATTTGTCTTATTCCAGAATAAAGGGAAATACTTCAGAGTTTTGCCATTTTGTCCATATTTGCTATCATTTTCCTCCTACAGAAATCCTCTATCAGGTTAAAAACTAAAATTATTTTTTTCGTATTCCCTGTTTGTTAGGAATTTTTACTGAATAATTTTTCTGCATCTAAATAGGTAGTATGTTTTCTTGTTTACTTTCTACTATTTAATGTGATGCTAATATGAAAATAGATCTGCTAAGATTCAAAGATCTTTATATTTCTTGAATAAATCTTGTTTATCAGAATGTGTTTTGTTGTTAGCACATGCAGAAACACCACACATGCATGCACACACACACACACACCCTGCAATAATCTCCAATTTCTTAAAATCCATGTGTAGAAGAAGAAAAATGAGAAAACAGGCTTAGTGTCATCCATAATCACATAGAACAATCACATTGCTCGAACTGAGAATAACACAAAATTCCCTGGATCTCAAGTGTTTAAAAAATTATGGATTTATTTTGTTAAATTAAATTAAATTTGTCCTAAGGCTGCCTTTGTACTTTGAATCCCTACAGAGTAAACTGCAAACTAACTTAGTATGTAAAGAAACTGCAACCTTAATAAGACTATATTCTTGTAACAAATAGCTGAGTCTCAATTACAGTAGCCAAGCTTCAGCCAATCACAGGCTGCCAACTGATCAGACCATGTTCACAGAAAGCAAATGCCTCATCACACCATGTCCAATAAATGCAAATGCCCATCTGTAGCCAATCAAGCTATTTCTGTACATCACTTCCTTTTGCTGTCTATAAATACTGTCCTGCCCATGTTGCTGGGTGGAGCTCTCTGAATCTCTTTTTGTTCTGAGGCTGCCCAGTTCATGAAACTATCCTTGCTCAAATAAACTCTGCTAAATTTAATTTGTTTTAATAGTTCTTAACAAGAGATTTTATTCTAACACAACACATACTGAAATAATATGGCCCAAATAGTTTACCACATGGGCAATTCACATATTTGGATTAAAGTACACACACTCAGTTTAAAAAGGGAAAGAAAGAGAAAGAAAATATTTTGAATTGTGTAGTGAATTCTTCCCATGAGGCTATTCAATAAATATATTCCCTAAAACAAACATGATGGGAAATGCTAATGTCCTAGTCTGTTTGTTATTGTCAATTTCCCCATAGTCTCATAGTCTATGCATCTTACTACATTAAATTGTGTTTAAATATATATATTTTTCATAAAACATGGCCCCAAGTCAAATGCATCATCCAGTGCCCAAAGAGGCAGAAACTTTTTTCTTCAATACTAGAGGAAAAATTGACTATGCTGGGCATATTTTAAGGTGGACTATTGAACTACATTTTTGTACCTTTCTAATGGGTATTTAAGGATAAGTTTTACAGCTGAGTTTTCAACATACGGAATGGTTTTAGAATCTTATGAAATGGGAGAGTTCCCTTATCCCCCTCACAGGATGTGCGACAAGGGTGTGGCTTACTTGTTTGGTGCCTCCACTGCTCAACCCTAGGGGAGCATGCAGACGGGCAGATGCAGAGGTCGTGGGGAGCATTTTTTGGTTCTGACCCCATGGCAGCATCTAGGGGTGAGTGTTTACAACTCCCAAAGCCTAAGTGAGCCTGTGTTACAGTGTGCTCTTTCAGCTTTGCTGTCTGCAGGCAGCTTGTGTTAATCAGCTCAATTAGACCTTCTGCCTTATTACAAGGACAGAGGGCTTTCTGTATCCCGGGTTCTTGCCCTAGTGTACTGGAAAAATCGGATCACATGTGGGCTTGGAAGATGAGTGCAAGTTTTTATTGAGTGGTGGAGTTAGCTCTCAGCAACATGACTGGGGAGTTAGAAGGGGGATGGAGTGGGAAGGCTGTCTTCCCCTGGAGTCAGGCAGCCCAGCAGCCAGACTCTCCTCTGATTGCCCCCCGGCCGAACTGCCCTCTGTGTCCATGTGGTTCCGCCATGGCTGGTCTGTCAGTGTCTGCTGGTGTCATCAGTGTGTTCTCCTCCTCTAGAGGTCCAGCCAACTTGTATGTGTGCCTGCTAAGGTCTCTTGGGCACAGGATGTGGGGGCATGACAGGCCAAAGTGGTCTTGGTAAATGCAACATTTGAGCCCGAAAACCCAGAGTGCCTGTTCTCACTTAGATCCATGGGCACAGGCCCCAGGGTGGAGCCCTTGCCAGGGACCCGCCCCTTCTCTACCCAGCACTTCCCTGTCCCCCTCCCATATCACCTACACAGTGACTTTAGCATTAGAATCACCTGAAAGGCTTGTTAAACTACAGATTGCTGAGCCCCATCCCCACATATTCTGATTCAGAAAATCTGGTGTGGGGCCTCAGTTCCAAAGTGATTCTAGGACCTTCTAACAAGTTTCCAGATGATATGGCTGTTGCTTGCCTAAGGACCATCCTCTAGGATAACCACTGACTTTAAAAAGGGGTTTACGTTTTCTTTGGATCCAGGCAAGCTCAATTTCCACTGAATGTTGACAGTGTTTGTTTCTTTGGGTGGGGAGGTAAGAAGCAAGGGGAGCAATTTAGCATGTTTTATTAACTGTCACATGATAGGTGTTTTAGAATAAACTGGGGACTGAAATTATTCTAATTCAACTATAGCCAATATTCTTTAGTGCCTACTACAAAATTTTAATAAACTTCCTAGCCATCAACTGCCAAAAGTCTTATCTTTCTTGTAGCTTATAATTAACAGTTTAAGATAATGTTATCAACCAGGGATTGTTGACGCATTTCCTTTCTCCATGGTTAAAATACATAGAGCAAAACCATTCTTTTGACAATTTAACATTTTGGCTCAGCAATTCTTGACATTTGTTTTGCATTCGGAGGCAATGATATAACCTCTTTGCTGTGGCATGTCAGTTTTTCTGAGTTATCCTTGCCAGAATGCATTTCCAGGTTTTGATGAAAGATTTGCTCTTGAAATCAGTTATCTTTCTTCTTGCTTATTTTTTTCAAGACAGAAATACCTCTTTATAAATAAATAAATAAACCATCAGAATTTTATCACAATCTGAAAAGGTCATAGAGAAATCTGAAGAAAGTGTTTAAGGATTCATCATACCATTAAGGTATCTCCAGTCTAGCATCTTGCGGATTCCTTTAAGAGGAACTTTTATGGTCAAATGACGTCTGGTCCATAAACCATTTTTCTTATCCTGAAGGTTGTGGAAACACAAAAGTTTATATAAAAGAACAAAGATTTTGTTTCTTTGATAAAGTCATGGACTGCAGAATACCATCTGGCTTATATAATTGCTTGAAATCTCATTAAATGTTAAACAGATAAAGTATTTCAAATAAATTAATAAAAAGCTCCAGTTTCTAATTTAGAAAACATCAGTCTGAAATTTGTAATGATGAACTGATTAACGGAAGACAATTTTAAGCAGATTTATGTGACATCTATAGCTATAGTCTAAATATTACAAAAATGAATTCTCTCTTCTTTCCCTTAGCCTAAGTTATTTAAGTTATTTTTCTTTTCTGAACATGCATATGCTGTATCTAAAGTTCCCAGTAAGTGTTTGTGGAGTAGATGAGACAAACAGTACCACTAAAAAGCCTCTGGACATTGGTAAATATTAAGCTTGATAAGTTGTAAAGATTTCATTTTTACTTAAACCAACTTTCACCAAATAGTCCCTTCTGGGAGGCTTTCATACTCAGCCTGCTGAAAAATTTTGAACTGACAGTGGGTTTTATTTGTTTATTTTGCATCTTTTTCTACTGAAAATCTACTTATTCACTTTGGAAAGTTAACCATTCATTTGGAAAAAAAAAAACAAAACAAACAAAAAAAACAATGTGGCTGCATCTACCCAAAGCTACATACATATGCTTACTGCCTTGTCATTCAATGCAAAGTAGTTTCCATAACAACCGTTATATCAACTGAATGCAGGGAGTCCTATTTTTTTCTAGGCCATGAAAGCAACTTTCTAAAAGAGAACACGTTAATATCTTCTCCTCACTATATTACCCTATCAAACTATTTGGTGAAAAGCACCCTGTCTCTATAAATTAACATTTCTGCTGGATATCTCTTTCAGAATTCACATTTTCCCTTATTCCTTTGTTTAAGTATAGTGTGGCAACCTCTCCTTCTGCTGGGTCTGAAATCCCCCTTGTCAGAGGTCAGCTCTGGTTCAATCTCTGGTGAGGAAAGAAAAGTCACTTGGCAGTCTGGGCTCCAGACAGGGATTTTCTAAGCAATCTTTTTGTTTATAGCTCTGGTTCCAACCACATCCAAGTCTTCAGAAGTACCTAGTAACTCCAATTCTTAAATTTTTCCTAGGCTGCTCCAATGTGAGTTTCTCAGAACTACAAGCATTGCATTTTTAACAATTGTCTTCTCTTAAATCATTTGCCAGCCTTCTAAGTCCTTCCATCTTTATATATTGTCTTTTAGATTTACAAATATTATCTGATTTTACAAAGACACACTGTTCCTATTTCTCATTCTTGTTCAATTTGGGTAATTTTGGGGAGAAAGTTGTGAAAATGTCTTTTTTTTTTTTTTTTTTACAATCTTGAAACCACAAGTCCTAAATATTCAAATGAAATAAACATGGAATTTTTGCCCTCTATCTTATAAAAGTAGTAAATTTAATAATAAGTTCTCATGACATATTTAAACTATTTTGTTCACAGAAATTTGGGGTTAAAATCACAGTGATTCTGTAAATTAAACTGATTTATACTTATGCTTGTTCTCTAAGAAGGTTCTTAGTTGGATGTAGCTCCTATTCCATACCATCTTCATCTTAACTTTCAAATCTAGCATCAGAACAAACTAGATTTATTGGCTCATTAAAAAAAAAATAAGATTGAATTTGCTGTGTATGGAAAACAAGGGAACAAAGACTGAAATTTTAAAAAGTAAAGAGAAACAATGGCAACTTTCAGCACATTATCAAAATCATATACTTTTAGGTAATAGGGAATTCCAATTTCTGAAGCTTGAACCAAAATTTAATGGCTAAGAAAGAAAAAGATAAAACTGGGTTAAATTCTGTCATTAGAATTAAATCATAGTCAGTGGAGAAGCTCACACCTATAATCCCAGCACTTTGGGAGGCTGAGGCAGGAGGATCACTTGAACCCAAGAGTTTGAGATCAGCCTGCGCAACATAATGAGACCCTGTCTCTACACAAAATAAAAAATTAGCCAGGCATGCTGATGCATTCCTGTAGTCTCAGCTTCTTATGGGGCTGAGGAGGGAGGATGGCTTGAGCCTGGGAGGTTGAGGCTGCAGTGAGCCCTGTTTATGCCACTGCACTCCAGCCTGGGTGACAAAGTGAGATCATGTCTCAAAAAAAAAAAAAGAGGTGGGGGAAGGTGGGGGGCAAGAAACAGATTTTGTTCGATTCTGATCTGTTAGAGCTCTAGAGAATAGTGGGCAAAACCGAATTGTGAATAGCAACAATAAAATAAGAAGACTTCCTTCTTTGTGATGTCGGTGTTTTTAATTTGTTTACAGCTAACTTTAATTTCAACATTTCAAGATCCTGGAACTGATAAACAAAAGGTCAAGCCTAGGACACACTTCTCGAAGTCCCTACATGCTATTGTTCTATTTAACATTGCATAAAAACACACCTGAATGAGCTATAGGAATCAAGCTTTAGCTCCCTTTGCAAGATGACAATCTCTGGCCTTGAGAAGACTTATGATTTTCTCCTTATATGGCTCGAGACAAAAGCATAACACAGGGACAGCTTGGAAACCTGAAGATGAAAGCTAACTGTGTGAATGAAGTGTTGCTGCCTTAGACAAGATAATCTGCCCATCAAAGCAAAAAAGCATAATTCTGTATGCCTGGGATGTCTCCATATCCAAGGAAAGAAAAGGATCTGAAAGAAATTGTTGACATTCTGACTACTTAAAGTAGATGCCTTGTTAAATGAGATTTCTGCTGAGACCAGGATGCTCTGTATGTGCCTATCAGTTCAAAAATATAATGAAAGGAAAGTGCTCTGTGTTTCCTGTTGACTTTCATACCCAAAGATCAATTTAATGGAAAATAAAAAGCTTCCATTCATGGGATACGTCTTTGTATTAAAAAGGATTAAATAAAGAAAGTTTGGAACTTTAGGAGCTATTAGCATTATTATGTGTGTGAAGAAACAGTGAGTCCCCAATTCACTCCTCACTTTAACTGAGAGTTCCTTTCTTTCCCGTTAAATGCCAAAGTCATTAATTCATTTCGTATTGAGCATAAGTTCTGAATTTCAGTTAGCATAGAAAAAAACGATAAATCTAATAAAATCTCATAAAATGTTAGGAAGTTGGGGGGAAAGCAAAAGCAGCTATAATTTTTAGATATTCATTCAAAATATATGTTATTGAAGCTACTGTCCATTTTCACATAATATCTAATTTTTTAAATTATTCTTTTATTCTATGTGTATTCTGATGAGTCTTCACTAACTTATGGTATTATCGAGCATAACATAGGTTAAAATACTGTTGACAGAAAGAGTCAAACTCTGTAAAATATGTGAAGAGATTTATTCTGAGCCAAATATGAGTGACCATGACCTGTGACACAGCCCTCAGGAGGTCCTGAGAACATGTGCCCAAGGTGGTAGGGGTACAGCTTGGTTTTATATATTTCAGGGAGACATGAGACATCAATCAAATACATTTAAGAAATACATGGTTTGGTTCAGAAAGGCGGGACAACTCAAAGCAGTGGGTTCCAGGCTATAGATAAATTTAAACATTTTCTGGTTGACAATTGGTTGAGTTTATCTGAAGGCCTGAGATCAATGGAAAGGAATGTTCAGGTTAAGATAAAAAATTGTGGAGACCAAGTTTTATTGTGCAGTGGAATCTCTCAGCAGACTTCAGAGAGAGAGACCATGTTGTAAAATGTTTCTTTTGGGACCTAAAAGGGTACCTGTCTCTTAGCTGATGATCTCCTGAATCTGGAAAGAAAGGAAGGAAAACAAAGGGGAAAGGGGATTCTCTATAGGATGTGGGTTTTTCCCACAAGAGGCTTTGCCAGGCAATTTCAAGGTATGGCAAGGAAATATATTTTGGGGTTAAATATTTTTTCCTTGTCTCATAATGGTATGTCAGAGTCAGATTAAAAAGTAAGTCACGATATATAGGGTCAAATAAAACCCATCAGATGAGAATTCATGATTTGTAGGGCATGACTTACTAGACCCCTTAGGTAGGAATTTGGGCAAGTTAAAAAAATCAGAGCTTAGTCCTCAATACCTATCTTAATTTCCTCATGCAAGCATTGCTGTATCCTTTCTTTTCTTTTTCTTTTTCTTTTTTTTTTTTTTGAGACAGGGTCTCATTCTCTTCCCCAGGCCAGAGTGCAGTGGTGTAATCAAGTCTCACTGCAGTCTTGACCCCCTGGGCTCAAGTGGTCCTCCCACCTTAGCCTCCCTAGTACCTAGGACCATAGCCATGCACCACCACTTATTAGCCTCTCCTGGAGAATTTTTAAATTTTTTGTAGAGATAGGGATCTCACCATGTTGCTCAAGCTGGACATATTTTAATAAACTGCAGGTGTCAGAAGAGAGAACTAAGAAATTTTGATAATTTCATATCAGTTAAGAAGATAACATGTTTCAAGAAATACTATTTGCTCCACTATGTGTATAAGTGTCTGCTGTTAGCCACGATTCATTGGGATCTTATTGCATATCTCAGATGTCGATATCGCATATCTCACTGAGAGTACCTTTCAGTTTCCCTTATGTTGGTTAATGTATATTTCTCAACCTTTTTACCAGACCACACCTTCCCAGAAAGCAAAATCCTAATTTGTTTTTTCTTGGTGGCTACTAATTTTCTACCGTAGTACCCAGCACCTAACATTCACTCAATTGTGTTTTTGAAATACATAAATGATTTTTATCTAAGCTCATTTATTTTTAAAGTACTTTTCTAAAAATATGTCTTTTAAAAAAATCCAGTGCCAAAGGGAAAAAAATTTAAAGTTTCTTTGGTTACCTTGGCAGATCATCTAGATGATTTGCATCAATGTCATCTTTTTGTTATACTCATTAACGCGGCTGTTCTTAGCATGAATTATAATGATGAAGGTGGTAATAACAACTGGAATCAAATGTTTTTTACAGTAGAGAAAGCTTTCAGTCACATTATTCCATTTGATCTTCACAAAATCTATGTGTTGGCAGAGTGGTCACTGTTATTCATATTTTATTTATTTATTTATTTATTTATTTATTTATTTATTTATTTATTTTGAGACAGAGTCTCGCTCTTTCGCCAGGCTGGAATGCAGTGACACAACCTTGGCTCATTGCAACCTGTGACTCCCAGGTTCAAGTGATTCTCTTGCCTCAGCCTCCCGAGTAGCTGGGATTACAGGTGCATGCCACCATGCCCGGCTAATTTTTGTATTTTTAGTAGAGACAAGGTTTCACCATGTTGGCCAGGATGGTCTCGATCTCCTGACCTCGTGATCCACCAGCCTCAGCCTCCCAAAGTGCTGGGATTATAGGCCTGAGCCACTGCGCCCAGACTTTGTTATTCTTATTTTACAGTTGATTAAGTGAAGACCAGAAATGTCAAGTGACCTGTCCAAGATCACATAAATAGCAAGTGCGGATGCTGGGAGATTTATATTCTGGTCTTTCTGATTCCAAAACTCTATGCTAAATGCAGATTAGTCCCCAGTTTACAAGTGCCTGAATTGTAAAGCCTTCTTCAATCTAAAAACAAACAAACAAAATAACTAACACCCACATGAGCACAGAAATCACCAGTCCACTTGACCACATGACTATAGGACACTCTTAAGCCACTGAACCTCCCATTCCGTGTTTCTGGTACCTAATGGAGAACAGAAAGCTTGTGCTTTCACAAATTGCCTACGGCTTGCTGGAGTAAAATCCTTTAAAAATATATTCTGTTTTGTGGAAATATTTTCATTGCCTCCTTTTGGTTTGTGTTTGTTTGTTCATGCATCTTTAATGAGATGAGGAGTACTTTGCAGCCATGCTGCATAATTTTCTAAATTATCACAGGTTAATTTATTCCTGAATCACCCAGACGTTCTGGACAAAGAAATGCCTTCAGCAAGTAATGTCAGGCACCTTCTAGAGAAGAGTACGTGGAGGGACCAAGTGGAAGCTTCTTCCCATCTTTTTTTCTCTAGGGCCTTCAACTTTTCAATTCAATCCCTTCCCTGCCTTAGTTTGTAGAAGCTTCTTTCGAAGTCTTCTCTCCATGCTCAACTCTTGTTTCACCCATTACAGTCTATTTAGCACAGAGCAACCAAGGTGATTCTTTTAAAGCAAATCTAAATACATAAACCACTTGTCCAAAATCCTTCCAGAGCTTCCAATTCCAGTTACAATAAAGTCCAAAGACTTGACCTTGACCTCCGGCGCCCCACGTAATCTGCCCTCTGACTGCTTCTCCAGTACCGCTCTCACTCCCACACTGTGCCCACTCAGCAACAGCCACACTGGCCTGCTGGCTCCTTCTTCACTTGCCAAATATTCTCTCACCTCAAAGCATTGGCTTCTTTCTGCCTCAAACAATTTTCCCTTAGCTATTTCCACAGCCGTTTCCCTCACATTATTCAAGTCTCATATTATCTCATCAAGGAGGCCTTCCCCCAAATTTTCTATATCCTTACATTATTTATATATTTTTTCATAGTACCAATTGCTACCTAACATTGCATTGCATATTTATTTACCTATTTAGAAAATATTCTGCCCTAGAATATAAACTTGAAGTCAGGAAATTTGTGTATTAGCGACTGCTCTATTCTCAATATCTAGAATAATGACTTCATATAGTAAGAACTCAATAAATATATGTCAAACACATGAAATGAATCAGCAAATAATATCTCAGTTTTGGGGGCTATCATTTTGCATTTCTCTCAAGATATTCTAATGGGAGGGTATATAGGGTAAATGAGGATGCAACAAGCCAGTTGGTATCTAAGCCTAAAATTTTTCGTAACATCAAATTCAATTTCAGAATTACTTAAACTACAACTAAATAACTGTACACTTGGAGCTAACCAAGTTTTTTAGTTGATGGCATTCTTATATAGAGCAAACTTTTGTTGAGTATTATCTATGTACCAGGCACATCATATAGAAGGTACCTTGGACCCATACTGGGAAAGCAAATATGGAAAATGTACAATTGGTTTTCTCAAGGGACTCATAGTTTAGTATCAGTAGTAGTTTATTTTAGTAGTAGTTTACTTTGTGGTGATACTTTTATTTGAGAAATAAAGAAAGGAAGGAAAGGAGAGAGGAAGGGACCAGCCTATGTTATTCTGTAAGAAGGATTTATAGATAGGGTAGGAAAAGAGTTCAAATTAGGAAAGAAATTGAAAATGTATGACATCAGCTTTTAGAAAGGTCTTGTCACATACTATCTAGACAATATTTTGTTTTTGTGTGGCATGAGAATAATTTTTATTAGATACGTTATAATATTTTATAAATGAATATTTGCCAATTATAGGAAACTTGTCTACCCATATCCTCTTCAAGTAAAATTTCATGTTCCCTGAAATGACCCTAATAACTTCTAGAATAAGTTGTGATATACAAGAACACGTAGCTACTATTTCTAATGGTGATCACTCATCAGTTTCTTACCCACTGATAAAGGAACAGGAAATGTGATCATTTCATGTCTCAGTCATAAAGGTGCTTATATTGTTTTAATTACTTGTTAACATTTTTTATCAAGATTTCAATTTTTAATAGAAACAATTTTTCTGGTTTACTTTTTGTTTTTTATTTTCAGTTTCTAAGATACCATTTAGCATACAGTGCACATATTACTCATTCTAAAGCATGTAAGTATCTCACCTCCCTAGCCTCACCCTTCTGAATGTATGTTTTGAAAATAGATCAACTTTAGCATTTCTTACCATGAAAAACATCATAAATGGATAAAATTATAAAGTAACTTTAGCCTAAATTCTGTTGTTTTCCATTCTTTAATATGACTTACAAAACCTGACCAGGTCTATCGTCTATTTTATTATCCTAGACCAGTAGAATTGAGCATCAACCCTCTTTAGGACTTGGCAGTCTAGATGACTGATGAAAAAACCAAATGTGAGTTCCTTTTGTGGTTAATGATATTGCTATATTTCTATACCATCTGTTGCCTCTTCTCCTGGAAAAAAAGAACCCATCTCTTCTTAATCTTCACGGAGATCATTCTTAAAATTTGTTGGATGGTCTATATTACTAAACTTCACTTCTATGTCCTTATATTCCCAGAGCCAATCATTTCTATGGAATTAGAGCCCCTAAGACTTAGGAAATTCATTTACTATCTCGCTTAAGATGAAAAGTAAATCCTGTAAGTTCGTTTTTGTTTGTTATTTGGTTCTGGATTTTTAGCTTCGTATTCTGTATCTTTTTAATGCAATAAGCTAATCCGCTGTGTGAAACTGGTTCCTATTTGGCTATATACTGAAATAAAATAAAAATTTTATTACTTTGAAGTAAATCTCTCCTGGAAGGCTTTTCAGAATTGTTCACTAATTAATAAATGTTAGTTTCTGAAATTGCAGTGAGTACCCAAATACATATTAACACTCTTATTTTCATCATAATGGTCTTTTGAAATAGGCATGCATGATATTCTGTAAGCAGGGCTGAGCATATTAAGTTATTTTAGGAGAGGTAGGAATTGATTTATTAAGCAAATATTTATTAAACCTAAATTCTACAGTAATTCACATGACATTAAGCATGAAGTAATAGTTGATGGAGAATGCTAGTATGGCTGCCAAGAGAAAAGCATACATAGAGTTTTCAGCAATGTACAGCCATTCCAGAAGGATACAAGCAAAACAGAAAAACAGTATGAACACACCACATTATAGAAAACCAAAATCTTTTACACGAATTAACTATTGGGGGACAATTCTTTGTAAGTCTCTCACATTTCTGCATGGCTGTTGAGCAAGGACACTAACTGCCCTTTTATTCTTATTTTAATATATTTATTTATTTATTTTGAGATGGAGTCTCACTCTGTCACCAGGCTGGAGTGCAGTGGAGCTATCTCGGCTCACTGCAACATCCGTCTCCCAGGTTCAAGCGATTCTCCTGCCTCAGCCTCCTGAATAGCTGGGACTACAGGCAAATGCCACCACGCCGGGCTAATTTTAGTATTTTTAGTAGAGGTGGGGTTTCACCATGTTGGCCAGCATGGTCTCGATCTCTTGACCTCATGATCCGCCTGCCTCAGTCTCCCAAAGTGCTGGGATTTCAGGCGTGAGCCACTGCGCCCAGCCCTGCCCTTTTATTCTTAACTGTCTTTCCAAGGATGTTTATGTAGCAAACGGCCTTGGAAGTTAAAGATAGTGTTCCTCTCAGGAGCAAGGAGCAGGTTTGCTTAGTGTTCAACATAATAAAGGTAATTTCTCCTTCTGAAACAAACATCAGGCAGGTTTGCTTACTGCCGATTATGAAAGATTCTAGTTACCTAACTTAGGGCTCCTCAGCCATGAAACAAAAATTACTGCATAATTTTTCATTTAGAAAATTACATAAGGCCCTCTGCTTCATCTCACGGGACATGAGAGTACAGAAGAAACTGATGTAAACATGAAGCTCATACTGCTTTCTGTGCCGTGAGCAATAAAACCCTTTGTCTCTGACCAAAGAATCTCATGTCTTGTTAAAATCCACAAAACTATGCCAAGTTTGTTAGCTTGCAAGTAGGGTGAAAATCTTTCATCCTTAACAGTTCTTGACATTAATTGATATACATCCAATATTTACAGTTTTAATAAACACCACTAGAAAATAGCCCTTAACTGCCCTAATTGTTGATAGGGGATTTAGAAATCACAATTAATTGTTCTTGGAAACTCCGTGGAAGCTTGCTATCAATTCATGGAAGAAGAAAATCAGAGTATCATGCCCCATTGTGGAGCCTGAATTTATACTATTTGCTTGGTCTGAAAGTCTTATGTAAGAGTGTTTGTATTTTTGAAAGGAGATAATAGAGAGAATAGGCAAGATATCATAAATCATAAGACAGTAGCTAAAAATTTTCCAGAATTCAAGGAAAACGAGAAATTAAAAATGAAGGAAGCATGTTGAATCGCAGCTTCATTTGATGTCTCTGTCTCTCACTTTGCCACAGCACACAGGCCATTTTTCAGTTTCTTAATCCATTTATGCCTAGTGTTCCATTATTGGAACACTAAGCTTGTGGGAGTTATTTATATCCTACTGCGCAAGGTCATCGCCAAGGTCTGATTTTTCACACACAAAATTTGCAACCTCAGCATAAATTTAAATATACCAAGCTCTGTTGCACTCTCAGGTACTCTGCATGTACATTTCTCTCCTATCTGCCTGGAATGTTATTATCCTTGCTTTTTATAGTGGGCCTTTGCCCATACTTTGAGTTAAGTGATACCTCCTTTAAAACTTCTTATCTGACCACTTTATTTAAAATAGCCTCTTTTTGCTTATTCTCCACTAGTCGTTTTGTTTATTTCCATGGGTTATGGTTACTTTAGTGATTTATGCATATATTTGTTATTGCTGTCTCTCTTCGTGAGAGATGTCTTATCTTCACAGGCTCCATTGTATCTCTCTTGTCCAGCACAAGCCTAGCATGTAGAAAGCCCTCAAGAAATATTTGTTGATTGATACCTAAATTAAAGAATGTAAGCACTTAATTGATTTGAACATAAATATAAAATTAAATATGTAATTATAGTTATAAACTTATTACTTATATTTTATATAAAACTATAAGATGGTTGAAAAAGAAAATTCCCTTTTAACAGACTGTGACAACATGTTAAAATAATAATTCTAACAAAGCCAATTGGTAGCAGGAAGCTATCAAGAAAAATAGCATAAGTGGGATAATTTCAATAGAAATAGTTTTATTTCTGAGTTGATAATTTAAAAAATATAAATGTAGGCATATTATTGGTAATTAAACAACTAACTCCCAAACAGAACTCAAAACAGATACCTGCTTTCTAAATTAAGACAGTTACATAAGCACACACAAACACACACACACACATACCCTAAATATGAATGAATATGATTATATAGCAAAAGGTAGGAATAAAAGAAAATAGTAATACAGCACTAAAACTACAAAATAAGAACAGAAAAAAACCAGCTAACATTGTGTAGACAGAATAGGCTATTAAAAGGAATTAATTCTTTAAAATTGAGTCAAAGAACAAAACTCAACTATGTATTATCTAGGAAGCAGTTCTAAAATAAAATAACCCAGAATATTTAAAAGTGAAAGAATGAGCAAGAATATAGCAGAGCCATGACACTAATATTACACAAATAAATATTCCAGGCAAAAACATTACATTAAAGAATCAATTTTATGTAGCTATAACTCTCAAGACTCTTTATCTACCAAACAATATAGATCTTGAAAATAAAAATTTCTAGGAAATATTAAACATGGAACTCTTAGTAAAAGATATAAGGAAAGCAAGAAAAATTAATTAGTAATATAAATGGGTAAATTAAAAGATTGAAAGACTGATAAGTAAATCCAGAGCTGGCTATATGACTCTCCTCCAAAAAGAAAATAATGATAGTAGAATAAGATAAACTATCAGGTAACCTAATTAAGAAAAAATAAATAAATATGAGAAAATTAAAAGAATTAGAATACTTTTGTAAAAAAATTGCTAACAAGCTCAAATAGTTTAATGAAATCTTCATAGAAGAAATGAATGGTTAAAATGAGTCAAAGAAGTTGAGAAAGTTGATGAAGCCCTCAAAACTAAGAAAACTACTTATTTAAAGACTACCACTCCAAGAAAGATTCAAAAATGATTTTTTTTGAGACATGGTCTCACTCTGATGCCCAGCCTTGAGTGCAGTGGCACGATCACAGTTCACTGCAGCCTTGCCTTCCCAGGTTCAAATGATCTTCCTGCCTCAGCCTCCCGAGTAGGTGAGACTACAGGCATGTGCAACCATGCTCGGCTAATTTTTGTATCTTTTGTAGAGACAGGATCTCGCTATATTGCCCAGGCTAGTCTTGAACTCCTGGCTTCAAGCAATCCTCCCACTTTGGCCTCCCAAAGTGCTGGGATTACACACGTAAGCCACTGAGCTAGTCTAAATTTTTAAATATCGTTATTAAATAGATTATCCTTATGGTGTTTTTCCAAATCACTGAGAAAGTTAAATCACTCTTGATTATATGATTCTATATAAATTATTAGAATTTAGGACCAAGGAGTACACTAAAATAATGATACACCATGACCTAGAAAGGTTTACTCAGATTTAACTAAGGTGATCATATAATTTACTGGTTACACCAGAACCTTTATCGTGAAAGAGGTGGCTATTAATAATTACTCTTTCATATCCAACAATCAACCCATAAGAAATTGGTATTTGCTCCAAATTCAAAATGTGAACAGAATCCAATCCAGTCATTTTTCCATATTATTCTTATTTCAACTTTGTCTGAACCACATTAAGCTCTCTCCTAGTTTCCTACAATAGTCCCTCCAGTTTTTGTTGTCTTTACAATTGAGCAGCAAGGCAAATCCTTTTAAAATGTACATCAGACCTGATGCAGTGGCTCACATCTGTAATCCCAGCACTTTGGGAGGCCAAGGCAGGTGGATAGCTTAAGCTTAGGAGCTCAAGACCAGTTTGGGCAACATGGCAAAAATACAAAAAATACAAAAATTAGTCAGGCACAGTGGTGACCACCTACAGTCCCAGCTACTCGGGAGGCTGAAGTGGGAGGATTGCTTGAGCCTGGGAGGTGGAGGTTGCAGTGAGCTAAGGTTGCACCACTACACCCCAGGCTGGGCAACAGAGTGAGACCCTGACTTGAAACAAACAAACAAACAAACAACAACAACAACAACACAAAACTACAACAGATTATAGCCCTTTCTGTTCAGAACTCTCTGAAGCCTTCCTATATAACTTACAGTAAAAGTCAAAGTCCCTTTGACCAATAAAGTTCAATATTATTTAACCCCCTCCTCCTGATTTCTACCATCACTTCTCTCCCTCTAGTTCACTCCACTCCACCAACACTCATAACCTCACTGTTCTTTGAACTTACGAGTTAATTTCCTGTTTTAGGGTCTTAGCAGTGGCTTTCTCTCTGTCTAGAACGCTTTCCCCACAATTATCAGCCTGACTTATTGGGCTTATTAGGATGTCAGCTTCAAGGCTTTGTATGAATGTCACCTTCTAAATGAGGTTCCCTTTCAACTCTATCTAAATTACATCCACTCACCCCAACTGCACCACCCTACCTGAATTTTCTTATCTATTTATTTTCTCCTCTGTTACTTACAACGTTCTAACATGTTATTTATTTACTTATATGTATTGTTTATTTTTGTCTGTAGCTACTAGATTGGTGCAAATGTAATTGCAGTTTTGGACTATGAATTTTAAATTAAGCTGAAACACATCTTTATTAATCAAAATAGGAACCATTACAACCAACGCATTTTGGCCAATAAGAAATACGTTTGTTTATTCCTGTAGTGTCAAAATCCATGCTTTGGGATTTGATGAACTCTTGGAAACCCATTTTCTGCATCCTGCTGGTTATGGAAGCATTTTCCCTGTAAAAAGTTGTCAAGATACTTAAAGAAGTGGTAGTCAGTTGGCAAGAGGTCAGGTGAATATGGTGGATGAGGCAAAACTTCATAGCCCAATTCGTTTAACTTTTGAAGCATTGGTTGTGAGACCTGCAATCGAGCATTGCCATGGAGAAAAATTGGGCTCTTTCTGTTGACCAGTGCTGGCTGCAGGCATTGCTGTTTGTGGCGCATCTCATCAATTTGCTGAGCATGCTTCTCAGATGTAATGGTTTTACCAGGATTCAGAAAGCTGTAGTGGATTAGACCAGCAGCAGACCACTGAACAGTGTCCATGACCTTTTTTTGGTGCAGGTTTGGCTTTGAGAAGGGCTTTGGAGTTTCCTCTCGATCCAGCCACTGAGCTGGTCATCACTGGTTATTGTATAAAATCCACTTTTTGTCACACGTCACAATCCAATTGAGAAATGGTTCATTGTTTTTGTGTAGAATAAGAGATGACACTTCAAAACAACAATTTTTTTGATTTTCGCTCAGCTCATGAGGCACCCACTTATCGAGCTTTTCCACCTTTCCAATTTGCTTCAAATGCTAAATGACTGTAGAATGGTTGACAGTGAGTTCTTCGGCAACTTCTTGTGTAATTGTAAGAGGATCAGCTTCAGTGACTGCTCTTGATTGGTTGTTGTCAACTTCCAATGGCTGGCCACTATTCTCCTTATCTTCAAGGCTCTCGTCTCCTTTGTAAAAATTCTTGAACCACCACTGCACTGTATGTTTGTTAGCAGCTCCTGGGCCAAATAGGTTGTTGATGCTGCGAGTTGTCTCCACTGATTCACGACCCATTTTTAACTTAACAAGAAAATTTTAACTTAAGAAAATCACTCACATTTGCTTTTTGTCTAACATCATTTCCATAGTCTAAAATAAATACAAAATAAACAGCAAGTCATAAGTCATTAGCCAAAAAAATAAAGTGAGAAATGAGCATTAAAATGATGTATAACATAACCACTTTTATTTAAGAATATGTTTCAATATCAAATGTCAAATTTCAACAATGCAAAAACTGCAATTACTTTTGCACCAACCTAATACAAGGATGTAAGTACCTCAAGGCCACAATTTCTTTCCCTTTTTTTCTCTTTTGTTCTCTTTGTTCTTTTTGGCTCACATTAGATGGTCAATAAGTAGTGTTGAATTAGTGGATAAGAGTTAAACATTTTCTCCTGAAAATTTTCTATAATTTCAATTTGACTCATTATATAGCTTCTGGTTGTGAACATATTATTCAGTTTTCTCAAAGACCTGTCTGATAACTCCAGTATCTAGATCTCCTATGGGTCTGTTTCTACTGTCCATTATTTCAGACATTCCTGTTCTTTCTCTGTATGCCCTGCTATTTTTTATTGAAGATCTATCTGACCTTTTCTTATGAAAAAAATTGCAGAAGTAATTTGAGTTGCTAGATGATGTTACTTTCCTCCAGAAAAGATTTACCTTTGCCCTTGGTAGGCAGTTACATGAGAGAGGCAGAGTACTTTCTTTTAGGAAGTGAACTGATTCAAAACTAAACTTCAGTCTTTATGAGAGCTGGTCTTTTTTGGATAGCCATTACTCGGAAATATTGCCCTTCACAGGTCCCAGCTGAAAGACTGGAGTATTTTTTCATGCCCTTCCTCCTTGGCAAGTCCTGAACTCTAATTTTTAGCCTGCTGAGCACCACAAGGTTGCCCGAAGTTCTTTTCAGTTATCCAGCCTCTCAAATACCTTGCTGGAAAAAGCAGAATTGAATATCGGGTTCATCTACCTGCACTCCCCTACTCTTCAGGATTTTAGCTCTCTAAATCATTTCTTCCCTGGTATCACTCAAATGCTATTCAACTTTTCTAGACTTTTTTTTTCTTATAGCAAGAAGTTTGAATGATATAAGGTAATCACCATACTGGAAGCAGGATGTCCCAAGATTTACTGGCTATTCACTAGAAATCTTTGCATAAGAACACTTTACATAAATTTTAAATAATGCATTAAATGTGAACAGCTATTTCCAACAAATTTGTTTCCTGCTTTTATAAAACCATACATTTAAATATTTCTTTAAACACTTAAATCAAGATATTATTTATATAAAGATGATTTACCAGATTATAAGGGCTAAAATTATTTTTCCCTCATTGGAAAAATAAGTAAGCATCAGCCCTCATGAAACAAGTTTTTAAAGTCAATAAAAGAACCTTTATACTCACATATGACACATACCATCTTCATAATAGTAGACCATGTACTGCAGAGGAACATTTCGCAATGTATATTCTAATCTTAAGAGATATCTTATCACACCACTTGCCCCTCCCTCTCCAAAAAAAAGCTTATGTTCAGCTATGTTTGGGAATTTCTACATATATGTACCTAGCTTGGGGACATGGGATATGTTTGCATTTTAAATGTTCTGAAGTGTTATACTTTAAAGATTTGCTTTAAAAAAACAAACAAACAAATTTTTCTACCTTATTTAAGAAGATAACTTTTTAAAAAAATATTTACTGGCATCCCAAGGAAGTGGTTTTCCGTGGGACATTCTTTAGGTAACTCTGTTCTGGAGGAAACAGAAAAATATAACATAGAGTCTCTATCTTCAAGGGATTTTTAATTAGTTGGAGAGAAAAATATATTCATATTAATTAACCTGGAATATAGAATTCAACTCACTTTACAAGAAACCAACACAAAAGAAGTCATAAGAAGTCATGATTAAAGGCGAACCTGATTACCCAGTCCTTTGTGATCAAGTAGGGCATAGTACTAAAATATCAAAATCCATACCAGGGTTTAACTCAATTAGCATTAAGAATATGCAACAATGAATGTCAAGTCTCTGAGGTCAAATAATAGGAGAATAATCCCTAAAAATTGCAGTGCTGAAATAATGTTGTTTGCCTACCAAGGGTCACAGTATTTTTTATTTATTAACTTGGAAGGTTTAGGGTGCTTTCTGCAAATCTAGTGCAATAAAAATGAAAGCCATTAAAATAGTCTTGCTTCCCTGGGTAACAAACCCTGGACATTACAAGATATTCAAAAATAACACACAACAGGCTTTTCTTATATTTTTCTCATTAACTTTTTAAAGCCTCCTGACTTTGTGGAATCACTGCAGTAAGTTCTAAGTGATGTATAAAATGGAAAAGAAAATGTAGGCTATCCTGACTTCCTCCTGGGCAAGAACACACCTGGGTTTTGTTTGTTGGTTGGTTTTGTTTTTAGCTAAATTACTGTCAGCATTGTTATTTGCTTCTATACAAACATTTTAAAGAAACAGCACAGCCACACAAACATGCACTAGGGAAACACATAAAATCAAAATTTCAGCATTCATTCGGATCACAACACATTTTACCTACTCTGATCTGGTATTTCTAGCTTTTATTATCTGTTCTCTCTCTCTCTCTCTTCCTCCCTCCCTCCCTCGTTTTCTCCCTGTCTTTCTCCATCACCTCACAAATCAGATACTCCCTCGGCCATCCACAGGCCTAAGTGGTCAAGCTTGCTTTATAACCAATCCTTTGCCAAGGGATGGGATTGGAGAGTCTCTGAAACAGAAAGAGAAAAGAATTTCCATGTTGGAACCAAAACAGTGGCATCATAGGCTATCTCTTCATTACTTATGATTCAAGACAAGAATCTCCATCATGGTATTTGTGATTTCATAAATATTGATATTCATTGTCTTCCATGAAATAAAAATGCATTTTGCCTCTTGATGTGTATAGCAGTTAGCTAATTATAGAACTTTAGGGGACAGGTGGTGATAGTGATAGGAGGCAGACAAATCCTAGACAGATGGGGCAGGTCCCCAGTAAAACCCCACCTTCTATTCAAAAACAGCCTGAAGGCTGAAAGGCTAGACTGCTGGTTCTGGATGAAACCCGCAACCCAGAGTGAGAACGTCTGTTCCTGTTTGCCCACCCTTTCCTGATTGGTTCTTTTTGAATAATGCTTTTTAAATAACAGAATGTTGCCTTTTTAAATACTACCTATGGCCTGCCCCTCCCCTTTCTTTGTCCATAAAAACCCCACTCTCAGCCACACTGGGAGAGAAACCACCTGACTTTGGGTGGCTGTCCACCTGTGCATCACCTCTCTGCTGAGAGGTGTTTTGTCACTCAATAAAATTCTTCTCCCCCTTCCTCACTCTTCGATTGTCAGCATATTCTCATTATTCTTGGACATGGGACAAGAGCTTGGGACCCACCAAACATGGGTACAGACAAGTCTGTAATATCATGGCCCTCTGCCCTTTGCCAGTGGAGGGCGGCCACCCCATGCAATGAAAGTGTGGCAGGGTTGAGCCAGCCTTGGAGCTGTAGACACCAGAGCAGGGCAAAGGGCTGACAGAGCTGTTAACATGCCGCCATCTGTTGGGGTGTGGATGGGAGGACTAAAAGAGCTAATTAGAATGCTGTAACATCCCCTCTGGGCTTTAGGGTCCTGTGCATCCCTGCCTAGGCATCACTATGTCTCCCTTTTCTGGATGCTGGGGTATACCAGAGGAGTGGCTTGTGATATGCCTGGTCCGGCTGCAAGCACCATGCAGAGCCTGCTCCTGTGCCAGCACTTGGAGTGCCCACTTGGGCCACACACTTGCTTCCTGACACACCCCCTCCTGCCAGGAGCTGAGAGTGCAGTTGTGGTGGCTGTGGGATCAATGCCAGAGTGCCACCAGTCACAGTCCACCAGGCTGAGTGGACAGTGTGTCTCCTATGACAAACCTGGGCCCAAGCAAGACCTGGGCAAGGGTGTCACCAGCCAGGGGTCACCAGCTGACAAGTGACTGAGAAAAATCCTGCATCAGTGGTTCAATAGTGTGTTTTTGGCCACAAGGAACAGAATAGCCATCAAAAAAAGAATTTATAAACAGTATGGGCTAATTTTTCCCACATAATGAAGAGTCTATAGATATGCAAATCAGGGTGGGTTAAGTGGCTCAGCGATATCAGTTATCAAGATTCTGTGTCAGTATCTCTTGGTCTTCAGCTCATGGTCACAAAGTGGCTGCAGTTGTGCAACTATTATCCTCATAGGACAATATCTAAAAGTGGAAAGGAAGTGGCAGCAATTTATTCTCTACTAATGCTTTCATTCAAGGAAAAATAAATATTTCCTAAAAGTTGGTGTAAACTGCTTTTCTGTCTCACTGGCCAGCATTCTATCTTCTGCCATATTTTTAGCCTCTATAGTGGTAGGTGGAATCTTCTGGCAAGAAAAAATGAGGCTGGTCTTCAAGTATCCAAGAGTGTCTGCCACAGGAAGAGGAAGAGGAAGAGGATGTGCTTTCCTTCTTGTATGGACTACTGATCCTGTTTAGAGAGCTACACACTATGCATTTTACTTTTATCTGACATTAGATCCATTCTTGTTTTGGTTCCATTAGATTAAGAAAAACGTTATTGATTTTAAAAGTTTAAAAGGTATGTTTCACTTATTCATTTTTTTTAAATATTATGAACCTTGAATATTGTTGTTTTGAATGAGTTTTTGGTTTGTTTCAAACCTCCTTGGAGCATAAAGGGGAGAGGCAGGTCATAGGTAGTATTAGAAAAGGCAACATTTGATCACTTAAAAAGCATTATTCAAAAAGAACCAGTCGGGAAAGGGGGAACAAACAGGAACAGATGTTCTCCCTCCAGGTTGAGGGTTTCATCCAGAACCAGCAGTCTAGTCTTTCAGCCTTCAGGCTGTTTTTGGATTGAAGGTGGGGTTTTACTGGGGACCCGCCCCATCTGCCTAGGATTTGTCTGCCCCCTGTCAACTATCACCGCCTGTCCCCTAAAGTTCTATAATTAGCTAACTGTTATACACATTGAGAGGCAAAATGCATTTTTATTTCATGGAAGACAATGAATATTAATATTTCTGAAATCACAATACCAAGCTTGACCACTTAGGCCTGTGGATGTCCAAGGGAGTGCCTTTATGTATACATTTTTTGTTGTTCTGTAAAGTAAGTCCAAAGCTTTTGGCTGATTTCGAAAGTATACATCACCCCCTAAAAATTTAGAATCATCAGTAACAGTGACTGTTTCTAATAATTCAAGGTATTTGTATAAACTGTTTTAGGACAAATCCCTCATCTACATTTTAGAGACAGCATTGATACAATAATCTCATTCTGTTTAGATTAATAGTTTCACAAATTCATTTTTGCAGTTAACTCCCATAATATTTTTGCTTATCCGTATTATAGAACAAGGGAGAAATTATTGATCTTCTTCATGCCTGAATCCAGAAAAAGTCAATTGACAGTGAAAACCAGAGGGTATTTCCATAGTAAAATGTAGGTGGGAAACTCATTTTTTATTTTCTTTCTGTACCTTCTCTTTCAGCTGTTCAATAAGAACTTACTGAGTTCTTGCAGTGTGCCACTGTTTTATTTCAATCGTTTCATGAAACTGCACACAAACATAAAGCTCTGGTGACATTTGTCCAAGGTCATACAACTAACAAGTTTTGGAGATTCAAAGCAGGACACAGACACCAAGTCCAAGGTTCTTTTTACACTGTCACAACTAGCTTTTTTTTTCAAGAAGTATCTAGAGTGTAATCGGTATGCCCAAACAAAAAGAAAAATCTTTTCTGACAATGCTACATGTTGATTCGGTATAAACAGGTGGTAATTCACAGAATTCAAGGTAAATCTTCAAAAATACTTTCAAAAATATCACTTCAGTGACAACATTGCACTTCACTTGACTACATTAAAACTCTTCACATTACGTATAATTGGTAATATGGGATACACATATGCTCACATAACCAGAATCAAAAATCAAAAAGAATTTATCCTATTTTTCTGAATTTATATGCATAATCTTAATAGAATATAGTATAAAATATATAGAGAAATAAAATATTAAAATTGTATTTTAATCTGTAAGAAAAAAATAGCAGCCAATTTTTGTCATATTTCTATTTTGATCATTGAGTTATAAATTTAATTAAATGTAATTGTTCCCATCAATCTTGTGCTATGGATAATTTAAATCTTCATTTAAATGTTAATTGCCAGTAACATCAAAGAAAGACCTTAATAATAACATTTTATTCTGCTTTAATTTTATAAAATTCAGGATATTTGTTTTGTTATAAAGTATGATGTAAGATAATGATTATGAAAAGGTGAAGATGAATATAAATTTCTACAATAGTCTTCAAACAGTTTCACCTAGTGATTTTCAGAAGAGTCAAATATACTGTTTTCATGTTAGTTTCAACAAATGAAACTTGAAATTCAGATAGTTGCATTCAAGCTGCAAAACTCTTCTTCATTCCAAAGAGGAAATGATTACCTTCTGGTCTTTTCATTAGTTATCAGCAAGTTGCTACAGTTAGATTAGGGATGGATGAAGACCTTATTTTCCATTTCATTCTGTGTTAACATTATCTATGCAGTGCATATTGTGTAGTTAATAGAAGTTTAAGGGAAAAAGGTTAAATAGATTTATAATTTTGATGGACTCAGTAAGAAACAGTGCTACAGTTGCCTGGTCAGACTGAAAATCAATTTGTGAGTATCAAAATGTGAACTCATTTAGTTCCAAGCAGAACTATTGCTAGGCCATCCTTGGGGAGATGCTGGACTATTGTTTTCATTAGGTGCATCTGGGATGCCTAAGAATAGGTTGTTCTTAGAATGTGAACAATTCTAAGAATCTCATATTCAGCCAAGTGGTTCTTTCAGCATTAGCGAAGATAGCTCACTGACTTAATATTGTGCCAAAGAGACCAAGGTTCAAGTACTTAGTAAAGGCTAGTGCTCAAATATTTCCGCTTGTTCTCTTGCACCTTTACCACTGCCATGAGAACACGACCAGGATGGCCTGATGAATATGAAAAATGCATGGGTCAGTGGCCCCTGTTGCTCCAGCGAACAGCCAGCCAAATGCCAGACATGTGTGTGACCCTAGCAGAGACCAGAACTGCCCAGCCAAGTTCAGCCTTAATCACCAGTCTGCAAACTTGTGAACTAAATAAATCTTATTATTTTCAGTCATTATGTTTCAGGATGGTTGATTATGCAGTACTGAGTGGCAGTAGGAAACACACGCTTTGATCAACACCGTCTCATACTAGGAGATGATAATGGGGATTGATTAGAATCCTATCATTAGTACCTTCTTGGCTGGGGGCAGAGGGTAGAGAAAGACAAAAAAAAAAAATAGGATTTTTTTTTTGTTCTACTTAGCAAAAGTACCAGTATTTATCTTCTTCTATTGAGGATAGCATGAGAATGGCCCTAACAGACCTTATACAGAAAAACAAAGCTACTACACTACAAGCTGTCAGTGTTAAGGCTGGACGAACCAAGGCAGAGTCAGTGTTAACATAAAAGCTAAGAGTTGACAAGGGAAGTAAAAGAGATACCTCTGATACAATAATCCTACAGGCAGATTTGATTACTTCCTATTAAATGAGCAAATGAGGTCAGACATATTGTTGGTCAGTACAATTGCCAGATTTAGCAAATAAAAATACAGGATGCTCAGTAAAATTTGAATTTTAAGTAAATGACAACAGTTTATTAAAATTACATCCCATACACTGGGCATGCTGTGTATTTTCCAGGAATTTGACTTCTGGGGAGAGGATTTGGGGAATGGAGAACTGATTCAGTTTTAAAATTATACTTTTCCTGTCTCTTTCTGATTTTTATTTTCTTGTTAGTAGCCTAAGGAATAATGTACAAAACTACCTTCTTTGCCATGTTTGTAGAATAAGTGATGAACCATTACTACGTATGAAGGTAGAGTTCTGTATACACTGTGGATCTAGTAGAAAAACCTAAGTTTTCCAGCCCCTCTGCCATCTATGACGCTTGTAAATTCACCCATAAACACCATGACAAACCAAACACTGGGGAAATCCCTCTTTCCTTATCTTTAAACTACCCACTCATAGCTGACTTGGCTTTATACATAGTCCATTCCCAAACACTGTACATATATAACTTTTTGCAAAGTTAACGTTGTCTTTTCGTTTTTATAATTATAAAATAATACATGATCATTGTAAAATAAATCAGAAAGTAATGGAAGAACATCAAGTTGAAAAGAGAAAACAACACAAATATCTACCTCTGAAATAACAACTCTTAACATTCAGGTAAAAATCCTTCAACTTTCTTCATGTATATAGACAAATATATGTATGTTGTTTTTCCTCACACAGAAACAGAATTGTTATATACTCCTCTTAGTAACTTGTTAGCCTGACTTAATATGTTGTGGATTTTTTTCAATGTCAGTAAATATACATTTACAACCTTGTCTTTAATAACTGCAGTCAGTGAGTCAACAATATTTATTAAGCTCTTACTAAATGCAAGACATGCTGTATTTCATTGCATGTATACCCCATGATAGATTTAACCAATTCCCTATAATCAGGCATTTTATGTTGTTTATAATTATTCACTAGTATAATCAAGCTTACAATGAATACGCTTGTAAGCCTACAACTCAACTGATAGAAATAGATGGGTTCAGGCACACTAGAGAGGAGTAAATATTTTTGGAAATGTTCTGATTGTAGCAGGGCAGATTACATGCAAATTTTCCATTTTTATGGATATTATTTGACATTCAATCAATAGACTTTGAAAAAACTAGTCAATCAGTGAATCAGTCAGTTCTCTTCTTTTTATTATTCCTGATACCTTTTCTTTTTGCCTCTGGTATACTTACAGGTACAATTATACTCCCATGAGAAAGCAAGCAAGAGTATGAGAAAAAGCACCAATAAGTACATTCTTAGAGGGTTGTATCCATGCCAGCATTCAGGCATGTACATTCTTTCATTCATGAAATATTTAGCGATTGTCAAAAAAGTACCAAGCCCTATTCTGGATATCACAAACAAAAGGACAGAATGGCTCCTTCCAAATGTTTTACAGTGTGATCAGAGGCACGTTGCTTACCACTTCCAAAGGTCTGTTCTTCAGCTATTAGAGTATATGGAGACTGCCAATTCCTCATACTTTCTCTAATGATAAGTAAACATCCTTTGCCATTTTAATACAATAAATAATATTTGTATAAAATGCCATTGTGACTAGTTGTAGGTTAAATTAAAAGTTGGGATAATGCAAGAAGTCATAAAAATAATAGATGAGTCACTTAGACATTTAAACCTATTTAAAATACATTAAGGTGCCTTTATTCCTAATATTTTCCTGTATGGGCAAAGTTTTCCTATTTTGGACCTGTGTCTGTTAAAGCAAATCCAAGTGAATTACAAACACATTTCTAAGTATTATTCTGGAGGTGTTGCAAAAAGAGATGTAGTTCTAAATAATATCCATTCAAACATTTTTAAGGGCAAATAACATCTTTAGTGGGAAAAAAAGGAGTACTACATACACATCCTAGCATGAAAAACATTATTTAAAAGTGTAGGCTAGTCACAAAATTGGTTAAAAGCTGGATTAATCAGCTTTTGATGAAAAAATATTGTGGAACAAACAATACGCAATTCAATGGCTTTGACAACACTTCGTTAATTTTCACTCATCGCTGCTCTGCGTGTTAGCTACAGCTCAGCTTCGGTGTGACTCCGTTTAGTGGGACTCATCACCAGACTACAGGCTGCTGGTTGGATTCAGGTTTTCTGCATGTGTCTCCAATTTTGAGACCCAGCCTGAAGGAAAACTCAGACTGAGGATCAGTCTGGGGCATGATCTTCTCATGGTGAGTGTCAGACGCTCAAGAGGGCTTGTAGAAAAGAGCCAACCATCTTAAGGCCTTACCTAAGAACTGACACCCTGTCACTTTTATCCACTTTCCGTTAGCTAAAATAAGTCACATGGGCAAGCACAATGTCAGTGGGTTGGGGAAATATAGAGGAGAAATGAGGTGAGTGAATAGTTAGTGAATATAACATCATCACTCATGCTCATTATCAGCTAGAAAAATTAAAAACATTATCAAAGACGGGCCAGTTAATGAGATGTACTACAAATTAATACAAACATCAAACAAAGTGTTGCTTCAAACAGGCTAAACATAAATTGTTGAAGAAATCCTAGAAATCCTGTTATTAGAAATCCTACATGGCAAAATTTTGATTTCTATCAGGATTGAAATCTTTCTATTTTTTTTCTTTTTAAATAACTGATCAGATCTTCTTGTATAAACCACTCCTATAAGTCACCTTCTATGATTTTTATTTTCTATTATGTGAGAGGGGAGAGAAAATCAAAAGCAATGTGAATGCATAGTCCTTCTAGATTCTTATTGTTTCTCTTTCTCTTATAGTTTATCTCACCTATATATAATTCAATATCAACCATTTTTTTTTCCTAACTTACATTTAGTAAAACTTTCTATGCACTCAACTTAGCTTTCATGGAAACAGCACTTTTTTTCCTCTAGCAGCATGTAATTAAATTATGTGATTATAATGACAAGTATTGCTATTATAAAATGGTTTGAGAACAAACATATAGTATCTGTGGGACTTAACTGGTAACAGCAGAAATGCACTGCTACTTGCCATAGTGTTTGGTTGTCCTTCCTATTAACACATCTATTATGTTTTAGGATGGAAATGGAGGGCTAATGATTTAGTTTTCATGTCTTTGATTACTAAAAGAGTCAAATATATTTTTTAAACTTGTATTTTAAGTTCAGGGGTACATATGCAGGTTTGTTATATAGGTAAACTTATGTCATGGTGAGTCAAACATTTTAAATATATGTATAAGCCATATATATTTCTGAAGGAGTTTATTATTTTGTTTATAAATATAAAATCAGAGTTTTTATAATCTAGTAATTTGTGGCAATATTACATATCAAGCTAATGGAACGAATTTAATGAGCTTCAAAGACAGGACATTTATTAAAATAATAACATTCATAAATTAATTGACATCAACATACTATTTACAAAAATTAATGGTTTATACCTAAATATATACTCAAATTTAGTGGTATTATTATGTGGTACATGTCCTGTTTGTACATAAATTTTGGATATAATAAATTTTTTGTGTACATAAGCTTCCACTTATTTCAATGAACATTAATGTACATTAGGTATTTGATTAGAACGAACATTACTCATCAACAAGAAAGTTTATTTAAAACCCCCAGCTCCCTCAATTGCTTGGTTCTCTTTCTCTATCTAAATAAGTTGCTCTTTCCTTTTCCTCTAAGATCAGTTATTGGGATCAAAGCTTCAGTGATTGTTTACCTTATGTGTAAACTTTTGGATATAATAAAAGTTTTGTATACATATAAACTTCTGCTTATTTCAATGAACATTAATGTATATTTGGTATATGATTAGAAAAAACATTACTTGTCAACAAGAAAGTTTATTAAAAAAAAAAAAAACAACTCCCTCAGTTGCTTGGTTTTTTCTCTCTAACTAAATAAGTATTCTTTCCTTTTTCTCTATGATCAGTTGTTGGATCAAGGCTTCAGTGATGGTTTACCTTATGTGTCAACTTGACTGGAATACAAGGTGCCCAGATATTTGGTTAAAGATTGAGTGTGTTTGTGAGGGTGTTTCTGGATAAGATTCACATTTCAATCAGCAGACTGAGTAAAGCAGATTACCCTGCCCAATATGGGTGGCCTCATCCAATCCAATGAAGGCCTGCAGAGAACGAAAAAGCTAAGAAAGTTAGAATTGGTTCTCTGTTTTTCTTTGAACTGGGACATTGGTCTTCTGCATTCAGAGTCAAATTCAAACTGGACCTTACACCATCAGCTCTCCTGATTCTCAGGCCTTTAGACTCACACTAGACTTATACCATCAGCTTTTCTCAGTTCTTATATATATCAGACCCAGAAAAGCTGCCAGTGTTTTTGGACAATGAAGTTCAGGCTGAGGTGGTCTTGGATGAAGATGAGGAACTTATTGGGATATATAACAGCTCTGATATATATCAGACCCAGAAAAGCTGAACGCCTGAGAACCAAGAGAGCTGATGGTGTAAGTTCCAGTTTGAACATTATATATATATATATATATATATATATATATATATATATATATATATATATATATCCGTGTGTGTGCATGTGTGTATATATATGACACATAGTGAGATGAAGTATCCCTGTATGTGTGTGTGTGTGTGTGTGTGCACATATACATTTGTGTGGTGACGCAGCCAAGCCATATCATTTTATCCCTTGCCCTTCCCAAATCTCATGTTGAATTCTAATCCCCACGTGTCAGGAGAGGGAACTGGTGAAAGGTGATTGAATCATGGGGGCAGATTTCCTCCATGATAGTGACTGAGTTCTCACAAAATCTGGTGGTTTAAAAGTGTGGCACATCCCCCCTCACTCTTTCCTTCTGCCTTGTGAAGACATGCCCTGCTTCCCCTTCACCTTCTGCCATTCTTTATAGATTACCCAGTCTGAGGTAATTCTTTATAGCAGTGTGGGAATGAATTAATACAGAAAGTTGGTACCAGGAGTGAGATATTGTTACAAAGATACCTGAAAATGTGGAAGCGACTTTGGAACTGGGTAACAGATAGAGGTTGGAACGGTTTCGAGGGCTCAGAAGAAGATAGGAAGATGAGTGAAAGTTTGGAAAGATCTGTGGAACTTTGAACTTGAGAGAGATGATTTAGGGTATCTGGTGGAAGAAATTTCTAAGCAGCAAAGCATTCAAAATGTAACCTGGCTTTTTCTTAAAATGTATGCTCATATGCATGAAGAAATAGATGGTGTGAAATTGGAACTTGTGTTTCAAAGGGAAGCAGAGCACAAAAGTTTGGAAAATTTGCAGCATGACTATGCAGTAGAAAAAGAAAATTCTGGGGAGGCCTCAGGAAACTTACAATCATGGCAGAAGGTGAAGGGAAGCAAGGCACATCTTCAGAAGGCAGCGAGAGAGAGAGAGCAAGGGGAGAAGTGCCACACTTCTAAACCATCAGATCTTGCCAGAACTCAGTATCACAAGAACAGAATGAGGGAAATCTACCCCCATGATCCAATCACCCCCAACAGGTTCCTCCCTTGACACGTGGGGATTAAAATTTGACATGAGATTTGGGTGGGGACAGAGAGCCAAACTATATCAGCCCTTAAAAATTATGCTAAATCTACTCTATCTCTGTTCTATAAATGGAACAACAAAGCCTGGATAACAACATATCTTTTTACAGCGTAGTTTACTGAATATATTAAGCCCACTACTGAGACCTACTGCTAAGAAAAGAAGATTCCTTTCAAAATATTTCTGCTCATTCTCAATGCATCTAGTCACCCAAGAGCTCTGATGCAGATGAGCAAGGAGGTTAAGTATAGTGTTCTTTGCTTGCTAATACAACATCCGTTCTGCAGCCTGTGGATCAAGAAGTAATTTTAATTTTCAAGACTTATTATTTTAGAAATATATTTCGTAAGTCTATAGCTGCCATAGATAGTAATTTCTCTGATGGATCTGGGAAAATTAAATTGAAAACCTTCTGGAAAGCATTCACCATTTTAGATACCATTAAGAACATTTGTGCCTCATGGGAGGAGGTCAAAGTATCAACATTAACAGGAGTTTGGAAGACATTGACTCCCACCCTCATGGATGACTTTAAGGGGTTCAAGACTTCAGGGGTGGAAGTAACTGTAGATGTTGTAGAAATAGCAAGTGAACTAGAATTAGAAGTGGAGCCTGAAGGTGTGACTAAATGCTGCAATCTCATGGTAAACCTTGAATGGCTGAGGAACTACTTCTTATCATGAGCAAAGAAAGTGGTTTCTTGAGATGAGATCTATTCCTGTGAAGATGCTGTAAACATTGATGAAGTGAAAACAAAGAATTTAGAGTATTTCATAACTTAGTGGATAAACCAGTGGCAGGGTTTAAAAGAATTGTCTTTAATTTTGACAAAAGTTCTACTGTGGGTAAAACATTAAAGCGCATCACATACTACAAAGAAATATTTTATGAAAGAAAGAGTCAATCGATTTGGCAAATTTCATTATTGTCTTATTTTAAGAAATTTTCACAGCCATCCAACTCTGTTGCAACCACCACCTTGGTCAGTCGACAGCAATCAACACGGAGGCAAAACCCTCCACCAGCAAAAAGATTATGATACTCTGAAGGCTCAGATGATTGTTAACATTTTTTAGCAAGAAAGTATTTTTTAATTAAAGTACGTACATGGTTCTTTTAGACATAATGCTATTACACACTGACAGTATAGCATAAACATAACTTTCGTATGCACTGGGAAATGAAAACATTTGTATGACTTGCTTTATTGAAATATTCATTTTATTGTGATAGTCTGAAATTGAAACTGCAATATCTCCCAGATAGGCTTGTGTGTGTGTGTGTGTGTGTGTGTGTGTGTGTGTGTGAGAGACAGAGAGAGAGAGAGGGAGAGAGAGAAAGACAGAGAGAGAGAGAGAGAGAGATCCTATTTGTTTGTTTTTTCATGGAAAACCCAGAGTAATACAGCTTCTTTCACCTTGCTAGAGCTAACTCAAAATTAAAAGTCAAGAGAAGGTTTAGAGATTTTCTTGAATCAATGATCCACACTCATACCTATTCTGAAAGGTAGAATCTATTCCTCCTCAAAGAGGGATGCAAGTGGCAGATGTGGAATTATGCCACATGAGGTTACTTTTCAGAGCTCCATCTGACATTTCTTAATGGTTGGTAGCAAAATTGAGCTACCAATTCAATACACATTTCTCTAGAGTAGGAACTAGGGATAAGCTAATTGATAAGCTATAATGTCAACCTATTTATGATTTTAAAGTATGATAGGTTTAGGCCAGCCTGAATACATTTATATTTCACCTCTCATAGATTATTTTTGCCCATTTCTTTATTGAATGCTGAGATATTAATATCCCTTGTGTTAAAATAGGTCCAATGAAGTCCAAGCTCAGAGAGAACATAAAAGGTCTGCAATTTCAAGATGGGTTGCAAATCTTTACATAAAGTAGAAAAGGTGATTAATAACAGGCCTAATTGAGAAATGCAATTTTTGTGCTGGGGAGCTTCAGATCACAGACTGTTTTTTCTTTTTTGTATTCATCACAGGCAATTGAACCTGGTGAATGAAATGAAATTAAGTTAAGGGGAGAAAATTGGTTCCAAATAAAGTTTAGGAAGCAATTTCTACCCATGAGGTAATTAATGAATGAAACGGGTTTCTACATTAGCTCTTGAGGCAAAGCCATTTTAAGGAGAAGCCCTCTTGGGGAAAGTATTCAAAGTAATCTACCCCAGTGGTCAAGCAGTAGCTGATTTTGAAGTAATGGCAATATGGTCCTTTACAGGCAAGGGGTCTTCTTGCTCAATGAGGTATTAAACAAGGTCATGTCTTCCATTTGAACGACTGCTACCATTCCACAAGAAAATAGAGGAAGGATAATAAGGAGTTTTAGAATTGCTTTGCAGTGATCTTTTGTGTTTTGGCTTTAATTACAAAGTACTGCATGTGTGCTATATTAAAAAAAATTAAGAAACATAAGTGCAAAAAGCAAATTATGAGAAGACTCGCCAAACATGCCCATGCTTGGGTGCACCCCTCACTTTATTTTCAGAGATAACAACTGTTCTCTCTCTAAATCCAGTTCTGTGCATTTCTTGACACTGAAAGTATTCTGAGGTTAGGGAAGTCACACAGGGTAGTTTTGTCAAACCTTGCTCCTCCCTGTCCTGCAGGCACATTGCTTAGAGAGACCACTCTGGAGGCTTCAGAAAAGCCAGGAAGCTGGCTAAGAAATCTCTTGACCCTGGCTAAAGACCAATGTTTAAGTAACAACATCTAAAAAAGAGAGACTTTTCCTTTCAGTGTCCTCTGTGGAAACTTAATGATATGTGTCTTTGTTATCACTGCATTGCAATAAAAATCAAATCAGTGTCCAGTGTTGCCTAGCCGTAAGGAAATTTCAAGCAATAATCTTTGAACAAAAAAATTACTTTTCTTCCTCTGTCTTCATCAGTTTGTGGTAATTACATCTGTCTTGACTGTCTGGTTGGCATTTACTTGTAATCCAGAATAAATCTTTTTATGTCCAGTATATTTTGAGTTTTTCTGCAAATTATCTGCCAACCATCATCACTTCACAGGGCTAGTTCAGAATTCGGTAAAAATATTTTGCTGTAGGAGAGTTACTTAGCCTCTTATTCAAAAAACAAACAAAAACATACAAAACAAAACAGGGCCTTTCTCTGTCACCCAGGCTGGAATGCAGAAACTCCATCATAACTCACTGTAACTTCAAACCCTTGGGCTTAAGTGATACTGCCCCCTCAGCCTCCGAAGTAGCTAGTACTACAGGTGCATGCCACCATGCCCAGTTTTTTTTTTTTTATTTTTGTAGGCACAGGGTCTCGCTATGTTGCCTATGCTGGTCTTGAACTCCTGGCCTCACACAATCCTCCCACTTTAGCCTCTCAGAGTGCTAGAATTACAGGTATGAACTGCCATGCCTGGCCAGCTTCCTGATTTTATCTTTCTTACTCTCTGTTCTACCTAGTCTCCTGGACAATGTTTCCCAAACTGTGGTTTTTAGACCCTTGGGAGGCCCAAAACATATTCCATGGGTTAGAAAAATCTCTACAAAAAACTGAGTTAGATGTTCACTTTGATGATTAAAATATAAAATATAAGTATAGTCTCAATTGTCTATATAAGTTTATAATCAAGTATGAATCCACAATTTATGCCTCCATACTTTCTTTTGTGTTTATGATCAAGCTAAAGGAGTAGATTCTAGCTTGGCCTTGACTGAGTTAGTAAGCAGCTAATTGATTTCAGAGAGATTTACTTGGTGTCAAAATGGCGATAATCAGTTTATATCTATCTTCATCCTCATATTAACTTTTTAAGTAATAGTAAGCACTAAGTGTTCTTTTGCAAGAATTATTAATAACTAAAATACATTTTTAGAGAATAAGACTAGCTCTTTAATATGTTGAGACTGACTTTCCATTATAAAAATGACATTAGGAAATGATGATACAATGTGATTTGTGATATAATAAATAAAGGATTTCTTACAAAACTAGGGAGGAAGGTGATGGCCAGAGAACACCTCTGAAGTTTAGGCATGAAGTTCAGTAAGAGTTAACTCTTACTCCACGCTAATCTCCATGTTACAGAGATTTGGGGCAAAGCCTGTGCAAAGGAAACACCCATGTAAGATGTAGAAGTAGGAAAGCATGCTATTTGCACAACAGTTTATGCATTTTAAAAACAAGACCTTGTATTAGTCAGGGTTCTCTAGAGGGACAGAACTAATAGGATAAATGTATATATGAAAGGGAGTTTATAAAGGAGTATTGACTCATACCATCACAAGGTGAAATCCCACAATAGACGGTCTGCAAGCTGAGGAGCAAGGAAGCCAGTCTGAGTCCCAAAACCTCAAAAATAGGGAAGCCGACTTTGCACGCTTCAGTCTGTGGCTGAAGGCCCGAAAACTCCTGGCAAATCACTGGCGTAAGTTCAAGAGTCCAAAAGCTGAAGAACTTGGAGTCTAATGTTCAAGGGCAGGAAGTATCCAGCACGGAAGAAAGATGGAGGCCAGAAGACTTAGCCAGTCTAGTCTTTCCACATCCTTTTATTCTGCCTTCACTGGCAGTTTGGATTGTGTCCACCCAGACTGAGGGTGGGTCTGCCTTTCCCAGTCCACTGATTCAAATGTTAATCTCCTTTGGCAACACCCTCACAGACACACCCAGGAGCAATACTTCGCATCCTCCAATCGAATCAAGTTGACACTCAGTGTTAACCATCACAGACCTTATTGATTTTATTTGGTACATTATCCAATAATCATGTGATGTAGGTAAAGAGTGTATTGTTATTATCCCTTTATATGGGGCAACTTTCACTCATAGAAGTTAAGTAACTTAGCTTGAGTCATACGACTCACAAGTGACAGTGCAAGGACCTGACACCATGACAGTGCTATTTTGCTGGGCATTTTTACTAGTCCACATTTTCTACTTCAGCACTTGAGATGGCCTGAAGAGCACTCCATCCTTCCCTAGTTTATCTCTGTCCTGGTTATCTTCCAACCATGTAATGGACACTATTAAGTAAGCAATTATACACCTCATATGCTTTGTGAATTAAAAACCTGTTGAAAAGTTAATGATGAGGGAAATCCAAAAGACCAATATATATCTAGTGTCTGTTCTGTTCCAGCAACTTTAGGAGGACTGAGTTGGCCAACGGAGATGCACCAAGTCCTGTTTCCAGAATAAACTTAAATTGCCTCTCATTTCACTTGTTCCAATCTGGTTGCTGGTTTGAATCCTGTTGCCTCTGTGCTTGGTCCTTGTTCTCACCTCCAATGCCTCTGGTTTAGAAGATCTGTTAAATACTCACTTTCTGACTTAAACTTATAGTCTCCTTTCAGTTCAATTCTAGTACTAGTCCTCTGGTTTCCTGCACAACGTCCACTGCTCTGGCTTTCAGGAACTGAATGACTAAGTTTACCTTCTGCTAGGGGTGAGTAATCAAAGATGTTATTCATATAATCAAACAAATATTAAAAAGTAGAGGGACATACAACAACTACTGAATTATCTTTTTAATTATACAACTATCAACTTGGCTAGTTGGTTTTGATTATTATCTAAAATATTTCTCTTTTCATTCTTATCATGTCTGGTGTTACATATTTTAGTAAACTTCTCACAAATCAGCCTGGATTCTCACTCTGTATCTAACTTGAAGCCATACTCAGCATTTTGTAAACCAATCCCCTGCCCCAGAAAAAAAGCCAAAAGAAAAACAAAAACTTCACTTCCACAAGATGTTAGTGAGTGTTACGTTTTCTGTAAAATATAAGGAGAGAAGTGGAAGAAAATTCAAGTGGTAAGTTATACAGAAAAACTTAAAATTTCTGATTAAATACATTTATTCTGTTACAAAATTGCTCCCTAGCTGCCAGCCATCTATTCAATTTATCTTCTTTCCTTTTCCCTTTCTCCCTACATCTGTTCAAATCCCTTCTATTGTCCAGAAACTTCTTAGAAAGTAGTTCCATTGTTATGCAATCATGAGCTTGGGGACTTAGTGCTCCCGAGTGACTTCTCTCCAAACTAAATTTTTAATCTACAGAACAAATTTTGGGGGTGGGGGTTATATAGAGTCACAGGAATGACAGCAGTGGTGGAGTTGATTCTAGCTGCACATTCTTTTCAGATTTTCTGCCATATTTGATAATATATAAACACTCAATATTTTTATTAACTTGTACTAGGATTTTGTACAGGAGCATTCAGATTTAATAATAACAATATCATCCACTGCCTAGCCAATGCAATAGAACACAGATGGAAATAAAGTCATGTAGCAGGAGTTGAAAATCTTTCTGGAAAGAATCTTTGACACATTCAGAGTCCTTTTAAACATATTAGTGAGTTTGGTTCTCAAAATAACCTAATGAGGAAAGTAGGGCAGGTGGTGTTATATCTATTATACGTGTTGAGAAGCTCAAGGTTTACTAAGTTCATAAAATAGTGTGTGATAAAGTGGGAAAGCTGAAACCCATGATATCTGTGGGTCTGATAGTCTCAGGTAGTCATGGGCACCAGTCACCAAGTTAATCTGGCTGTTTTTCTGGACACAGTAGGCTTATGCTTTTTCACCCCATTTGATGATAAGCTGTGTGACTTGCTTTGGCCAATGCAACATTGGTGAACATGATGTATCACCTCTGGGCAAAAACTTGGAGAGCCATCATGGATTCTCCACATTCCTTTCCATCTGCCATGGTGACGGAGAAAGCATGGGTCAAAATGGAGCCCTCTTAAGCTTAGCCTTAGGTATCTGCAATAAGAAGGGCACCACTGTCAACTGGCATCATTGGACAGGTAATTTAGAATTTTTACGACATTTTGTGAGGTTAAGAGATTGATTTTGGAGTTGCTAGTTGCTCCAGCATAACCAACCCTATCCTGAGTTATATGCCTTTGACTTCTATTCTTACTCCTTCTCATGCAAACTCTTCACATGGTGTGATGAAATAGTCAGATAGCAATTGGGCAACAGATCTGAATCACTGTGTTTAGTATCTCGATGTTGCCCTGGCTATTACTGGTAGCTATAGTTAATAAAGAAAATTATAGTACTCTTTATTTATAGTAATTTTTTTTTCCTAACACAAGAGTGAGAACTTTTGTTGTTCACCACCTGCCAATGGGAAATACAACATAATTCAAGGTAACTGAAGGTCACCCTTGAATCACCACTGTGGAGAATTATATCCAAAATTTGTGCAAAGCATTTTCAGTCACATCCTTAGTGGTTAGGGCAGCAAGGAGCAAAAGAAGAGTGAAAAACATTGTGTTAATGCTGAAAAACAAAAAGCAGAGAAAAAGATTAATAGTGGTGATTAAAGAATTAGAAAGCATTTTCTCCAGAAATCCAAGCTGTGCTTGGAATAAAATAGCAAAAGTTGAGAAATTCGTAAGACAACCACAAATAGAAAATGATAGGGCAAGTGTGGGTATGATTAAGGATGACTCCAGAAACTTCAACTTAGCATTCTTTCTTCTTTGCCCCTTCTCCTAACTCAGTAAAAGTAGGGACAGTTATAAAGCCGATGAAAATCGGGAGTTTGTGAAATGTCTAAGCTTTCTATATTTGCGTACAGATTCAGTGCTTGTTATAAAGCTGTTTTTCCTGTGATTTTTCTATCAAGAATAGTGAGTATTCCAAGATGGGGTGGGTGGTGGCAATTCTAAGTAAAGTAAGCAGCCTCAAAAATGTGACTTGAGGCTTCATGAAAGAGTTTTGCTTTCACTATGTTTTCCAATGCTAACTCAGGGCATGAACACATTGAGGGGCCACCTGAATATCAAAATTTGAGGGGGTAATTAAGGCCTATTTGCTTTCCCAAAGACAAAAATGGTTTATCCTTCTTCCTTCATCATTTCTGTCTTTTACAAATGAGCTACCTTTAAACAACTCTCTACACTGAAAATTGCAACTATCAAGTTTTCCTCTGTTGACCTTCTTCTGAAATTGTTATTTCTGTTCACAGGTAGAGTTGAATAAGCAGCAAAGATATTTCTAGATAATCGCTTCTCAGAATTTAATGTGCATATGAACCACTTGGGGATCTTGCTGAAATGCAGATTATGATACTGTAGGATTTGGGATGGGCTTGAGATTCTGCATTTCTAATAATTCCCTAGGTGATGCTGATGCTGTTTGTCTAGGAACGATCCATGAAATAATATGGATATCAAGTCTCAGAGCAGGTAAGTAACTTACACAGGACCACAGCAAGTAAATGGTAAAACCGTGATTAGAAGTCAAATCTGTCTGACTCCACATCCTGTGCTCTTGGTCAATAATGTAATGCCTCCCCATAGAGATAGGCACCGATGGGACATTCTCTGAGAAGAAAGATAATAGCATGAAGATAATGGATTGCTAAGCTACAGAAAAGAAATCAGACATGTCAGATGTCACTCACTTTGGGAAATATATGTCTTAAGCTCACAAACCTTTAAATTAGACAATTTCAGCCTTACAGAACACTAGCTGTTTTCATAGCTTCACTTCATAAAGTCCCACCATTCCCCCACTGAAAAGAGACAATAAAAGATTTTATAACACATGCAATCATAATTTGGTGCCAGTACAACATAGTCTCCATGACATAAAGTTGCACAGCAGGAGAGCAAGCCCAAGGAAAGTATCTAATCAGATAATTAACCAGGAAATTGAGAGCCTGAGCATTAAGTGCTACTCTGGGGGTCTCCTACAGCAAATGGCCTCTATGGTGTATTAACACACTGAAGCTTGGGTGAAAGCTTACTTCGGAGGCTCTATGACTCATTCTATGTTTAATCACTGCTACTCTACATCAGTAGAGTACATATAGGGAGAAAAGAGGGGCATTAAAACTCAGTACAGGCCCGGCCTGGTGGCTCACGCCTGTAATCCCAGTACTTTATGAGGCCGAGGCAGGCAGATCACAAGGTCAGGAATTTGAGACCAGCCTGACCTGTCTCTACTAAAAATACAAAAATTAGCCTGGTGTGGTGGCGCACACCTGTAATTCCAGCTACTCAGGAGGCTGAGGCAGGAGAATCACTTGAACCCAGGAGGTGGAGGTTGCAGTGAGCTGAGATCACGCCACTGCACTCCAGCCTGGGTGACAGTGAGACTCAGTCTCGAAAAGAAAAAAAAAAAGGCCTCACTATAATAATGGTAGGAGAAAACCGTAAGAAATCTCAAGCCAACCAAGGAAAATAGCTCCCCAGGTTGGGAAAACCTCCTAATATGGATAATGAAAGAAAGGCCCTAAAAAGCGATAGAGATCACTTCAGGGGAAGGCCAGGAGGAATCAAAGGTAACTGTTGCAACTTAACAATTCACCTAAAGCAAAGTCTTAACTTTTCTGCCCTTGATTAACTTTTCAGAGGTTTATCAGTTTAGCAGCTCCAATATGCTATTCGTCTGAATCTTTCTAAACCCATGTCTCTCCCACAGTCCCAACACTCCTTCACATACCACAATCTATCCCAGGTTTCATCCCTTTCCCATATTCTCATTCCTACTCTTCCACCAAAAGTAAAACTCTGCCTTCGTTTTCTTCTAAGTCCAGCAGAAAGCTGTGAAGCCTTTTCTGATTCCAAGCCTCTCCACCTTGGTCCAAGCCATCAGAATCTCTACCCTGGACTACCTCAAGAGCCTCTAACTTGTTTCTTTGCTTTAACTCTTGCCTTCCATGTGGTAGCTCCTGCACATAACCCAAGCACAATCACATTCTTAAATGTAAATTAGACTATGCCACTGGCCTGCCTAAAACCCTGCTGTGGTCTTCATCCTACTTCTCCCATTATACTCTGTAGCATCTCAACCCTGGTTGCACTTGAGAATCTCCAGCAGAGGCTTTGCAAAACAGCAATGCCTGGGCCTCATGCCAGACTAATTATGCAGGATACACCATTTGCCTGATGATTCACAGCACAGCCAGGTTTGCTGGTCTGGCCTGTGACACCTCTTGGTTTAATAGTGCTCATTCCTCCTGATCTTTGCATTGCTGCCACCATGTCATCATTCTGCCTGAACATCACCTCCACACGAGGCTGTCTCTGACCACCCTTCCCAGGACCTCTCTGTTATAGCACCTTGAAGCACTTTTCTCTGCTTGAATTTTCCTTGCTTACTCATGCTGTAACCTGCATTGTCCTGTCAGAAAATTAAGCTTTAATGACACAGGGACCCCGTGTGTTTTTCAGTATACCTGGCATAGTGTAGGCAACTCGTTCAGTAAACATTTGTGAACAAGTATTGAATGAATTCCCCAGGCAGAACTAATCACTTCCTCTTCTGTATCCTCAAAGCACTTTGGAGATTGCTCCATTAAAATACATCGCCCATATTTTATTCAGTTGCATCTGTGCCTGTTTCCTCGCTAGACTGAAAGCAACTTGAGTGTGGGAGCTATGTCTTATTCATCTTTCTATTTCTATTACTTAGCATTGTGCTAAATATATGATAGGTGCTATAACTAAGACACCACCTTTCATTATGAAAATCAAATTAATGAGTGGTGACAAATCAAGGATGGTACAGTTCATCCTGGCTCATCAGTAACCTCAGTGATTATTTAAAACTTATGCCCAATATTTTTTAGGAGGGGAATTTTAAGAGAGATATTATTTACAGTTGCTGGCACATGTTGATAATAAAAAGCAGATGGACCCTCAATTAGGTTTATTATTTATTATAAATTTTCTAGAGACATTGTAACCCCTTAGTGCCTACACTCAAGGCTGGTCACCATCACTATCTTGCCTTAGGTACACCGCTGTTTATAAGAAGCCCCAAAACTCTGATGAATGACTATTGTCTTTTTCTACTAAAATCTCAGACAATTAAGAACTGAGGCTCAAAGTAGAAGAGTCCACTTGGCTAAGCCTTAGCAAACAATTACATGCTCATCTGAACCTGAGACTCTGGTAAACCCTAAACAAAGCTAATTATCTATATACTATAAGCCTGCAGACACTAGAATTATGAAGATAAGAAGTCCAACTGTGCAAGAGTAAAATAATATTATTTGCCACATTACATTTAAAGAAACAGCCTGGAGTCATTTTCTGTGAGTGTGATTGCATTTATTGTATTGGATAGTTTTTTTTTATTGGAAAAGTAATACAGTGCTTGTTGTCACAAGGCAAACAATATAAAGGTATAAAAATATTTGCACTGTCTTTCCAACTCTGCAGTCTAACTCTAATATCCTAAGGCAATTCATGTTAATTTGCAATTTGGCATATATCATCTGTGCTTTTGGAACTATAGATAGTGAGGAGATGGATAGAGAGAAAGATTGAGATAGAGATTATCCAGATACATATATACACACTTCATATTGTTACAAAAATTGGGTCATCTCATTCACTTTTCTTTAAAAAGCTTACTCTCAACAGTATTATCTTACTCTTCCCTCTGGGTCATTACATACAGATGTAACTCATTCTGTTGAATTTATGTATTCATTCATTCAACCTATATTTATTAAGACTGTCTACAGGCATATGTTTAGGCACTCAGGTAAACAAAACAAACAAATTCTTGCTTTTAGGAAATTTGCATTCTAATGTGGGATAATGAAAATAAACACATAAACAAGTAAACTAATAGCATGTCACATGTGATGTTGAGTGTTATAGAAAACCAAAAGCAGAGGACTCCACAGAAAGGGAGTATAGAAGAAGGGCTGCTGTTTTTCATAAGTGACCAGGGAAGCCTTGTGAGCAAAGAACTGAAGGACATGAGGGAACCAGCCATGCATGTATCTGGGGCAAGACCTTCCCAGGCACGGAGGACAGCAAGTACAAATAAGATTGCCAAAAAATATCCTAGTACAACTGTTCTTATGTATTCAAATCTTCTTGAATTATTCATCAAAAGGCATACATGTATAAAACTTACACCATCCATGTGGCAAAATCTGGTTCAATATAAGACTTTCCCGACCAAAATGGAAGCCAAGCTTCCTAAGATACCCACACAGATGGGAGCCAAAGAGGAAGACAAGCTGTTGAGTCAAGAGACATTGCTACTTGTCCTTCTAACCTGAATTGGCTTTGGATATAGGCAAGGAAATCTGAAGATGGGTGGATCCTACTTAAAAAATTGCTATTATTAAAAAGTCAGAAAATAACAGATGCTGTCAAGGTTGTGGAGAAAAGGGAACATTTATACACTGTTTGTGGGAGTGTAAATTAGTTCAAACATTGTAGAAGACAGCGTGGCAATTCCTCAAAGACCTAACGACAGAAGTACCACTTGACCCAGCAATCCCATTATGGGTATATACCCAAAGGAATATAAATCATTCTATTATGAAGACACATGAACATGTACGTTCATTGCAGCACTGTTCGCAATAGCAAAGACATGGAATCAACTTAAATGCCTATCAATGATAGACTGAATAAAGAAACTGTGGTACATATATACCATGAAATAATAGTATGCAGCCATAAAAAAGAAAGAGATCATGTTCTTTGCAGGGACATGAATAAAGTTGGAGGCTATTATCCTTAGCGAACTAACACAGGAACAGATAACCAAATACCCCATGTTCTCACTTATAAGTGGGAGCTAAATGATGAGAACACATGGGCACATAGAGGGGAACAACACACACCAGGGCCTATTGGCAGGTGGAGGCTGGGAGGAGGGAGAGGATCAGGAAAAATGACTAATGTACACTAGGCTTAATACCTGTGTCATGAAATAATCTGTACAACCAACCCCCATGATGGATTCCTACTAAGCCATGTCCCATCTGTGAGGGACCCCACTGGAAATTGGACTGTCCAGCTCACCTGGCAGCCACTCCCAGAGACTGTAGAGCTCTGGCCTAAGGCTCTCTGACTGATTCCTTCCCAGATCTGCCTAGCTTAGTGGCTGAAGACTGACGCTGACCAATTGCTTCGAAAGCCTCCTGAACCATCACAGACGCTTTGGGTAACTCTTACAGTGGAGGATAAGTCCATCCTCTTCTTAATCAATATGGAGGCTACCCACTCCACATTACCTTCTTTTCAAGGGCCTGTTTCCCTTGCATCCATAACTGTTGTGGGTATTGACGGCCAGGCTGCTAGACCCCTTAAAACTCCCCAACTCTGGTGCCAACTTGGACAACATTCTTTTATGCACTCCTTTTTAGTTATCCCCACCTGCCCAGTTCCATTATTAGGTCTAGATATTTTAACAAAATTATCTGCTACCCTGACTATTCCTGGACTACAGCCACATCTCATTGCTGCCCTTCTCCCCAACCCAAAGCCTCCTTCATGTCTTCCTCTTGTATCCCGCCCACCTTAACCCACAAGAATGGGACCCTTCTCTTCCCTCCCTGGCAACCAATCACATACCCATTACTATCCCATTAAAACCTAATCACCCTTACCCCACTCAGTGTCAGTATCCCATCCCACAACAAGCTTTGAGGGGATTAAAGCCTGTCCAGGATCTTTGTCTTGTCAACCAAATTGTCTTGCCTATCCACCCCATGGTGCCAAACCCATATACTCTCCTATCCTCAATACCTTCCTCCACAACTCACTATTCCATTCTTGATGTTAAAGATGCTTTTTTCACTATTCCCCTTCACCCCTTATCCCAGCCTCTCTTTGCTTTTACCTGGACTGACGCTGACACCCATCAGTCCCAGCAGCTGTACTGCCACAAGGCTTCAGGGACAGGCCTCTTTACTTCAGCCAAGCTCTTTCTCATGATTTACTTTATTTCCACCCCTTTGCTTCTCATCTTATTCAATATACTGATGACCTTCTACTTTGTAGCCCCTCCTTTGAGTCTTCTCAATAAGATATCCTCCTGCTCCTTCAACATTTACTCTCCAAAGGATATCAAGTATCCCCCTCCAAAGCTCAAATTTCTTCTCCATCGGTTACCTGCTTTGGCATAAGTCTTCATGAAAACACGTATGCTCTCCCTGACAATCGCGTCCAGCTGATCTCTCAAACCCCAAACCCTTCTACAAAGCAACAACTCCTTTCCTTCCTGGGCATGGTTGGATACTTTCACCTTTGGATACCTGGTCTTGCCATCCTAACAAAACCATTATATAAACTCACAAAAGGAAACCTAGCTGACCCCATAGATCATAAATCCTTTCCCCACTCCTCTTTCCATTCCTTGAAGACAGCTTTAGAGACTGCCCACACACTAGCTCTCCCTGACTCATACCAACCCTTTTCATTACACACAGCCGAAGTGCAGGGCTGTGCAGTCAGAATTCTTACACAACGACTGGGACTGTGCCCTGTAGCCTTTCTGTCCAAACAACGTGACCTTACTGTTTTAGGATGGCCTCATGTTTCTGTGCAGTGGCCGCTGCCGCCCTAATTCTTTTAGAGGCACTCAAATTTACAAACGATGCTCAACTCACTCTCTACAGCTCTCATAACTTCCAAAATCTATTTTCTTCCTCACACCTGACACATATACTTTCTGCTCCCCGGCTCCTTCAGCTATACTGACTCTTTGTTGAGTCTTCCACAATTACCATTGTTCCTGGCCCGGACTTCAATCCAGCCTCCTACATTATTCCGGACACCACACCTGACCCCCATGACTGTATCTCTTTGATCCACCTGACATTCACCCTATTTCCCCATATTTCCTTCTTTCCTGTTCCTCACCCTGATCACTTTTGGTTTATTGATGGCAGTTCCACCAGGCCTAATCACCACTCACTAGCAGAGGCAGGCTACACTATAGTATCTTCCACATCTATCATTAGGGCTACTACTCTGCCCCCCTCCACTACCTCTCAGCAAGCCAATCTCATCGCCTTAACTCGAGTCCTCACTCGTACAAAAGGACTGCATGTCAATATTTATACTAACTCTAAATAAGCCTTCCATATCCTGTACCACCATGCTGTTATATGGGCTGAAAGAGGTTTCCTCACTACACAAGGGTCCTCCATCATTAATGCCTCTTTAATAAAAACTCTTCTCAAGGCTGCTTTATTTCCAAAGGAATCGGGAGTCCTTCACTGCAAAGGCCATCAAAGGGCCTCAGACCCCATTGTTCAAGGCAACAATTATGCTGATAAGACAGCTAAAGAAGCAGTCAGCATTCCTACTTCTGTCCCTAATGGCCAGTTTTTCTCCTTGTCATCAGCCACTCCTACTTACTCTCACACTGAAATTTCAACTTATCAATCCTTCCCCACTCAAGGCAAATGGTTTTTGGACCAAGGAAAATTTCTCCTTCCAGCCTCACAGGCCCATTCTATTCTGTCGTCATTTCATAACCTCTTACATGTAGATTACAAGCCACTAGCCCATCTCTTAGAACCTCTCATTTCCTTTCCATCATGGAAATCTATCCTCAAGGAAATCACTTCTCAGTGTTCCATCTGCTATTCTACTACTCCTCAGAGACTCCTCAGGCCCCTCCCTTCCCTACACATCAAGCTCAGGGATTTGCCCCTGCCCAGGACTGGCAAATTGACTTTACTCACATGCCCTGAGTCAGAAAAATAAAATACCTATTCGTCTGGATAGACACTTTCACTGGATGGGAGAGGCCTTTCCCACCGGGTCTGAGAAGGCCACTGTGGTCATTTATTACCTTCTGTCAGACATAATTCCTTGGTTTGGCCTTCCTACCTCTCTACAGTCCGATAATGGACCAGCCTTTATTACTGACATCACCCAAGCAGTTTCTCAGGCTCTTGGTATTCAGTGGAATCTTCATACCCCTTACCGTCCTCAATCCTCAGGAAAGGTAGAACAGACTAATGGTCTTTTAAAGACATACCTCACCAAGCTCAGCCTCCAACTTAAAAAAGACTGGACAGTACTTTTACTTGCCCTTCTCAGAATTAGAGCCTGTCCTTGAGATGCTACAGGTTACAGTCCACTTGAACTTTTATATGGATGCACTTTCTTGCTTGGCCCCAACCTCATCCCAGACACCAGCCCTCTAGGAGACTATCTTCCAGTCCTCCAGCAGGCTAGACAGGAAATTCACCAGGCTGCTAATCTTCTCTTGCCTACTCCAGGTTCCCAGCCATATGAAGACACCCTAGCTGGACGATCAGTTCCTGTTAAGAGTCTGACCCCTCAAACTCTGCAGCCTCAATGGACCAGACCCTACCTAGTCATCTGTAGCACCCCAACTGCCATCCATCTGCAGGACCCCCCCACCCCCAGTTAGGTTCACTGTTCCAGAATAAAGCTGTGCCTGTCAGAGAGACAGCCTGATCTCTTTCTTTTCCTCCTGGAAGTCTCAAGTACTCACCCCTACTTCCCTTAAACTCACCTGCATTCCTAAAGGATAATAGTAACCCTTATAAGCCTAATACATCTTTTCATTTTTATTAGGTCTCTTCTTCCTTAGCCTGCTCTTTACAACAGGGCTTTATGCCTACCTCACTTGGACTGCGCCCCAAAAAGTTGTCATCCCTACTATCTTCTCTCTAGTCATACTCCTATTCACCATTCTCAACTACTCATAAATGCCCTGCCCCTGTTTACACTGCTGGTTTACACTTTTTCTCCAAACCATCGTAGCAAATATCTCCTGGTACTATCCCCAATCTGCCACTCTTGACTCCCTCTTGGAGTGGATAGATGATCTTTGCTGAGAGGGCACACTCCAATACTTTCACCGTGATAAAGTCCTATTCTTTACTTTTATACTCACTCTTATTTTTGTTCCCATTCTTATGCCACCCTCTACATCTCCCCAGTTATCTCCACCACACTATCAATCTCACTCACTCTCTCCAAGCCATTTCTAATCCTGCTTTAACGAACAATTGCTGGCTTTGCATTTCTCTTTTCTCCAAAGCCACGGAGGCCTCAACTCACTCACTGCTAAAAAAAAAAGACTGTATATTTTTAAATGAAGAGTGTTGTATTTACATAAATCAATCTGGCCTGGTATATGACAACATAAAAAAACTCAAGGATAAAGCCCAAAAACTCACCAACCAAGCAAATAATTACACTGAACCCCCTTGGGCACTCTCTAATAGGATATCCTGGGTCCTCCAAATTCTTAGTCCTTTAATATCTGTTTTTCTCCTTCTCTTATTCAGACCTTGTATCTTTCATTTAATTTCTCAATTCCCTCAAAATCACATCCAGACCATCACCAATCATTCTATACGACAAATGCTCCTTCTAACAACCCCACAATATCACCTCTTACCCCAAAATCTTTCTTCAGTTTAATCTCTCCCTCTCTAGGTTCCCACACCACCCCAATCCTGCTCAAAGCAGCCCTGAGAAACATCACCCATTATCTCTCCATACCACCCCCAAAAATTTTTGCTGCCCCAACACTTCACCACTACTTTGTTTTGTTTTTCTTATTAATATAAGGAGACAGGAATGTCAGGCCTCTGAGCCCAAGCTAAGCCATCATAACCCCTGTGACCTGCACGTATACATTCAGATGGCCTGAAGCAACAGAAGAACCACAAAAGATGACATTCCACCATTGTGATTTGTTCCTGCCCCACCCCAACTAATCAATTGACCTTGTTACATTCCCCCTGGACAATGAGTCACATGATCTCCCCACCCTGCACCTTGTGACCCTGCCCCTGCCCACAAGAGATAACCACCTTTAACTGTAATTTCCACTTCCTACCCAAATCCTGTAAAACTGCTCCACCGCTATCTCCCTTTGCTGACTCTCTTTTCGGACTCAGCCCCCTTGCACCCAAGTGAAATAAATAGCCTTGTTGCTCACACAAAGCCTGTTGATGGACTCTCTTCACACGGACTCTTGTGACAACAAGTTTATCTATGTTAACAAGCCTGAACATCTACCCCTGAACTTAAAAGTTAAAGAAAAAAAGAGTTTAATTTGGAGGAAGGAAAGAACAAGTAATGACATCCTCTGGCTCTGATGGCCTATGATCTCGTACTACCACTTCCAAATAAGAATCTTTTTTAGATTATTTTATATTCCATCACTGGCCCATACTATTACTACTGGCTCATAAAGGATCAAATAATTATACTTTTGAACATTCAGTTTTTGAACTGAATCAAATAATGTAAGATCTTAATGTACTTTATGTATGCATGTTTTATGAAATAGCCCAGAACAACAGATGTAAGTGCTATAAATTAGGCCAGGTTAAGAGGAGTCAAAGCTGGAAATTGACATACCTACTAGGACTCATGGGAATCCAGCTGCACTCCCAAACTGGCTTCTATGTCTCCTTTGAGAAAGTAACCACTTGGTCAAAAGCACATGTGTAATGTTTCATATACAAACTCCCATCTTGGCTATTCACAATGCACATTTGAATTTTAGAGACTGAGTAATTCCAACAAGGAAAGTCATTCAACTTTGTTAAATGATTTAAAAAAAATATGTAATGAACATTTTTTTCTTAATATTTTGCATTAAAATTAGTTTAGAAAGCACAGCAATATAGAGTTTAGGTTCCAGAACATGCTGGGAATTTCATATACTGTATTGTCACACAGGCCTAATACACTGAATTCAAGAAAAGTGTTGTTTCTTTATTAGTAGATACCATATTGATTTTAAAATGTGCATGCAAAAAAACTATGATCAACACTATTTAAACTTTTAACTTATTTGGGTCTAAGTACCTCAATATTTTTTATCTTAAGATTATATAGATGCTTTGAATTGTATTTGTTGTACTAAGTTGATCATGAATTATCTAATTTAATCTTAATGATAATCTTATAAGGTAGATAGTGGCATTCTCATTTTATTGATATTAAAGTCAAGATTTAGATAAATTATGACTTTTGAAAAAAATGGCAGATAGAAGGCAGGACTAAATTCCAGCTCCCACTTGGGAGGACAGAGCAGTGTTTGGATACCTGCAATGTGAGCTTTTGTTCCAGGAACTACTGAAAGAAGATATCAGAAAAGCTGAGAGAATCCACAGACCCTTTGAAGGAAGTGGATTTCTCCTGCAAGACCCAGTAGATAGCCTAAATACTGTCAGTGCCCATACTAAAAGTTGGAAAGGGGGATTGTCTGCCCCCAAACACACACCCTCACTGGAGAACCTGAAGGTCCAGATAACAGGGGAAGGATTTGACCTTACCTGGAGCTGAGACAATTTAAAGAGCCGAGAGAAATACAGGAGTAGAGGAAGCAATGGGAAAAGCCCTGTGGACTCTCTAGTTTCACAGGGAAGCCATTTCTGACTTGTCTCACAGGGGCCCTTGGGAAGGGCTACCAGAGTAACTGGGAAAAGACCACAGGGAGAAGGAAACCTCCAGCTGAACTTGTAACAATCCCAACTGAATGCAAAGTTTCCTGGCCAGAACTCAGGGGAGGACATGAATCCAGTGTGCAGGCACCACAGGCAGGGAGGTACAAAAGCCCTGCTTGCTTTCTCAGCCAGGAGGCTGGTAGCCTGGGGCAAGTTCTCAGCCCCACTGGCCCACTGCCTGGAAACAAACCTGGTGCTGTTAGGGCAGGGGGGCACAGTGGGAGTGAGACTGGCCTTTTAAGTTGCATGGGAGCTGGATGAAGCCTGTAACTGCTGGCTTTCCTCCCACTTTCCTGACAACCTGCATGGCACAGCAGAGGAAGCCATAATCCTCCTGGCAACATAACTCCATTGACCTGGGAACCACACCTCATGCCCCACAGCAGCCACAGGAAGACCTGCCCAAGGACAGTCTGAGCTCAGACATGCCTAGCCCCACCCTCACCTAATGGTCCTTCCCTACCTACCTTGGTAGCTGAAGACAAAGGGCATATTCTTTTGGGAGTTCTAGGGCCCCACTCACCACCTGATCCTCCCTATACTACCATAGCTGATATTCTTTTGAAAGCACCACCAACTGGCAGAAGGCCAACCAGGACAAAACTAGTGCATTAAACAACTACAACTAAGGACTCTCACAGAGTCCATTTCACTATCCTGCCATCTCCAATAGACCAGGTGCTGATATCTACAGCTTAGAGACCTGAAGACGGTTCACATCACAGGACTCTGTACAGACACCCCCCAGTACCAACCCAGAGCCTGGTAGACCTGTTGGGTGACTAGATCCAGAATATAAATAACAAATACTACAATTCAGCTCTCAGAAGGCCACATCCCTAGGAAAAGAGGGAGAGTACTATATCAACGAGCACCCCATGGGACAAAAGAATCTGAACAGCAGCCTCGTGCACCCAATCTTTCCTCTGACATAGCCTACCTAAATGAGAAGGAACCAGAAAAACAATTCTAGTAATGTAAAAAAAACAAGGTTCTTTAATATCACCCAAAAATCACACTAGCTCATCAGCAATGAATCCAAACCCAGAAGAAATCCCTGAATTGCCAGAAAAAGTATTGAGAAGGTTGATTATTAAGCTAATCAAGGAGGCACTAGAGAAAGGTGAAGTCCAATTTAAGGAAATTTTTTTAAAAAATGATACAAGATAGGAAGGGAGAAATCTTCAATAGATAGAGTAAATAAAAAATAATCACAACTTCAGGAAACAAAGGACATACTTAGAGAAATGCAAAATGTGCTGGAAAGTCAGCAATAGAATTGAACAAGCAGAAGAAAGAACTTCAGAGTTCAAAGACAAGGTTTCCAAATAACCCAATCCAACAAAGACAAAGAAAAAAGAATAAAAAGTAAATAAACAAAGCCTCCAAAAAGTTTGGGATTATGTTAAATGACCAAACATAAGAATAATCAGTGTTCCTGAGAAAGAAGAGAAATCTAAAAGTTTGAATAACATATTTGGGAAAATAATTGAGGAAAAATTACCCAGCCTTGCTAGAGACCTAGACATCCACATACAAGAAGCTTAAAGAACAGCTGGGAAGTTCATTGCAAAAAGATAATCACCTAGACATATAGTCATCAGGTTATCTAAAGTCAAGATGAAGGAAAGAATCTTAAGAGGTGTGAGACAAAAGCACCAGGTAACCTATAAAGGAAAACCTATCAGGTTAACAGCAGATTTCTCAGCAGAAACCCTACAAGCTAGAAGAGATTGGGGCCCTATCTTCAGCCTCCTTAAACAAAACAATTACCAGCCAAGAATTTTATATCCAGCTAAGCTTCATAAATGAAGGAAAGATACAGTCTTTTTCAGACAAATAAATGCTGATAGAATTCACCACTACCAATGCAGCACTACAAGAACTGCTAAAAGGAGCCCTAAATCTTGAAACAAATTATGGAAATACATCAAAACAGAACCTCTTTCAAGCATGAATCTCACAGGACCTATAAAACAAAAATACAATTAAAAAAAAAAAAACAAGGTATTCCTGCAACAAATATCAAATTAATGGAATAGTACCTCACATCTCAATACTAATGTTGAAAGTAAATGGCCTAGATGCTCCACTTAAAAGATACAGAATTGCAAAATAGATAAGAATTCACCAACCAAGCATCTGCTGCCTTCAAGAGACTCACCTAACACATAAGGACTCACATAAACTTAAGGTTAAGGGGTGGAAAAAGATTTTCCATGCAAATGGAAACCAAAAGCAAGCAGGAGTAGCTGTTCTTATATCAGACATAGAAAACTTTAAAGCAACAGCAGTTTAAAAAGACAAAGATGAACGTTATATAATGATGAAAGGCCTTGTCCAACAGGAAAATATCACAGTCCTAAATATATATGCACCTAACATTGGAGCTCCCCAATTTACAAAACAATTACTACTAGACCTATGAAATGAGATAGATAGCAACACAGTAATAGTGGGGGACTTCAATACTCCACTGACAGCACTAGACAGGTCATCAAGACAGAAAGTCAACAAAGAAACAATGAACTTAAACTATACCCTAGAACAAATGGACTTAACAGATATTTACAGAACATTCTGCCCAACAACCACAGAATATACATTTATTCAACAGTGCATGGAACTTTCTCCAAGATAGGCCATATGAATGGCCACAAAACAAGTCTCAAAAAATTTAATAAAATTGAAACTATATCAAGTGCTCTCTCAGACCACAGTAGAATAAAATTGGAAATCAACCTCAAAAGGAACATTAAAACCATGCAAATACATGGAAATTGAATGACATGCTCCTGAATGATCATTGGGTCCACAGTAAAATCAAGATGGAAATTAAAAAATTCTTTGAACTAAATGATAATAGCGACAGAACCTATCAAAACGTCTGGGATACAGCAAAGGTAGTGCTAAGAGGAAAGTTCGTAGCCTTAAATGTTTACATCAAAAAGTCTGAAAGAGCACAGGTAGACAATCTAAGGTCACACCTCAAGGAAGTAGAGAAACAAGAACAAACCAAACCAAAATTAAGCAGAAAAAAAGAAATAACAAAGATCAGAGCATAACTAAATGAAATTGAAACAAAAACTTACAAAAGATAAATGAAGCAAAAAGCTGGTTCTTTGAAAAGATAAATAAAATTGATACACCATTACAAGATTAACCAAGAAGAGAGAAGACTCAAATAAGCTCAATTAGAAACAAAATAGGAGATACTACAACTGACACCACAGAAATAAAAAAGATCATTCAAGGCTACTATGAAAACCTTTACATGCATAAACTAGAAAACCTAGAGGAGATGGATAAATTCCTGGAAAGATATAACCCTCCTAGCTTAAATCAGGAAGAATTAGAAACCCTGAACAGACCAACAACAAGCAGTAAGATTGAAATGGTAATTAAAAAATTACCAAGAACAAAAAAAGTTCAGGAACAGATGGATTCACAGCTGAATTCTATCAGACATTCAAAGAATTGGTACCAATCCTATTGACACTATTTCACTAGATAGAGGAAGAGGGAATCCTCTTTAAGTCATTCTATGAAGCCAGTATCATCCTAATACCAAAACCAGTAAAGGACATTACAAAAAAAGAAAACCACAGACCAATATCCCTGATGAACATAGATGCAAAAATTCTTAACAAAATAGTAGCTAACTGAATCCAACAGCATATCAAAAAGATAATCCACCATGATCAAGTGGGTTTCATACCAGGGAAACAGGATGGTTTAACATACACAAGTCAATAAATGTGATACATCGCATAAACAGAATTAAAAACAAAAATCACACGATTATCTCAATAGCTGCAGAAGAAGCATTTGACAAATTCCAGCATCCCTTTAATGACTAAAACCCTCAGCAAAAGTGATATACAAGGGATACACTTCAATGTAATAAAAGCCATCTATGACAAACCCATAGCCAATATAATACCGAATGGGGAAAAGTTGAAAGCATTCCCTCTGAGAACTGGAACAAGACAAGGATGCCCACTCTCATCACTTCTATTCCACATAGTACTGAAAGGCCTAGCCAGAGCAATCAGGCAAGAGTAAAAAATCAAGGGCATCCAGATCAGTAAAGAGGAAGTCAAACTGTCACTTTTTGCTGATGATATGATCATATACCTAGAAAACCCTAAAGACTCCTTCAAAAAGCTATTAGAATTGATAAATGAATTCTGCAAGGTTTCAGAATACAAAATTAATGTATACAAATCAGTAGCTCTGCTATACCAGCAAGCTCTGCTATATACAGCAAGCAAGCTGAGAATCAAATCAAGAACTCAACCCCTTTTACAATAACTGCAAAAAAAAAATACTTAGGAATATACCTAACCAAGGAGGTAAAAGACCTCTACAAGGAAAACTACAAAACACTGCTGAAAGAAATAATAGATGATACAAAGAAATGGAAACACATCCCATGCTCATGGATGGGTAGAATCAATATTGTGAAAATGACCATACTGCTAAAAGCAATCTAAAAATTCAATGTAACTCCCATCAAAATACCACCATCATTCATCACAGAAATAGAAAAAAAATCCTAAAATTCATATGGAACTAAAAAGAGCCCACATAGTGAAAGAAGACTAACCAAAATGAACAAATCTGGAGGCATCACATTACCTGACTTCAAACTATGCTATAAGGCCATAGTCACTAAAACAGCATGGTACTGGCATAGAAATAGGCATCTAGACCAATTGAATGGAGTAGAGAATCCAGAAATAAACCCAAATACTTACAGCCAACTGATCTTCAGCAAAGCAAACAAAAACATGAAGTGGGGAAAGGACACCCTACTCAACGAATGGTGCTGGGATAATTGGCAAGCCATATGTAGAATGATACTGGATCCTCATCTCTCACCTTATACCGAAATCAACTCAAGATGGATCAAAGGCTTAAATTTAAGACATGAAACTATAAAAATTATAGAAGATAACATGGTAAAAACCTTTCTAGACATTGGCTTAGGCAAAGACTTCATGACCCAAAAGCAAATGCAACAAAAATAAATAGGTGGGACTTAATTAAACTAAAGAGCTTCTGCACAGCAAAAGGAACAGACAGCAAAGTAAACAGACAACCCACAGAGTGAGATAAAATCTTCACAATCTATACATTTGACTAAAGACTAATATCTGGAATCTACAAGGAACTCAAACAAATGAATAAGAAAAAAAACAAACAATCCCATCAAAAAGTAGGCTAAGGACATGAATAGAAAATTCTCAAAAGAAGATACACAAATGGCCGATAAACATATGAAAAAAGGTCCAACATCACTAATGATCAGGGAAATGCAAATCAAAACCACAATGTGATACCACCTTACTACTGCAAGAATGATCATAACCAAAAAATCAAAAAATAATAGATGTTGGGGTGAATGTGGTGAAAAGAGAAGACTTCTACACTGCTGATAGGAATGTAAACTAGTACAACCACTATGGAAAACAGTGTGGAGATTTCTTAAAGAACTAAAATCCAGCAATCCCACTACTGGGTATCTACCCAGAGGAAGAAAAGTCACTATACAAAAAAAGATATTGCACATGCATATTTATAGCAGCACAATTAGCAATTGCAAAAACATGGAACCAGCCCAAATGCCCATCAATCAATGAGTGGATAAAGAAATTGTGATACATGTATATATATATATATATATATATATATATGTATATATGTATATATATATATATATATATGATGGAATGCTACTCAGCCATAAAAAAAGAACAGATTAATGGCATTCGCAGCAATCTGGATGGAACTGAAGACTATTATTCTAAGTGAAGTAACTCAGGAATGGAAAACCAAACATCATATGTCCTCACTCATAAGGGGGAGCCAAGCCATGAGCATGTAAAGTCATAAGAATGATACAATGGACTTTGGGGACTCCAGGGAAAGGGAGGGAGGGGGTTGAGGGATAAAAGATTACAAATTGGGTTCAGTGTATAATGCTTGGCTGAAGGGTGCACCAAAATCTCACAAATCACCACTAAATAACTTACTCATGTAACCAAACACTATCTGTTCACCAATAACCTACAGGAATAAAAAATTAAAAATTAGAAAAATTTCAAATTTATTAAAAAAAATTTATATAAATTAAATATAATGCCCAAGATTCCAGAGCTAGCCTCACTGGGGTCAGAGGTTTTAATCCAGAGAGTCCAACTATAGAGTTTTAACCACTGGAAATACTGTCTTGCTAGGCATTAGGCTTCAGCAACTTATTTTAACAATTGTTTAGTAAGTAGCAGTGGCTACAGTTGTCATTGGCATTAGAGTGCTTCAACAACAAGAAAAACTATTTGTGAATAAATAAGCATGTAGAACACAGTGGTTGAGAATCTAAAAACTTGCCATATTCAGCAAGTAGGTTGGTATGAAAGTCGGGATTGTGTGCCAGAAAGAAAAATAAGATAACATAATTTCAAAATGAATGTCTGTCCTTTTAATAGAATTCACCTTAGCAAAGTTTATCTAATCACTATTCTTAACTTCATCTTTTTTTAATTTCAAGAACCAGGTCATTATGAAAAGGTCTGGATGGTTCAAAAAAGCAAATTTGGCACAAAAGGACAGGTCAGGTACAAAGTGGCTAGAACCAGGACAGTCGTGGCACTTGATCACAAGAATGAAGACAAAACCCCTCACTGAAAGTAGAGCCAGAGATCACAGACTGGCTCAGTGGCAAAGTTGGAGACTGGTTGACAATTACACACATTCTCTCCTTAAGATTCACCCCATCCCCATGATAATAAGAGCAACAATAGCATGACATGCACATGCACACACACACACACACACACACACACATACACAGAACTCCTATGCAGGGATGCATCCCAGTGTAGAGATAAATTTAAATGACATCAATTGAAAAATACAATGAAATGTCTCTATTTCTTTTCTTCAACTACCCTATGCCTCTTTATTCACCTGAACCCCCTTTCAGAAAGTCTCCAAGACCCTGGGAAATTTCCCATGCCTTCCCGACTTCCAACACAGATCTCATTTGACCATGCTCCTTTTCTGGGTAATGAGTGTCTGACTCAGTGGTAACTTGGTCAGCTTTGGGTCAGAGAATCCAAGCTTTTTTTTTTTTTTTTTTCCCAAAAGGTTACAATTCCATGTTGAACTGGCAGATGATGCTTGTCATCTCATTCTGGCTCCAACGCTTGACAGCTCTATGGCTTTGGGCATGTTATTTATCTTCTCTGTGGCTCATTTTTTTATTTATAAAGTGGGCAGATATGAGGACCTCCCCTTAGGGTTCTTATTAGGATTACGTGAAACAAGCCATGTAAAGCATTTAGCACAGTGCTGGCATGCAGTAAGTACTCAGTAAAAGTCATTATTATTATGTTCACTCTTGCTATTTTTGTTACATGTAGTTGCAATGTTGGCAAAAATGAGTTCTTAAACCTGGAATTTCAGTCTAGTTTGTGAATTGAGTTACACAGAGAGGCCTTAATTTTGCTCATCGGGTTGGTGATTGATGCTTGTTTGCTAACACAGAAAATGTTGGCAAAGGCAGGAAGGAGGGCTGGCAGAATAGCTGTACTAATTACCGAAGGTGCAAATTCAACATGCAGCAGTCTTGCACGACATAATGAGCCTGTGCTGAGGTGAAACAGGAGGTTTGTTACATACATTAGAATTAGATGCTCTAATTGCTTAGCATCCCAAATGTGAATGATTTCTTGAGAAATAGAAGAAAGTGATCCACCCACTTCTACATGACAACAAAAGAGTTCTCTTCAGTTGGCTGATAAGCAGGAAACCAGGACGTAAGGGTAATTTCATCCAGGCAACAATTGACTAGATATGCTGCTACCTCTTCTCAAACACCACAGGGAGAAACAGAAGAATGTGATGAAGGAACAATGTCCTTTATTAAGGGGAACCTGGTAGCATTTCTTCACTGGCTAATGAGGGGACTGGCAGTGGGTCATTTGTGCTTTGATGGATGTTTAAAATTCAGGAGTTGAACCAGCCAATCAAGCAGCAGCTATGATAGGAATAAGAACAACTTTTGGTTATTGCGTTTAAGGAATATTATACATTATCCTGAGCAGATTCTAAGAATCTAAGACTATGATTTCAAGAGAATATACATATTTATGGAATTTAGCAATGAAGTCATTCAACAGATTGTTCAACAGTGCCACCTGTAGGCAAGTGTATGCCCCTTTAATGGTGTGATGTCAAGAAAGAATCAGCACCTCTCAAAAGTTTGGCAAGAGCTTTTAGATCAGACTGAAGTTTTAATCCTAATTCTGATTTTCATGAGCTATGTGAGCTTTGGCAAGTTTCTCCACCTTTCTGAATTATTCAATAACTGTTTTTGCAACTCCAGTGACAAATAACACTCATTTTTAACAGAAACAGTCTATTCCATCTTTTGAGACATGAGTTCTGGAAGTTCTTTGCAGGGCTATCTCAATATAATTTTACTAATTAGCTCAATTTCCCCTCTTGGGAATATTCAAATCTTTCATCAATCAATATAGTTCTAAAAATATTAGAGAACAGATATTGCCTTCCTTCTTAATCTTTCTTTCTCTGGGCTAGTACTAGTTGCCCTTATGACCATCTTTTTTTTTTTTTTTTTTTGAGACAGGGTCTTGCTCTGTCATCCAGGCTAGAGTGCAGTGGCACAATCACATCTCACTGTAGCTTCAAATTCCTACGCTCAAGCAGTCCTCCTACCTCAGCCTCCCAAGTAGCTGGGACCACAGGCATGTGCTACCATGCCTGGCTAATTTTTTGATTTTTTAAATAAAGATGGGGGTCTCGCTTTGTTGCCTAGGCTAATCTCAAACTCCTGGCCTCAAGCAATCCTCCTACCTTGGCCTCCCAAAGCTCTGGGATTCCAGGTGTGAGCCACCATATCCAGCCTCCTTATGACCATCTTATACAAAACAAAAATAAATGCTAATCACTAACATCAGTAGTAGTTACAAGAATTTTTTTCAGAACTTTATGAGGTAGTTCTATTATTTATTTTATTTCATTATTTCTATTTTATTTTATAATTCCTTTTTTGTTTTATGACCTCTTACTATCCCTATGAAATCTGATGAAATCAAAGTATTCATTCAGTTTACCTAAGCTTATAACCCTGCATATGGTTTAAACACCCCTTAAGACCTATCCTTGGTCTCAGGTCCTCAGTAAAGCTACCTGGACCTCAGGTTTTAAAACTCCTATTTTAAAAGAAGGAATTGAAGAGATGGAGCCAATATTCTATTTTTGCTCCCTCAATCTTACTTCTCACTCTTCTTCTGCAGATATCCTTACTCCACAAACTCCGATAAAAGAAACAAATCCCTTGGTTTTGTTGACCTAGTAAACATTGCTACTGTTGTGTTTTCACACCAGCAAATAGAATTTATTGCTAAAAAGTCAGAAAGTTACTTTTTAATTTTCAGTTTGCACAGTTCTTCAGTCTGGGAGACTGTAGAGATTTCAAATCTAGCCACAGGTGTTCAGTGAGTAGCTACACTCTGGGCCTAGCTTCCAGGAAGAGTCAGCACCTTCTACAAAAGAAAGAAGAAAACATTCTTGTCTGGTAAGAAGATAGAAGGCTCAAGGTCAAGAAGGCAGCAGATGTGTGAATCTAAAGTTTTCAGAAGAGAGAAAGAAAGATTGCCTTTTGAGCTATAATTTTCAGCTTTGTGAAGGCACCAGAACCACAGATCATCACTATGCAGCTATTATATTTCAGGCATTGATTTTTGCAACAAGGTACAGGGAATAGGCAAACACTGAATTTTCATTAGCTCCTTGAGGAAAGTGAGCATCCTTCCCAAACCAAAATGTCCAGAACATATTAAGGGATAATTTATAAAAGCTGGCTCAGTGGATTTTAAACAAACAGCAGCAATTGCAATGAAGCATTACTGGGTGAGTCGCTAATTTGAAGTAGGTCATGCCCATGTTAAAGAGCTACTTATTCAAAGCACTTGCCTTTTCTTTACTCAAAACTTTAATAGGAAAGCTGTCTGTTGTTTCCTTTTTTGTTTCTTTTGTATATGTTTTTTCCACAGAAGGGTGTTATGAAAAACCTGAAGAGTTAAGAGATAATTCCAGGTTAAAAATACCTATAAGATTTATATTATATCAGAAATCAAAGTCCTCAACACTAGTACCATATTATGTACTCAGACACCAAAGTAAACACTGGGAAGTATATTGAGTAATGTAGAACCATCTCTGTGGCATTTATCAAAACCTACTTGGCACTATGATCACTTGAGTCTTACTTTTACTCTTCTTACAAAGCTATAAGCTTCTTGAGGTCAGAGAAGCCTTTTTACTCACTGCAAAGTCTGATACAGGAGCTCACACATACTGAGTAATGGGAAAAAAAAGGGACTTACTTCCACATCTAAGAATGTATCCTACATGAATAATTGTGTTGAAATGTCCATATAAAGACATTTCCTGCAGTCATTCATTATTTCAGTTAAGAAATATTTATGTGAGGCAGTGGCTCACAACTATAATCCCAGGACTTTGGGAGGCCGAGGCAGGTGGATCACCTGAGGTCAGGAGTTCGAGACCAGCCTGGCCAACATGGTGAAACCCCATCTCTACTAAAAATACAAAAATTAGCCAGGCATGGTGGTGGGTGCCTGTAATCCCAGCTACTTGGGAGGCTGAGGCAGAAGAATTGCTTGAACCTGGGAGGCAGAGATTGCAGTGAGCCGAGATCATGCCATTGCACTCCAGCCTGGATGACAAAAGCAAAACTCCATCAAAAAAAGAAAGAAAGAGAGGAAGGAAGGAAGGAAGGAAGGAAGGAAGGAAGGAAGGAAGGAAGGAAGGAAGGAAGGAGGGAAGGAAGGAAGGAAAGAAGGAAGGAAGGAAGGAAGGAAGGAAGGAAGGAAGGAAGGAAGGAAGGAGGGAAAAAGAAAAGAAAAGAAAAAAAAAGATTGATTTGAGTGGTTTGACTTCTAGGTATTGTACTCAGTGATAGGTTTATTGAGGGGAGCATAGGTGGACATAGTCCCTGTCTGCCCTTTGAGAGCTCACAGGATAATGGGAAAATGGACATTAACTAAATGATTACAAAACATGTATTTAGCTACAGAGTGTGATAAGGACTTTGAAGGATACATATTTGATTCTGTGGGACTATGTACCCAAAGATCTGATCTACTCAGGGGGACTATAAAGGCTTTTCTAAGGAAGTGATGATTGTACCAAGACCATAAGGTAAGTGATACATGTATATTGAGAAGGCAGAAGGCAGATGGCAGAGGGCAGGAGGGAACCAGGAGAGTGGAGGAGAATGTAGAACTGCAGTGCATTCTAGGAGTGAGATGTGTCAAGACAGATGGACATGTAATGTCATGGAGGCCATACTAAGGAGATTTATCTTTACCAGAAGAGTAATGGTAGCCAGGTGCAGTGGCATATGCCTGTAATCCCAGCAACTCAGGAGTGTGAGGTGGCAGGATCGCTCGAGCCAAGGTGGTCGAGGCTGCAGTTAGCCACAATTACACCATCGCACTCCAGCCTGGGTGACAGAGTGAGATTCTATCTCAAAAAAAAAAAAAAGTAATGGGATGTCACTGAAGGGTCTTAAGGTAGGGGTGATAGAAGAAATGGATGTTTTTGTATAGTGTAATTTTACATCATAGGAAAAATGGAAAATCTAGTCTCTACATATTTTTTAAAAGCCCTGAGCTTATTTATCTATCTATTTATTAATTTTTAATAAAAGGAAAGTGTAGTTAGGGAAAGTTTTCTAAGAAAGCATAAAAGCAATCTGTTTTCTCAGATATTATATAAGGTACACTGAACAACAAAATAGGCAATGCCTTCAACAATTGTTCTGCAACAATTGTTGGAGCTTTCCAAATATAGTCATTTCTTTTAGCAATATTAAAGAACAAAAACTAAGGGAATAGCATTGAAACAAAATATGGGACAAGGTTTTGTTTGTGTGTGGACAGCAAAGCTAATGTGTTCCAGATAAACACTTTTCTGTGGGTCTCATTAGATTTTAAGCTAAAACTGACAGCTGAACTACTACTGTAGATACAAAGATGAAAAAGGCATGGTCCCTGTTCTCAGAGACACCACAACTAATTTATGAAGATCTATTATTATTTCCTAAGCTTTTATTTGTTTGTTTTTTGTCTTGAGACAGAGTCTCACTGTATCGCCCAGGCTGGTCTCAAACTCCTGAGATTGAGCCTGATCTTCCCTCAGCCTCCCAAAGTGCTAGGATTACAGGTATGAGCCACCATGCCTGCCAATATTTTCTTATACTTAATTAAAATGTATGAATTATTTATATCACAGGCATACCTGTATTTAGTTAAAATATCCAATAGCTTATTAGACAATGTCCATGAAATAAGATTATTTCTATTTATTTTTTATTAACTGCAATGTTTGTCTAGATGTTTAGACTGATACTAACTTTTCTCAAACTTCTGAACATTGCTAAGTTATTTCTTCCACAAAATTATAATCACACATTTCCAAGCTATGTAATTATAGGGTTAAACCCATTAATAGAAATCGTAATTTGTCATTACATATTTAAAATGACCCTAACAAAAGTACAAAAGGGTAAGCAATAGCCAATAATATATGCTCACAGAGATTAGATTCAAAATGTTATTCATACTCCTTAGAATATTAATTTTGCAAGATACTGAAACACTACAACATTTGCAAATATTATCCTAGGCATTTGGCACAGAAATTTCATATCCTTGGTAAGATTTTAGCACAGAAATTGGGTTTTAAAGTCTTGTACTTAAGACTGCACGATTTCAGGAAGGTTTCATTAATACAAATGATAAACAAATTTATATGGTTGAAAAGCAATAACAAAAAATTTTTCTAAATTTCTGAACAAATTGATATAAACCAAATCAGAAAATGTGCTACTCTACCAAACTTGGGTTCCCCGAAACTGTTTCTGCATGCATACGGACTTTTCATTTGACTTGATGATACTCTAAGTGTATTAGCCAATATGGCTAATCAGTATATTTTCTTATTCTACTTTGAATGTCCCTTAAGAAGGCAAGAGCATAGTTTGACTATTAGAATACTTGATATGTAGCTGCAGTTTAGGAGGATACTTTCCCAAACCCTACTTTCATTTTTTAAAAGTCAATATTATTGAGCTATAACATATAAAAATAATGCACCCATTGTAAGTACATGATTCATTGAATCTAGACAACACATGCAATTGCATAAACATCACTACAATCAAGACATAAAATATGTCCAGCACTTCAGAAAGGCTGCTCATGTTTTTTTGAGGTTATCCTCACCCTTGGCCCCAGACAATAACTTATCTGCTGTCATCACAGATTGGTTTCATTTCTTTTTGAATTTCACATATAAAATCATACAGCATGTACTCTTTTGTGTCTTTTTTGTGTTTTCAGATGTTTTATTATAATTATGCTGTATTAGTCTGTTCTCATGCTGCTATGAAGAAATACCCGAGACTGGGTAATTTATAAAGAAAAGAGGTTTAATTGCCTCACAGTTCCACATGGCTGGGGAAACCTCAGGAAACTTACAATAATGGCAGAAGGCACCTCTTCACAGGGTGGCAGGAGAGCAAATGAGTGCCAAACAAAGGGGGAACCCCTTTATAAAACCATCAGATTTCATGAGAACTCAGTGTCATGGAAACACCATGGGGAAACTGCCTCCATCATCCAATCACTTCCCACTGGGTCCCTCCCACAACATGTGGGTATTATGGGAACTACAATTCGAAATGAGATTTGGGTGGGAAAACAGCCAAACCATATCATGTGCCTAGGAATATTTTTGTTTGTATTTATCCTGCTCAGAGCTTTCTAGCTTTTTGAATCTATAAATTTGTGTCTTTGCAAAATTTGGGAATTTGAGGGACATTATTTCTTCACATTTTTCTGTCTTGTTTTTTTTCTATCTTCCTCCTTGGACTCAAATTTCACATATGATACAACAAATGTTATGCCTTTGAGGCTCTGTTCACTTTTTTCAGTATTTTTTCTTTGTCTTCAGATTGAATATTTTCTCCTGTTCATTGATCAAACTTATTGGACTTTTTCTTTGTCATTTCCATTTTGCTGTTAAGCTTATTCACTGAGTTTTTTTTTTTAATTTCAAATATTGTATTTTCCAGTTCTAAAAATTCTATTTTTAATATTTCCATTCCTGAATTTTGTATTTCTATCTTTTTATTCATTCTAAGTATATTTTCCCTTATATTATTGAGCATAATTATAACATCTTCTCTAAAATTTTGTCTAGTAGTTTCAACATCTTGGCCATTTCAAGATCATTATTTTTCTTACTGGTCTTTTCCCCTAAGAGAATGGTTCCCATTTTTGATTTCTTCTTTTGTTAAGTAAGTTTTGTATGGTATCCTGGACATATGCATTTAATATTATAGAGACTCTGGATTCTCTTATATTGCCGCATATAGTGTAGATGTATTTGTTCTAGCAAATTGCTTCGATAAATTTAAACTGCACACTCTTTCTCCTGGGCAGTAGTCCTGATCTCAATTCTGTCCTTTTTGCCTTGCTATGTTACTGAAAGTCTACCACACACAGATGTGATTCAGAGGTCATCGATATCTGGGAAGAGTTTATACACTAATTATTGGACTTTCCCTCTGTGGGTCTCCCCAGGATTCCTAACCTGTTTTTCTACAACTGTGGTTGCCCTGAACTTTCTCCTCTGTTTCTTTGAGCCAACATGACACCAGACTTTCTTGTAGTTTTATCACCCCATGTGCACACACTGTCATTTCTCAGGATGGAAGCAAAGAAAATGGGAAACTCCCCCAGTGCCATTCCCTTCCCAGTATCGATTCCTGTGCCCATCTCCACCCCATAGTCTGTCTGCTTTTTGTCACTCTCCGGTGCCTTTGGGAAGGTTTTGTTATTTATTTTTTATTTTTGGAACAGATTTCATATTTGTTATTTGAGAGAGTGGAGCTTTCTGAGCTATCCACTGGAAGTGGAACCCACATTTATTTTAAATGATCAAATTATGGCAGCTTGAGCCCCCACTGATATATCTGATGAATATTCGTTCACCTCAATATCTCTTTTGGCTATAACAAAAAGTCCTAAAAGTGGTGCCCTAATCATGCTTACGAACCACTGTTGAAACCACTGCCATGTGGTTTTCACTCTACTCCCCCTTTTATATACTCAGTGGCTGTAAAGTCCCTTGGTCAAGCTTTGCCACTGTCACTACCTGCCATGTTGTCCCTAAAAGAGTTCCGAACAGAAAGAGACAGATGGCTTTTATTGCCTTTTTACTTGGAATCCAAAGTAGCTCCATTTGTGCCTAGAGTCACACAAAGAATCTCATTAAATCTGTTTGCCAGATGAGATCAGATACGTGCAGAGTGACACAGCCATAGGGGTTCTAGCATCACCTCTCTGTCCATATCTCCCGTTTATTTCTAAATTATGGTAATAAATATTAATAAAGCTCAGTAACCGAACAATGTGAAGACATGTCTTCACTCTAATGAAAGTAATATTAGCTATAATTTATTGAGTTCTTTACCATGTGCTAGGACCTACTTGATATGGTTAGAGAGTAATACTTAAGAATGTGATCTTTGAAGCTGGATTTTTTGGGTTAATAGTATTACTTTTAATAAGTTGCCAACTCTCTGTGCTTCAGTTTCCCAACTTGGAAAAGAAAAAAAAAACTGACCAACTTTAGAGTGTGTTATAATGATTAAATGAACAATACAGGCCATCCATTTAGAATTGTGCCAAGTACATAGTGAGCACTCAATAAATATTAGCTATTACTGTAATTATGACTGTCACAACAATCCTATGGAATCTATTCTCTTAATTTTTAAATATTTTATAAATGAGAAAACTGAGACAATAAAAGCTTCCACCACTTGCCCAGGTTCACTTAGTTTTGAAGAAACATAACTTGAATTTTGAGTCAGATGTTCTGGCTCCAGGGTCCAGGTATTTAACCAGTCTCCTGTTTTAAACGCAGTCCAAGTAGCTGGTTGCAGGATGAATGCCACACTGTTCTCCCAGTTCTCCCCACTGCACCAAGGTTCACATGTTATTAACTGATACGAACAAACACTGGGAAAAGTGGGAAGAGATTTTATCAGGCTCTTGCTCAGCCAACGAAAATTCTCTTGTAACTCCTATGATTAATTGTACTAAAAAATCCACTATAACTTTTAAAGATTTAAGGTTTGTTCTAAATCTTCAACTTTTTAGTGTTTTTTTTCATTTGTTTTTAATCTCAGAAAATACATCAGTGCTGAATCACACAAATAGGTAGATAAATACTGTCTTGGTAAGTTTGATCTTATGATAATATGTTGTTTTTGTAGTAGCATTGCTCAGGTACTGCACTATTAATATTTGATTAGCATATTTTAGAAATATATCTCTCTGTGGTTATATGTCACACATAAAAACAAGTAAATATTAAATTTACATACAACTTTAGTTAGTAGTAAAAATAGAAATAGATTTTATTCATTTTGCCCTCAGCAGATTTATCACTTTTATTAAAGAATTCAAGCTTTCATGTTATGAATTATTAGAATAATAATAATCTATGATAGAAAAGGACACAGAAGGTTTGTAATTCTTCCTTACATCAAATTTTGCATAGAAATCCTTTCTGTTATATCATAGGTATATCATCATTCATCCGCTATTTTAGATTTATCCATTGTTAGAAAGTGTTGATTTTTAAAACATTCTTTCCATATTGAGCTAAAAGCTCAGTTTTTATAAATGTCACTCATTAGCTTTAGATGCAGCCATAAGAAAACATGAAAATGAACTCTCTCTTTTATGTTACAGCTATTTAAATACTTAAAAATAATTATCCTTTTTATCCAAATATCCTTGGATTAAATAGTCTATATATTATTTCCAGAACTTCCTTAACATATAATAATTGTCTTACATATGAACACATGCTCATCTATTTCTGTTTTAAAAAGTGGTGAGTAGAACTTAACACAGTACAATGTATATGATCAGATGAGTGCAGAATTCACTAGGTCTATCACCTCTCTTGACCCAGAAACTCTACTTGGATTAATGCAGTTTCTGAATGCTTTTTTTCTCTTCTACTGCTGACCTTGCCACTAACAAAATATCATTAAAGTTTTCTTACTGCTTTAAATATTATTTAAATATTACATCAATCTATAAAAACATACTTCTTTCTAATGTAGGAGAGGCTGGCAAGATGGCCAAATAGGAACAGCTCCGGTCTGCAGCTCCCAGTGAGATCAACGCAGAAGGTGGGTGATTTCTGCATTTCCAACTGAGGTACGTGGTTCATCTCACTGGGAATGGTTGGACAGTGGGTGGAGCCCACAAAGGGCAAGCTGAAGCAGGGTGGGGCACCACCTCACCTGGGAAGTGCAAGGGGTTGAGAGATTTCCCTCTCCTAGCCAAGGGAAGCCATGAGAGACTGTACCAGGAGGAACGGTGCACTCTGGCTCAGATAACACACTTTTCCCATGTTCTTCACAACTGGCAGGCCAGGAGAATTCCTCCAGTGCCTATGCCACCAGGGCCCTGGATTTTAAGCACAAAACTAGGCAGCTGTTAGGGCAGACACTGGGCTAGCTGCAGGAGTTTTTTTTTCGTACCCTAGTGGTACCTG